>NC_000004.12:3280533-3587030 GCF_000001405.40 Homo sapiens | reverse complement strand
TCTTGTTTCAATGCTGGGGTGTTCAGGGAAGGACTGCCAGGCCCGGTGCCTCGGGGCAGAAGCTCCATTTTCACCAGAAGCTGAGAATGAGAGGAAGGTCCAGGTAGGTGCAGAGGTGAGAACCCTGCAGGGGCTGAGCCGGCCCAGCCCAGCCAAATCCCAGCCCGGGACCAGGGGCAAACTGTTTAACCTCGGTGCCCACAGTTATAAAGCAGCAGTGATGGCAGCTCCAGGCTCCTACGCACTTCGACAGGCACATGGTGGCCTAAGTGAGGGCAGGCCGCCTGCCCAGGGCCCCCGCTGCTGCAGCTGCGTTCCTTGTTGTTGCTGTTGGCACTGTCCTATCAGAAGCACCTGGGCATACACCACAGCAGGAAAGCTGGAAGTCTCATCTGGGACTCTCATCTGTGGCTCCCACCCTGGCAGAGCCATCTGGGCTGTTCTGAGCACAGGTTCACCCACAACCTAAGGAACGGGAAACTCCTTACATTCGACGCCTCTTAGCTTGTTTTAAACAAGGCCCACGGCTTCCATTTTCCTACACTATGGCAGGCCATGACCTTTACTCATGCCTCCCACACAACAAAATCAAATAAAATAAATCCTGGGTAATTTGTGGTAAATTGTGAACATTGATAAACTGACAAAGAAGCTTTATTCCAAGAGCTTGGGTTAGAGTTCAGTAGGGACTGACAGGGCCTTCAGGAACACGGCAGAAGTAAACACAGATCCCTTCTGTACCACAGGACCCCCAGCAGTTTGGGAGGCTGAGGCTGGCAGATCACCTGAGATCAGGAATTCGAGACAAGCCTGACCAATATGGTGAAACCCAGTCTCTACTAAAAATACAAAAATCAGCCATGCATGGTGGCATGCACCTGTAGTCCCAGCTACTTGGGAGGCTGGGGCAGGAGAATTGCTTGAACCTGGGAGGCAGAGGTTGCAGTGAGCCGAGATCGCCCCATTGCACTCCAGCCTGGGTGACAGAGTGAGACTCCGACTCAAGAAAAAAGGAATTCAGATAATCAGATAATGGCCTTATCACACACAGAGGACGAGAAATTAAAGGACCAAAAAGATTCAAAAAATAACTACGCCCACCCTGAGAAGCTCTCCTAGAATGAAAATACATAACTGAAATTCAAAGGCAATGAATGCATTTGACTGCAGAGCAGACACAGCAGAGGAGAGGATGGATGAGCCTGGGGGAAGCGGAAGCCGTTCTCCACGCAGCACAGGAAGTCAGACAGAAAGTGCGGAGGAGAAAATGGGAGGAGGGGAAGCCGGCAGAAAGGGTCTGGCACACATCCATGTTGACACCCGGAAGGAGAGAGAGGAAAATACAGAGTAAAGTCTGAAAAGAGGGTGACTGACCACAGGTCTGTCTGATTCTGTCAAGAACAATTCAGAAGGAGCTGCAAGTAAAGCACTTGGGTTAATGAGTTTGGCAGGTTTGCTAGATACAAACCAAAATGCAAACATCTGTTGTATTGCCATATATGAGCAACAAAAAAAAATAGAAACTATAACTTTTTAAATGATGCTGTATTAGGGCTGGGCATGGTGGCTCATACCTGTAATCCCAGCACTTTGGAAGGCCAAGGCAGGCAAATCACTTGAGGTCAAGGGTTCAAGACCAGCCTGGCCAACAAAGTGAAACCCCATCTCTACTAAAAATACAAAATTAACCAGACATGGTGGCACACGCCTGTAGTCCTAGCTACTCGGAAGGCTGAGGCACAGGAATCACTTGAACCCAGGAGGCAGAGCTTGGCAGTGAGCCAAGATCACGCCACTGCACTCCAGCCTGGGTGACACAGTGAGACCCTGTCTCAAAAAAACAAAAACAAAAAAAGATACTGTATTAGTTAGGATTCTCCAGAGAAACAGAACCAACAAGATGTGTGTGTACGTGCATGCATGCATGTGCCTGTGTGTGTACGCATCGTGCATGTGTGTGTGTGCACGTGTTTGTGTACACAGAGAGATTATTGATTTTTTTTTTTTTTGAGACAGAGTTTCGCTCTTTCACCCAGGCTGGAGTGCAGTGGTACGATCTCGGCTCACTGCAACCTCTGCCTCCCAGTTTCAAGGGATTCTCCTGCCTCAGCCTCCCAAGTAGCTGGGATTACAGGTGCCCGCCACCACACCCAGCTAATTTTTGTATTTTTAATAGAGACGGGGTTTCACCATGTTGGCCAGGCTGGTCTCAAACTCCTGACCTCATAATCCACCTGCCTTGGCCTCCCAAAGTGCTGGGATTACAGGCGTGAGCCACCGATTTTTTTAAGGAATTGGCCCACATAATTGTGGAGGTGTAGCAGGTCCAAAGTCTGCAGGGCAGGCTGACAGTCTGGAAACTCAGGGAGCAGTTGGAGTTTGAGTCCAAAGGCCACTTGCTGGCAGAATTCCCTCTTCCCTTGGGGAGGTCGGTCTGTGTTCTAGTCAGGTCTTCACCTGATTGGACGAGGCCCACCCACATTATGGCGCGCCGTCTGCCTAACTGAAGGTCAGCTGATTTCAGTGTGTATCTTATCCGAAAAGCAGCCTCACGGCAACATCCTGACCAAGTACTTGGGCACTGTGGCCCAGCCAAGTTGGCATACAATTAACCATCCCAGAGACCATTACAGTAGTACAGCTGGCAAGAAGTATCTAGGAATAAACCTAACAAAATACGTGCAAGATACACAGAGAAAAAATAAGAAGTTTTACTGCATGTCATGAATGAAGATCTAAATAAATGGAGAAATAAAACATACTTGTTTTCAAAAAATAAACATGTATATGGATTGGAAAACTCAATAATATTACAGAGATACCAATTTTTCCCCAAAATGATGTGTAGAGCCACTACAATGCCAATCACAATCCCAAGTGGTGCGTGCATGTGTGTGAGTGTGCACGCATGTGCATATGTGTGTGCATGGGTGTGTGCATGGGTGCATGTATGTGCATGTGTGTGCACATGGGTGTGTGTGTGTGTGTGTTTGTAGACTTTAACAAGATGATTCTAAAATTTACATGGAATTGGAGCAGGCACCACTGTAAACCTATTCTGATTCTGGTGCCCAATAAAGATCTTTTTTAACTTTTTAAAAAGAGCCAGGAATAGCCAAAATATTCTTAATGAAGAATAAAAAGCGGGAAGGTTGGTCTTTCTGTTCCCTAAGATTTCCTTTAAAGCCTTAGCAAAGCAGACAATTAGGTATCGGCACACAGGTAACGCATACCAGACGGAAACAGAGCAGGCCTGGATGCTGGAGGAGACAGGCAGATCGATGGGGACAAGACAGTCCCATTTAAAATCAGTTTGGAGAACTGATTATCCATAGAGGGAAAAATATTACTTACACTCCTGCTCTGTACTGTCCACAAAGGTCAATGCTGAGAAAAAATAATTTTAAATCAAAAATCAATACCAGGTGGATTAAATATGAAAGATGAACCCACAGACCTTTTGGAAAGGCATAAAGAAGAAAATCTGACTTCAGAGTAAAGAGACATTCCTTAAGCAAGACACAAAGGACACAAGCCATAAAGCAAAAGAGGAATTAATTGGACTTCATTAAAATGTACTACTTCTGTTCATCAGACACCGCATTGAAATGGAAAGATAAGACACACTGGGAGAAGATGTCTGCAGGACGGATAATTGGCAAAGAGTCACTTAGGAAATATATAAAGAATTCTTGTAACTAGTCACCAAAAAACAAAAAATATGTAATGGACAAAAGACTTGAACAGGTGCTTCACATAAAAGAAAATCCAGTTGGCAAATACACATAGGCAAAGATGCAGAACCTCATTCCCTACCAAGGAAATGCAAATTAAAACCATAGCAAACTAAAACCACAGCTAGTGCTACTTCACATTCACTAGACCGTCAACATAGTAAAATCTCAGGAAGCTGGGAGAATTGCTTGAGCCCAGGAGTTCGAGGCCAACCTGGGTGACATAGCAAGACCCCATTTCTAATAAGGAAAAAAAGTTTAAAAATGTTAAATTCAGACAAAACCAAGTGTTGACAAGGATGTGGAGCAACAGTACCTTTTATAGGTTGCTGCTGGGTATGCACTTTAGAAAATCATTCAGCAGTATCTAGTAAAGTTGAAGCTGTCCAAACTGCTGACAAAGTAGCTCTGGCTATTTTCAGTAAATACCTGCTTGGAAAAGATGGTTCCAATGTTTACAGTGGTCACAGCAGCATTTCTTTAGTGGTGCAGGCATACCATGGAATACTACACAGCCAGGAAAATGAACAGCGACAGCTACACACATCTGCAAAGAAGAGTCGTCTGAGCAATAGAAATGAGTCACGGAAGCATTCCCAGGATGTGATCCCATCAGGTAGCATTCGAAAACAGACAAAAACTAAGCATCTGTTTAGGGGTGCCTACGTAGGTGGGAAAATTGTAACTAAAAGGCAGAAAATGATTACCCCAAAAGTCAGGTGAGTGGTCCCCAAGGGGAGAGGGAAGGAACCCAGGAAGTTTCTGGGATGGTGGCAATAGCGTGTCGCTCCAGGGGCTCACATTACCATTCGTGTGTGCCATTCACTTCATGACAATAAAATCATATTGTTTACAAGGATGCCCTGCTCTGCCCATTGGTCTGGGAGGGGCTGTCTTGCCCTGTACAGAGAGAGTGCAGGTGCAAAAGTGCAGAGGGACCAGGGGTGAGCCCAGTTCTGGGACCAGACTGCCAGGAGACCAGAAGCACGGAGGCCAGGGCCCTCCCTGAAGGTATCTAATTTGACTGAGTCATGCATGGGGCTGCACCTGTGACGGCCACAGAGGCCCTGCAGCTGTGCCTGGCAGACACCTCCCTGCACCGGAAGGGTTCCACCATCTCTGACCAGTCCCCTCATCGCACCTCCTCTTACGGGAGCCCAGGAAAGAGCCCAGGCAGGCACCTCTTCTCCTCCAAGGCATGGCACAGCCCCGGTCACAGAAATGGGAGAAAGTCTGCTTTGACCACCCTTCAGTGTGCCCCTGTCCCCACTGACTCAGACTCCAGCTCCGCCCGCCCCTCCTTCCAGCCCCCTTTGAGGACATATTGGTCCCCTCCCTTTACAGAAGAATCAGACTTGCAGGCTCTGCACCTACCCAAGCCCCACGGCAGGAAACAGGCTTTGCCTGGTGCCTGCACCATGCCCCCTGCCTGTGCCCGGCCTTGTTCTAGAACATAATACAGGACCAGCCATGCCCGCTGTGAGAGCCTGGAGGAGGCAGCTGGGTGGGGCAGGGGCAGGCTCTGAGGATCCAGGGGACCATCCCCACCAGGCTGCCCAGAGGACAGGCAGAGTGACCAGCAGGCTCCTGGCACCAGAGGGACCATGGGCCTGGCAGATGGCGGTGGATGGGGACAGTAGGAGCTCCCCACGCCACAGGGTAGCAGCCTTCGGGACAGGCAGGCAGAGGGTCTCAGGTGAACCTGGAGCTGAGAGCATTCAACATGACCACAGGGGCCATGGGGCCGCAGGACCAGGGCAGCCCCGCAGAACGCAGGGAAGATGGCTGATTCTCGAGCCCCATCTGGAGCCAGGGCTGGGGCCGCACCTGAGGGACCCACGCTGGGGGCACAAACAGCCTCTCCCCAGGCCTCTCTGCACCCTGTGCTCCCTGGGAGGAGCTATGGGAATGGGCTGTCTACTGTGCCTTCCAAGGCCAGCTCATTATTCCTGGTCAGTCCCTGCAGCCCAGACCTGGCTCTGTCAGGCCCTAAGGGCAGTGCAGGGAGAGCTTAGAGGAAAGCCCCCAGAGAGACTGGATTCCCTTTGGTGGGGCAGAGGCTGTTCAAAATGGAAAGCCACCCCCTTCTCTTCATTTCTCAGAGCAACACATTCAGCCCCACTTAGCTCTCTTCACAGCCGCAGTAGGACTTTGGTCTGTGTCCAGAACCCCCAGAGGCTACCCCGCCTCAATGCACACACATGTCGGGATGAGCCAGCATCTAGCAGGATGCCTGGCTGTAGCTCAGCATGGGCAGTGTTGGCAGGGGCAGGCCACAGTCCAGGCTCTGCTCCCACACACGCCCACACGCACTGACCCGTGGCCCTCACCAGGAGCCTATGAGGTCGGTGCTCCTTTGTCTCCGTGGACCAATGTCATCCAGCGAGCAAATAGTAGAGGTGGGATTTCAACCCAGGCCATTGGTACCATAGCCCACATGCTAACCACTGTGCTCATGATCACCAGATCACTGTAGGGGGCGAGATGGCAAAGTCAAGGAAAAATGACAGAGCAGAGGGACAGAGCTAGTCTCTCCCAACACTGAGAAGTCAGAAAAGTCTGTGGGTCCAGAAGCAGCTCCCCTTTAGGTGTAGGTACTTTTTTTCTAGTGTCTGCTGCCTACTAGGTCCTTTAATAAATATTTCCTAGGTAGATAGGTGAATGGGTGAATGGACAAGTAGATAAATGGATGGATGGATAGATGATTGGAGGATGGAAATGGGTGGATGAATGATGAATGGATAGGTGGGTGGGGGGGTGATGGATGGATGGATGGATGGATGGACGGACAGATGGATGGATGGATGGAGGATGGAAATGGATGGATGGATGGATGGATGGATGGATGGATGATTGGAGGATGGAAATGGGTGGATGAATGATGAATGGAAAGGTGGGTGGGTGATGGATGGATGGATGGATGGATGGACGGATGGATGAACGGACGGACGGATGGTTGGATGGATGGAGGATGGAAATGGATGGATGGATGGATGGATGGATGGATGGATGGATGAATAAATGGGTGGGTAGGTGGGAGTGTTAAAGGACAGGTGGATAGGAGGATAGAGAGAAGGGAGAGTAAAGGGTAAATAAGTGAGTGGTTGGATGGATGGATGGGAGAATAAGTCGGCATGGTGCTAATGTGATATTTATTTTATGTCCTCAAAGGCTTTTTTTGCACATATGATAGATTATTCAGAAATTACTTTGGGTTTTAAAAAATTAAAATTTGTATGTACTGATGATACAAAATCAGAAACGTATGTTTTTCTCCCTTAAACTATTGAGCCGAATCTACAAATCTTATCATTATAAGTTTAAGAAATCTCAAAACTCTTTCTAAAAGTTATTTCATTAGCAGTAGTTCCTACTACTTAATAAAACACCTTCAAAAACTTAATTACATCAACAAACTTAATATATTAGATCTTGCCTGACAAATATTCCCAAATTAACTAGTTCTTTTAAATTTAAAAACATAACTTCCTAATATGATGAAACTTAGATTCTCTTAAATGTTCCAACATTTTATATAAACTTTATGATTTCAACTGATAGTCATAAGTCTAAATCAAGTAATTCAGTGTATATTTCAAATGTTAATTAAAAGGCCAAACTGTCCCTTCTAATAACCCCAAATCTCTTAAACATCACAAATGCTTATAATACCAAACACGCCCAGATTCCTTCACTCAAAACTATGAATACTGGAAGTTGATACCATAAAACATTTCTGTACCTAATTCTAAATATTCCCTTGGGTTTAAACATTTTTTTTTTTCACTGAGGAAACAACTAAGAGATTTGAGCAGCATTATCTAGGTAATTGGAGGTTAGAAAATACTAGCATTATCAGTCAGTGTACTGATGGTATTTTCATCTACCACACAGACGGGAGTTGCAGAAACCTATTTATGTATTGTTACAGGGACTCCAGATCTTAGAGTTTGGTTTTGAGCCCTCGACCCCATATAGAACTTGATCCTGTTCCTTTCATGCACATCTATAAACCCCACCCAGGGGGTTCAAATGGGTTTTGCATTTATCAGACTTCTCCATGATTGGCATAGTCTTCCTGGTGAGACCTGGAGTGTGGCTCCCAGACACCCAAACTTGGCTGGAGTCCTGAAGCAGGCGCAGCTAATCTGGCTGATCTACTCCTTCACACTCGTGGAGCAGATGGGGAAACAGACCAGAGGGGCAGCCCAGGAAGCAAATTTGGATGATCCAAATCTCAAAGCTGAGTTGGAATCTGTGGACAAAGCTTCTAAAGTCATACGAGTGATGTGTGGTGTTTGGATGGATGGATGGATGGATGGATGGATGGATGGATGGATGGATAGATGGGTGGATAGAGGATGGATGATGGGTCTTTGGGTAGATGGGTAGATGGGTGGATGGATAGGTGGGTGGACCACAGTCTGATGGGTAGATGGGTTGATAGGTGGTTGTTTGAGTAGGTGGATAGAATGGATGGATAGAAGTTTTATGAGGGTATGGGTGAATGGGGAGTAGTGGATAAGTAGGTGAAGCAGTCAATGGGTAAGTGAGTGAATGTGTAGGAGGATCATGCATGAATGGGTGAGTGGATGTCATGGGTATATGGGTATAGGAGAGGTAGATAAGTATGTGTACAGATGGGCAAAGGGAAGGATGTGGGCGTGTTATGGGGTGGTTGGGTAGGTTGACGGATGGATGGGTGGATAAGTATTGTGTTACATGGGAGAAAACAAGTTTAGTTAGGTTGATGGGTGAATGGATGAGTGAGTAGTTGGATATAGACATGGAAGCTGGCTAGCTGGGTGGATGGATGATGGGTGAGTGAATGGATGGGTGGGTGATGAAAGAAAGGGAGGACGGATGGGTGGATGGATGGATGAGTGAGTGAATGAATGGATAGGTGGGTGAATGGAATAGGTGGATGGATGGATGGACGGATGGATGGATGGATGGATGGATGGATGGATGGATGGATGATGAAAGAAAGAAAGCATGAAAGGATGGGTGGGTGAATAGAATAGGTGGATGAATGGATGGATGGTTGGAAGGATGGATAGATAAGTGAATAATGAATGGGTGGACGAATATGTGGATGAATGGATGGATGGGTGGATAGATGGATGATGAAAGAAAGAAAGGGTGAATGGATGGGTGGATGGGAGAGTGAATAAATGAATGGGTGGATGAATGGGTAGATGGATGGATGGGTGGATGGATGAATGAATGAGTGAGAGGATGGGTGGGTGATGAAAGAAAGGAAGGATGAAAGGGTGGACGGGTAGGTGGATGAATGTATGATAGGATGGAAGCTGGCTGGATGTGGGGGTGGATGAGTTGAATGGACAGATGGGTAAGAGGGTGAGTAAGTGGGTGGATGGTGAAGGAATTAATAATGTTATTATTATAAACATTATTATTATTATATGAATAAGTTTCTGGTTTAGAAGACTAGTATCCTTCTGAGAGCTCTCTCAGAGTGTCAGGCTCTACAAATTTGCTTCCTTGGGCTGCCCCTCTCTGGGTTGTTTCCCCATTTGCTCCATGAGTGTGAAGGAGTAGATTGGCCAGATTAGCTGCGCCTGCTCCAGGGGCCCAGCCCAAGCCCAGGTGCCTGGGAGTCACACTCCAGGACACTCGACCCCTGCCCTCTGGGGCCAGGGTCAGCAGCCTCTGGCCAGACCCCTCTTCTTAAAACAAGCTCAGGTAGGGAGAGAACACTGCCCTGCTGGTGGTTGCCATGGAAAATCCTTCATTGCTTGTTTTTCTCCTCGACTGATTAAGAAAAGGGAGTCATAAAATGACAGGGCGTCACTGGGCCTTGCCGCTGGCCAGCTTTGACTTATCCCCTGACATTTCCCAGGAGCCAGCTAACCTTTTCTGCCACAAATAGACTGAAGCGGGTCCCTTGAGGCAGTCTAGCCTGAACAGAGTCCATCTCAGGGGAGGTCAGGACCCGGGATACAGCAACAGGAGCCGGGTCATTCAAATAACCAGGAAGGAGAGCAGACAGTGCTGGGACCGAGAGCACAGCGAGGACCCTAAGGAAGCCACCAAAAAACAGCCTTCGCAACAGTCAGGACTGCTGTCAGGACCACCAGGCAGAGCCCAGGGAGCAAACACCTGCTCTCCCTCCCTGGGGTCCCCGCTGTGTTCCCAGGCATGACACTCACCTCCCAGAGCAGCAGCCTGGCCTCTGCTCCTCTCCGGGCAGAAACGACACAGGGATGCTCCCCAGTCAGTGTGCTGGGGTCCTAGGGGCGTTGGCGACGCCGGGGCAGGTTCCACCATAGATCCTGCTGCCTCAATCCAGAGGGCTTTCGGAAGGCGCCCCTGCTATGGCATCGCAGAGGGAGGAGACCCGGGATGTGGCCCAGCAGGGCTGTGTATACACCAAGATGCCTCCGTCTGCCCTTCCAGCTGTAAATCAAGACTCAGCCGTGGAGAGGGAGGATAAAGTCCACAGGGGCTGAACCTCCTCCCCAGCCCTGGTCTCAGCCTCAGGATAGAAGACTTTAACCCCAGAAGGCCCTCAGGAGGCCAGGCAAGCCAACACCCTCGAACCTGTGCCACGATGGGGGGCGATGGGGCGAGGACAGAGCCTGGAGTCACAGACCAGGAAACTGGGTTGCCTCAGCTCACCCAGGGTCCCAAGGCCAGGACAGGGCAGAGCCGAGACCAAAGTCCCTGCGAGGCCGCCCTCATGAAGGGACTCGGGAGGGTTCACTGGGTGAATGGATGAGCCTGTACAGTGAATGAAGGCCGAGCCCACGGCTGGGAGCTGCCATCCCCGGCTTCCTCTGAATACAGACAGCCTGATGCGCAGGTCTCAGATCTGGAAGGGGGCCTGGGCCCCTTGACCCCATCTCTTCATTTACTGCTGGGGAAACCGAGGGCCAGCCTGCCACAGTAATGCCGTGGGTGCCTGAGTCATCTCCTCCTCCTCCTCTTCCTTCTCCTCCTCCTCCTCTTCCTCCCCCTTCCTCATCTCCCCCTTTCCTCCTTCTCTTCCTCTTCCTCCCTTCCTCCCACCCGTCTCCCTCTCCTGAGCCCCAGCTCTGCTCTGCCACCAGGCCTTGTCCCTTTTAGGGTCCAAAAGAGCAGGTCCTGCCCTGGGGCCAGTCAGCATGAAAAGGGATGACCATCTCTTCCTCCAGAGGACAGGGACTCTATGCCCCAGGCACTCCAAGGTCAAACCTGGCTCCCACTCAGACTATGAAGACAGCATCCACTGGGTCAGAGTCATGAAGCCACGGGTCCCAGGGGACAGCTCAGGTGGCCACAGGGCCAGACTGGCAGGCTGCCCTCTGCCTCCTGTTAGCACAAACACCCCTCCCCTCAGGCCTGAACTCTGACATGAGCCAGTGGGCACCGGGCCCTGTCAGGAACAGGAGGAGGCCACAGCCATCCTCAGGAGAGAACAAAGGACACACAGGCCTCCGGGGAGAGCAGTGGGTGGCAGTGACAGGAGGGGCTACTCAGAATTCATGAGCGAGGGCCAGGCAGCTTGGCCACCTTGGAGGAGCCGCTGCACCTATCCAAGCCCAGGTTTCCCTGCTGAAGGCAGCACCGGTGTCTCCTCCTGGGGGTGTTGAGAGGGTCATCCCAGGCCAGGGAGGTCGAAGGGCTCTGTGAGCTGTGAAGCGCTGGGCACCTGTGGGGCGGGGGCGTTCATCCTGCGGTCAGTCTGCCCTGGAGGGCGGAACACCTACGCACTGTTCCAGCGGGAGGGGTATGGCGTCCAGTGAGGCCCAGCTCCCCGAGCCTTTCCTGATGGCACTGGAAGACAGGCAGCATCCCAGAAACATATAAAAGGCCCAGGGGCTGGTGCTGGGGGCACATGACCGGGGCGACCCTGGGCTGGGCTGTGTACCCCCGGAGCACTGCAGCAGACAGAGCAGGGGTGCGAACTCCAGGGTCCCAGGATCCATCTCCTTCCCTGCAACAAACCCCTCTCTGCTGGAAATCCCTGGAGCGGTTCCTCCATCCTGCTCTGAACCTCCTTGACTGATCCCACCGACCGGTGCACTGCACAGCTGCCTGGAGACCAGAAGATTCCATACGTCTCCCTCCACCTGCCCAACACCCACAAGCCCAGGAGGCTGCCCTCCATAATTCTGGCTTTTCTGCGTATTTTTCAAAGCACAGGGCACTGGAAGAATGCCTGCATGAGACATTCTTGCAAGCCAGAGCCCGCTGGAGGCATGCAGGAGAGCAAAACCTCCCTGCTGTGTCTGCAGATTTGCACACATTTCTGGGAAATAAACCTGCGGCCCCTCCTCTCCCCGAGACGTTGGTTTATCTTCCAGGGCAAAAGGATACCGTCTTTTCTGTGGCAAAGATGGGGGCGAGATGGCTAGCAGTCCCCTTAGAAGATCAAGGGTTTCCTCGGCTGACACAAACCTGCTCTGTTTGCCCCCTGAGATGTGGGGGACAAGGCAGAGGGATAAGGACATGCTGTACCCTGAGTAATAAATGGTCAGGACCCTTCAGGCTTGTCGCTTCCTTACTGGTCACGTTTATGGAAGTGTGGCGCAAACGTGGCCGCTACTTGGTCAAGTGACTGCGAGTTCCCGTGCGTCTCGGGTCACCAGTGTTTCTCCCTGGCTGTGCCCACACCTCACCTGGCCTCCCAGGCCCTGTCTCCCTGAGCTTCTCACAGCACGCTCCCTCGCGGTCTGTGTACCGCCTCTTGGGTCGCCTTCCACACCTTGAAGCAGGAGTGTGAGTTCCTTCCGCGGACCCGGTGCGGGCTCCTGTGGCCCCGCTCAGCCCGTTCTCATCCTTCAGGGAGTCTCAGATTATTTTTGTTTGTTGTTTCTTTTTTTTTCCTTCCAACTTCTATTTGAGGTTCTAGGTATACACGTGCAGGTCTGTTACACGGGTAAACCGCGTGTCACGGGGTCTTGGTGTACAGATTATTTCATCACCCAGGCACTGTGCATTGTACCGACAGGTGGTTTTTTTTTGTTTTTTTTTTTTGTTTTTTGTTTTTTGTTTTGTTTTTTTTTCTGAGATGGAGTCTTGCTCTGTCACCAAGGCTGGAGTGCAGTGGCACGATCTCGGCTCACTGCAACCTCTGCCTCCTTGGTTCAAGCAATTCTCTGCCTCAGCCTCCCGAGTAGCTGGGATTACAGGCACCCTCCGCCAAACCTGGCTAAATTTTTTTGTGTATTTTTAGTAGAGACGGGGTTTCACTATCTTGGCCAGGCTGGTCTTGAACTCCTGACCTCGTGTTCCACCTGCCTTGGCCTCCCAAAGTGCTGAGATGACAGACAGGAGCCACTGCGCCCAGCCAACAGGTGGTTTTTCTATGCTGACCCTCCTCCCGCCTCCGCCCTCAAGTGGGCCAGTGTCCATGTGTCCATCTGTACTCAATGTTTAGCTCCCACTTACAAGCGAGAACATGTAGTATTTGGTTTTCTGTTCCCATGTTCCATCACTTGGACAGGAGTCTCAGAATAAACACAGCCTCCTCAAGAGAGGCCTTCCCTGGCCACTTTCCCAAAACTAGTCACCCCTCTCCCACGTGTCACACGCCCCTCCCGTCCGCCTCACACCCCTCTCCCACGTGCCACACCCCCTCCCCCCACCTCACACCCCTCTCCCACCCGTGTCACACCCCCTCCCCCATCTCACACCCCTCTCCCACGTGTCACACCCCCCTCCCGTCGGCCTCACACCCCTCTCCCACCTGTGTCACACCCCCTCCCGCCACCTCACAGCCCTCTCCCACCCGCATAGCCCTTCTCACTCTGGTTTTCATGCCATCTTATTCCAGGTCCTCTGCAGAGGAGACACCAAGCGGGATTAAATGTGCAAGGAGACTTTTGAATGGAGGGATGCACCCACCCCTGAGTGGCAGCACAGAGGCCAGGAAGGCTGGTGAGCATGAGACCTTGACGAACACGGGGAGGCCAGGCGGCAGCCCCTGGGCCCTGGGAGGCTGAGGAAGGTCCGCAAGGCCATCTGGATGACCATCAGCAGGGGCCCAGCATCCCAGGCACGGGCCTGCCTTGGTGTCCCGGCCACGCGGGGAATACCTGTGACGTGGGATCTCAGCCTGGCCCTCTGCAGCTGGAGGTGCATGAGCCAAGTTCTGTGAGCCATGGACAGATGCTCTCCACACTGGAATGTCCCCCGTCCCAGGCATTGCCCATCCCGGAACCCAGAGGTTCACCGGCACGCAGCAGATGCTTCACTGATGGCTGAGTGAGGTGTGTGCTAAGGGGCAAAAACAGCCGCAAGCCCCCACCTCACATGCTGTGTGCACACCCCTTTACATCTGTCCATGTAACTCAGAGACTCCATCGGGGAGTAGACCATCTTTCTCCACCCCTTGACAGGAGCCTGGCCTTGCGACCTGCAGTGCCACAGAGGCTGGAGAAGCAGGGCAGAGGGGATCACCCCCCACCAGGCCATGCTGGCGGGTAACTCGCAGTGGGGCTCACCACGTGCAGGCAGAGGAGAGAGGCCTCTCTTCCTCATACACTCACATGAAGCAGAAGTGCAGGGCATCCTGGCACTGTTCTTGCAACTACGTTCTAATTTCCTCTCTTCTGTTTTCGCTCCGTGAGCCCCTCTGCAAGTGCCTCTGCCAGCATGGCCTGCTGGGGCATGATCCTCTCTGCCTGCTGTTCCCACGACCAGGATGATTCCTGGAGCTCCAGTTGGAGCATCCAGTCGGAGGCGGGCGGCAGACAGGGGGCAGCAGGGACAAGGCCACGCATGGGCCTGGGAGGCCCCTGGCAGGGACCCGCTTTGCACAAAGCTTTGGGCACTGCTGTGCTTCTTAGAGCACCACTTCTGACCGCGTCCTGGGGCTGGCTCTCCCTTGCTTGCAGGAAGCCTGTGACTCCTCTACGTGAAGGTGCTGGGGCTCTGGAAGGTGACACCAGCCCGGTCATCCCCATCTCTCCAGCTGACATCAAGCCCAGCACCAAACAAGGGAGGGAGACCATCTAGAACTTCCAAGCCACTGGCTGACCAGAGTGACTGCCACCAGCTGAGACCAGGGAAGCCGTCACCTGATCCAACAAGCATCGGCTAAATAAGATAGCTGGTGTGTTAAGCCACCCAGGTGCAAGGAGTTTTATACAGCCAAAGCTGGGGAGCCCAGACTGCTCTTCCTCGGGTCCCTATGGGCACTGCAGGCCAAGGCTGAATGCAAGAGCCCGGTCCCGCCCGGAGATGCAGACGCAGCATCCCCCACACCTCCAGGATGGGGTGCGGGCTCCAGATTCTGCTGCTGTCTGCCTCCGTCAAGTATACACATGAGGAATTCCACTGGACAACACGGATATGCTTCCATTCATCACCCAGCTAGTTCCCCAAACTGGAAAAAGATGGTGCTGTGCGTTTTTATTTCCCTACTTCCCAAAAAACGTGAAGGAGAAGGCCGAGCAAGGTGGCTCATGCCTGTAATTCCAGCACTTTGAAGGCAGAGGCAGAAGGATCACTTGAGGACAGGAGTTTGAGAACAGCCTGGGCAACATGGCGAAACCCCATCTCTATAAAAATCAAAAATTAGCCAGGCGTGGTGGCGTGCACCTGCAATCCCAGCTACTTGGGAGGCCGAGGGGGCGGATCGCTGGAGCCCAGGTGGTCGAAGCTGCAGTGAGCTGAGATGATGCCACTGCATTCCAGCCTGGGCAACAGAGCGAGACCCAGAAGCAAAGAAGAAGAATCATCCTGGTCATGGGAACAGCAGGCAGAGAGGATCCCCAGGCCATGCTAGCCGGGGACTTGCAGAGGGGCTCACGGGGCATGCACACAAGAGAGGCAATCAGAACACAGTTGCGAGAACAGCACCAGGGTGCCCTGCACTCCAGCTTCCTCCCTCACCCCCACAGCTGTGGGGCAGACACAGACACAGAGACACACACATCTCCAGCATTGCTAAAACATAACTCGTTATTAACACGGACACAATAATGATGCCTAGTGCACAGCAAATACTCAAAATGTCCCAATTCTCCAAAATTGTCCTTTCCAGCCACATATACGTATATAGGATCCAAAAGTCCCAGAGAAACACACGTTGCAGGCGTTGACAGGGCTCTCCGGTGCCTCTTACACCAGACGAGCTCTTTTCCTTTAGTGACACCACTGGCTTCCAGGGTCTGGCCAGCTGTCCGGCAGGATGCAGCATAACCCGGACTGGCCCAGCGTGAAATTCGGGTGTGGTGTTTTGTGCAGCAACACTCACAGGAGACGCTGTCCTCCGCCCGTCACAGCAGGGGACATGTCAGCTGTACCTCCCAGGTGATGCTACATCCAGTCATGGGGGAAGGACTGTCGCCAGCTGCTCCTGCGTAAGTCCCCCCTCCCCTTTGTAACTGGTGGTCCTAGGAGCGTGAATATCCTGTTCCCCAACAGCCCTTAACTCAATGGCTTTGGCACCCGAGTTAGTTGCCTGTGGCTGCTGTAACAGATTACCACAAACAACACAGGTGTGTTCTCTTCCAGCTCTGTAGACCGGAAGTCTAAAATGGGTCACACCGGGCCGAGATCGGTGTCGGCAGGGCTGCATTCCTTCTGCCTGTGTTCCTGGGTACATGTGTGGCCCTTTCCTCCGTTTCCAAACCCCATCCCTCCAAGCTCCGCGTCCATCACTGCATCCCCTCCTCAGGCTCTGACCCTCCTGCCTCCCTCTTAAAAGGACCCTGAAGATCACCAGAGCCCACCTGGATAATCCAGGGTGGCCTCCCCGTCTCCAGGTCCCTCACTTAGCCACATTTGCAAAGCCCCTCTTGCCATACAAGGGGACCTGTGATTACAGGTTCTGGGGCTTAGGACAGGCACCTGCCTTGGGGATGCTATTCAGCCGACTTCAACATCCGCTGCTGATCTTCACCTGAATGTGTTCATTCCAGGGGGAGTGCACAAATGGGGACTTTCAAACCCATCGCCTCTCCCACGTTGGCTGGATTGTTCCAGGAGGAAGTGCTCCCTCCTTCTAGGGCCGCCATGGACTATACTGTTCATCCAATGCTCTTCATCCTATGTCTCAAATTTGGCCGCCAGAGCCCCTTCCACCTGGCCTTTTTGGCCTGTTGAGGCATCCCCGTCTGTCCTCAAGTGCATCCGCCCTCCTGGCGCAACGCGATCCATACTCCGGCTCATCCTGTGCCCACCTCCACCAAGATCCAGACTTAGGCCCCACCGTGCCGCACAGCTTCGGAAACCACCCGTGTGCCTCTGTGCTTGGGTAGCACCCATGTTAGCTCCTTTCAGTGGTTAGAGACAGAAAATGGATGTTTTTTGAATTATGAGTTATTGCTGCCGCTTCCAGTCCAAGCACAAGCCCCCGGGAACCCTCTTTGTCTCCCGTTCCACATCCCTATCTCCCGCCTCCCAGCGAGAGAAAGAGTCCTGGTTCCAAGGAGGACCACCAAGCTGCTGGGGGTGACCAGCCCTTAATCCACAGACAGTGGTTTCAGACGACCACAGCAGCACTGCTGCTGCGACAAAGCCGGCCTGCGACGCGGAGCTGCGGGTCCCCACAGCCAGAGGCCCCTTCGAAAGCCGCTTCCATTCTTGTTTCCATCTGGTGTTGCTGTCAATTGTTTTAGGTTCATTGATTTCTGTTTGAATTCAATGCTCAATTTTTTTGTGCTTGTCAATTTAATTCTATTTCTGAACGTGTAAACATTTACGTGTTTCAAAAGTCAACACCTATGTAAAGGATTCTCTGACTTCTCACTCCACCCAGTCCTCCCACCTGGTGGTTATTTATGTGTGTGTGTAGTTTCTGTATGTAGTTTACATGTGTGTGTAACTCGTGTGTATGGTTTATATTGTGTGTACAGTTTGTGTGTGTGGTTTATGTGCATGTGTATAGTTTGCATATGTAGTTTATATGTGTGTAGTCTGTGTGTGTAGTTTATGTGCATATAGTTTGCATGTGTAGTTTATATGTGTGTAGTTTATGTGTGTATACTTTGTGTGTGTGGTTTATATGTGTGTGTGTAGTTTGTGTGTGTATCATTTATATGAATGGATAGTTTGTGTGTGAAGTTTATGTGTGTATAGTTTGTGTGTATGGTTTATATGGGTGTGTATAGTTTGCCTAGTTTGTATGTGTGTGTGTATAGTTCCTGTGTGCAGTTTATGTGTGTGTAGTTTGTGTGTGTGGTTTATATGTGTGTGTAGTTTGTGTGTGTATTGTTTATATGAATGTGTAGTTTGTGAAGTTTATGTGTGTGTAGGTTGTGTGTGTGGTTTATATGTGTGTGTAGAGTTTGTGTGTGTAGTTTGTGTGTGATTTATGTGTGTGTAGTTTATGTGTGTGTAGTTTGTGTGTGTGGTTTATATGTGTGTGTATAGCTTCTGTGTGTAGTTTATGTATGTGTAGTTTGTGTGTGTGGTTTATATGTGTATCATTTCTGTGTGTAGTTTACGTGTGTGTACTTTGTGTGTGGGGTTTATATGTGTGTGTATAGTTTGCATGTGTAGTTTATGTGTGTGTACTTTGTGTGTGTGATTTATATGTGTGTATAGTTTGTGTGTGCAGTTTACATGTATGTACTTTGTGTGTGTGGTTTATATGTGTGTATAGTTTGTGTGTGTAGTTTATGAAAGTGTAGTTTGTGTGTGGGGTTTACATGTGCGTGTAGTTTGTGTGTGTAGTTTATGTGTTTGTGTATAGTGTGTGTATGTGGTTTATATGTGTGTGTGGTTCGTGTGTACTTTATGTGTGTGTACTTTGTGTGTGTGGTTTATTTGTGTGTGTATAGTTTGTGTGTGCAGTTTACAGGTGTATACTTTGTGTGATTTATATGTGTGTGTATAGTTTGTGTGTGCAGTTTACATGTGTGTACTTTGTGTGTGTGGTTTATATGTGTGTATAGTTTGTGTGTGTAGTTTATGAATGTGTACTTTGAGTGTGTGGTTTATATGTGCATGTAGTTTGTGTGTGTAGTTTATGTGTTTGTGTATAGTTTGTGTATGTGGTTTGTATGTGTGTGTGGTTTGTGTGTAGCTTATGTGTGTGCACTTTGTGTGTATACTTTGTGTGTGCAGTTTACATGTGTGTACTTTGCGTGTGTGGTTTATATGTGTATGTAGTTTGTGTGTGTAGTTTATGTGTTTGTGTATAGTTTGTGTATGTGGTTTATATGTGTGTGTGTAGTTTGTGTATAGTTTATGTGTGTGTATTTGTGTGTGTGGTTTATATGTATGTGTATGGTTTGTGTGTGTACTTTGTGTGTGTGGTTTATATGTGTGTGTGGTTTGTGTGTATAGTTTGTGTGTACTTTGTGTTTTTATATGTGTGAACAGTTTGTGTGTGTAGTTTATATGTGTGTGTGGTTTGTGTGTGTAGTTTGTGTGTGAATAGTTTGTGTATCATTTATATGTATGTGTAGTTTGTGTGTGAAGTTTACGTGTGTGTAGTTTGTGTGTGTGGTTTATATGTGTATGTATAGTTTGTGTGTGTGGTTTATGTGTGTGTAGTTTGTGTGTGTGGTTTATGTGTGTGTGTTTTGTGTGTGTGGTCTATATCTGTGTGTAGTTTGTGTGTGTAGTTTGTGTGTAGTTCACAGGTGTAGGTGTAGTATGTGCCGTGTGTGTGCATGTGGGTGATTTGTGTGTGTATAGTGTGTAGTTTATATGTGCATGTATAGTGTGTGTATGATTTGTGTGTATAGGTTGTGTGTGTAGTTTATGTGTGTGTAATTTACATATGCATGTGTAGTGTGTCTGCCTGTGTGATTTCTGTGTGTAGTTTATATATGCGTGTGTAGTGAAGGAATGTGTGATTTTTGTGTGTATAGTTGACGTGTGTGGTGTGTGTGCGTGTATAGGATTTGTGTGTGTGTGGTTTACATGTGCGTGTATGGTGTGTGCCGTGATTTACGTGTGTGTGTACAATGTGTGTGATTTGTGTGTGTGTGGTTTATGTGTGTATGTGGTGTGTGTGATTTGTGTGTGTGGTCTCCATGTGCATGTGTGGTGTGTCTGATGTGTGTGATTTGTGTGTGTGGCTTACATGTGCGTGTGTGGTGTGCGTGATTGTGTGTGTGGTTTACATGTGCATGTGTGGTGTGTCTGATGTGTGTGGTTTGTGTGTGCGGTTTAAGTGTGTGTGTAGTGTGTGTGATTTGTATGTGGTTTACATGTGCATGTATGGTGCATGTGTGTGATTGTGTGTGGTTTACATGTGCCTGTGTGGTGTATCTGATGTGTGTGGTTTGTGTGTGTGGTTTACGTGTGTGTGGTGTGTGATTGTGTGTGTGGTTTACATGTGCGTGTGTGGTGCGTCTGAGTGTGTGATTTGTGTGTGTGGCTTATGTGTGTGTGTGATTTGTGTGTGTGGTTTGCATGTGCATGTGTGGTGTGTGTGTGTGTCCCCTTACACCCCCTTCTCACCCACCTGCAGGCGGCCTCGGCGCTGCACCTGCCACACTGAGCAGCCTGTCTGTCCTCCCGTGCTCCGACTCCCTGAGTTCTCCCCAGTCCCCCCAGGCCCCCCAGGCTCCCCACGGCCACATGATGCCCCGCGCTGTGGCTGTTCCCGTTTGCACAGCCCTGCCTGGTGAATGAGCACTCAGGTCGTTCCCACTGTCTCGCTGTGACAAATGAGGCTGTGCTGCATCCCTCAAGCATGCACTGTTCCCTATTTGCAGAGGTGTCACCTCGGGGGAAATTCCTAGAAATGGAATCGCTGGGTCAAGGGGCAAAGCCAGTGTAATTTTGTTAGCTACTGCCACCTTCCGCTCCCTCGGGTGAAGGACAGTTTCCCTCCTAGTGTCTGAGGGAGCCAGTTTCCCACGGCCTCCTCCACCGCAGTCGCGCTTTTGAATCTCTGCCAGTCTGATATGTGAGAAACTGCATCTCCGCATAGCTTGTATTTGCATTTCTTTACTACGAGCCTCTTTCCCTATGTTTCAGAGCCATTTGTTATCTTGTTCTACACACTCTGTCCATGGATTTTACCTACTTCTCTGTAGAGTTTCCGGGTTTTTCCCATTGGCTTGAGTGAGCCACGCACACAGGGAACCAGAGGCAAAGGGGACGTGAGACCTGCCCACGGGAGGATCAAGGAGGTGACTGCCCCACAGACGGCCTGGGGAAGCCCACCCAGCTGGGAGACAGTGGGCGCGTCGCCTTGGCTCTGGAAGCAGTGGGAAAAGCAGAAAAAGGTCACCCCAGGAAATTCCAGTCACAAGCCCACCTCAGGGGCAGTGTGGCCAGAACTCACGCTCACTAGATGACTGGAAAAACCCCAGGCCAAAAATTTAGTTTGAGGGAGTCCTGGCAACCCAAGCTTCTGGGAGAAGCAAAGGCGAAACCTTTCCAGAGAAAGGCGTTGGAAACCTGGACCTCAGAGAATCCTCGCAGATGGGGGTCCGGGGAACGCAGCCTTGCCACCTTACAAGTTACCCACACGCAGGAGAAAATCTGCCCTCCCCAGGACAGGAGCCCCCCGCAACGGCGTCTGGGAAACGTCAGGTCCACTCTGCCAGCCACAAGGCCCCTGGAAGCAGCGTGGCCTGGGTGCAAAGCAACCGACACCTCACCCGCGCCCCTGGGCCTCCTGAGGAAAGAAAGCCCCAGGTCCCCAGAGTGCCTGTGCGGCCCCTCATCTCCGTGCATGACAGCCCCTTTGGCTGTGACCTGGGGGAAAGAAATTGAATCCCATCATTTGGGACTTTCACTTAAAACTCAAAGTTCTGAGCTTTGGCTTTTAAATGGTGAGGGCAAGAAAATGCATTTTCACTTTAAAGTCTAGCAACTGTAATTGGCAAGGGCGTTTGACCTACAGATTTCTTCGATCAAGTAATACAGGAATGGAAGAGCCCCCCACGTTTGGGCCCCTGTGTGTCACAGTCTTGCCGTCGCCATGGCACAGCTGCAATGTCGCGTGACTGTGCAGTGGAGACCGCGTGGGGCCGCCGTGTGTCACAGTCTTGCCTTCACCATGGCACAGCTGCAATGTCGCGTGCCTGTGCAGTGGACACCGTGTGGGGCCGCCGTGTGTCACAGTCTTGCCATTGCCACGGCAGTGCTGCAATGTCGTGTGACTGTGCAGTGGACACTGCGTGCGGCCGCCGTGTGTCACAGTCTTGCCATCACCACAGCAGTGCTGCAATGTCACGTGACTGTGCAGTGGACACCGCGTGGGGCCGCCGTGTGTCACAGTCTTGCCGTTGCCACGGTGGAGCTGCAATGTCACGTGACTGTGCAGTGGAGACCGCATGCGGCCGCCGTGTGTCACAGTCTTGCCGTCACCATGGCACAGCTGCAATGTCGCGTGACTGTGCAGTGGACACCGCGTGGGGCCGCCGTCACAGTCTTGCCGTCACCATGGCACAGCTGCAATGTCGCGTGACTGTGCAGTGGAGACCGCGTGGGGCCGCCGTGTGTCACAGTCTTGCCATTGCCACGGCAGTGCTGCAATGTCATGTGACTGTGCAGTGGACACCGCGTGCGGCCGCCGTGTGTCACAGTCTTTCCGTCGCCACAGCAGTGCTGCAATGTCACGTGACTGTGCAGTGGACACCGCGTGGGGCCGCCGTGTGTCACAGTCTTGCCGTCACCATGGCACAGCTGCAATGTCGCGTGCCTGTGCAGTGGACACCGTGTGGGGCCGCCGTGTGTCACAGTCTTGCCATTGCCACGGCAGTGCTGCAATGTCGTGTGACTGTGCAGTGGACACCGCGTGCGGCCGCCGTGTGTCACAGTCTTGCCGTCACCACGGCAGTGCTGCAATGTCGCGTGACTGTGCAGTGGACACCGCGTGGGGCCGCCGTGTGTCACAGTCTTGCCATTGCCACGGCAGTGCCGCAATGTCGTGTGACTGTGCAGTGGACACCGCATGCGGCCGCCGTGTGTCACAGTCTTGCCGTCACCATGGCACAGCTGCAATGTCATGTGACTGTGCAGTGGACACCGCGTGGGGCCGCTGTGTGTCACAGTCTTGCCATTGCCATGGCAGTGCTGCAATGTCGTGTGACTGTGCAGTGGACACCGCATGCGGCCGCCGTGTGTCACAGTCTTGCCGTCACCATGGCACAGCTGCAATGTCATGTGACTGTGTAGTGGACACCGCGTGCGGCCGCCGTGTGTCACAGTCTTGCCCTCACCACAGCAGTGCTGCAATGTCACGTGACTGTGCAGTGGACACCGCGTGGGGCCGCCGTGTGTCACAGTCTTGCCGTCACCATGGCACAGCTGCAATGTCGCGTGACTGTGCAGTGGAGACCGTGTGGGGCTGCCGTGTGTCACAGTCTTGCAGTCACCATGGCACAGCTGCAATGTCGCATGACTGTGCAGTGGACACCGTGTGGGGCCGCCGTGTGTCACAGTCTTGCCATTGCCACGGCAGTGCTGCAATGTCGTGTGACTGTGCAGTGGACACCGCGTGCGGCCGCCGTGTGTCACAGTCTTGCCCTCACCATGGCACAGCTGCAATGTCGCATGACTGTGCAGTGGACACCGTGTGGGGCCGCCGTGTGTCACAGTCTTGCCATTGCCATGGCAGTGCTGCAATGTCGTGTGACTGTGCAGTGGACACCGTGTGCGGCCGCCGTGTGTCACAGTCTTGCTGTCACCACAGCAGTGCTGCAATGTCGTGTGACTGTGCAGTGGACACCGCGTGGGGCCGCCGTGTGTCACAGTCTTGCCATTGCCACGGCAGAGCTGCAATGTCACGTGACCATGCAGCTAGACACCGCGTGACCGTGCAGCTGGATACCACGTGGACGGCGGGTGGGAGGCATGAGTTCCAGCTTTGGCACAAACGAGCTTTGCATCAGTTTCATTAATCCTGTTGTAACTGCCCAGTGTGTTCACCTCGCCGGCTGCCTAGACACAGCCGAATTATCAAGACAGGGGAATTGCAAAGGAGAAGGAGTAACTCAACGCAGAGCCAGCTGTGCGGGAGACCAGAGTTTTATTATTACTCAAAAGGGTCTCCCCGAGCATTTGGGGATCAGAGTTTTTAAAGATAATTTGGCAGGTAGGGGCTCAGGAAGTGGGGAATGCCGGTTGGTCCGTTTGGAGATGGACTCATAGGGGGTCAAAGTGAGTTTTTCTTGCTGTCTTCTGTTCCTGGGTGGGATGGCGGAACTGGTTGAGTCAGATGACTGGTCTAGGTGGTGTCAGCTGATCCATGAGTGCGGGGTCTGCAGAATATCCCCAGCACTGATCTCAGGTTTTACAATAGTGAGGTGATCCCCAGAAGCAATCTGGGGAGGTTCAGACTCTCACAGCCGGAGGCCGCAAGACCCCTAAACCATAATTTCTAATCTTGCAGCTAATTTGTTAGTCCTACAAAGGCCGACTGGTCCTCAGGCAAGAAGGGGGTCTATTCGGGAAAGGGCTGTTATCAGTTTTGTTTCAGAGTCAAACCATGAACTGAATTCCTTCCCAAAGTTAGTTCGGCCTACGCCCAGGGATGAATAAGGACAGCTTAAAGGTTAGAAGGAATATGGAGTCGGTTAGGTCTGATTTCTTTCACTGTCATCATTTCCTCACTTATAATTTTTGCAAAGGCAGTTTCATGGGGGGTAAACCCAAACGGCCCCCTGCAGTCCTGGGAGTGGCTTCATGAAGGGGACCCCGACAGTTCTCCTCTCCCTAGGGGCGGCCCCCCAGCTGACCACAAGTGTGACCACGAGGCCCTTGGGTAGGGCAACAAAAGGCCGGGGAAGGTGGGGGTGTCCTCCCCAACTCCCGAGCCTCCTTCCACGTGGAGAAAACTGACTTCTCCGACCCCTGCCTCTCTCCCACCATTTGTCACCCACCCCCACGCAGGGAGGGGTTGGCAAATCCAGGCGGGGTCTGCAGGGCAGGCTGAGCTCACTCTCCGCTGCCACCTGCAGGGGTGGCCTGCTCTGCTGAACAGGTGGGGGCTCCCTGGAGGCTGGCCTGGGCTGCACCTTTGGGCAGGTGGCCCCTCCACTCTGGGGTTCAGGGAAGGCCCCCTTGGCCTTCACTCTGAGCCGCGTCCTCCGACCAGCCTCCATTGGGAATAACGGGCAGCCTGGCATCACAGCCTCTGTGGGCCCCTCCTCTGGGCTAAAGTATTACGAATGATGTTTCATAACTGCGTTTGTAGAAAGATGACTACAGCCCAGGCTGCACTGTGTTTATTCTGATTTTAGAAGGCATTAAACCACTTTCCTGACCCCTAAAAGTCTCCTGGGCCCTGGCACTAAGCCTGCTACACCCTGTGAAAGGAAAATCAATCTCAGGCCCCAAAATTACCAAGCCAAGGGAAGAGTCAAGCTAGGTACTGCTCAGGCAAACCTGCCTCCCAGTCCACTCCTGAATAAGATGGCTACAGAGACTAAAAAGCCACTACCTCCCTCAAAATTTGCCCATGAGGAAATTCCTCATAGACAAATGACAGACAGGACCCAACGCCATCCCTCTGCTCCCCTGAGACAAATCCATATCTGATGGCTTCCTCTGCCCTATTGTTGATATAAAAATACAGATTCCCTGAGCCAGACTAAATTGTGTTTCAGTGGGAAGCCGATCAAGGTCTCAAAAGAATGCAACAGTTTGTCTCTTACCTACTTATGACCTGGAAGTCCCCCACCCCCGCAAGTTGTCAAGCTGCCCCACCTTACCTGACCAAACAAACGTACATCTTACACATATTGATTGATGTCTCATGTCCCCCTAAAATGTACAAAAGAAAGCATGGTGGCTCACGCCTGTAATCCCAGCACTTTGGGAGACCAAGGCAGGTGGATGACGAGGTCAGGAGCTCGAGACCAGTCTGGCCAAGATGGTGAAACCCTGTCTCTACTAAAAATACAAAAACTTAGCCATGCATGGTACCATGCGCCTATATTCCCAGCTACTGGGGAGGCTGGGACAGAGAATTGCTTGAACCCGGGAGACGGAGGTTGCAGTGAGCCGAGATCGCACCACTGCACTCCAGCCTGAGCAACAGAGTGAGACTCTATCTCAATAAAATAAAATAACAAAAAAAAAAAAAAAAGCAAACTGTACCCTGACCACTTTGGGCACATGTCGTCAAGACCTCCTGAGGCTGTGTCACAGGCCCTTACTTCACCTTGGCAAAATAAGTGTTTTAAATTTATTGAGACCTGTCTCAGATATCTTTTGGTTTACAACCTGATGGAGGAGTTGGCACTGATAGAAGGGTTTTGGGTTTCCAGCACCTGCCTTCATGCCTTACTTCTCGGTGGGCTCAGGACTCAGAATGGAAAAGAGTCCCAGGAGACCCCAGTAGCTCTTCAACTCTTTTACTCTCGCTGTTTTCTCTCCTTTACAGCAGACACCACTATCTGCAAAGGGTCCTGTTCGCTGCTTCTGCCTGCCAGGAAGCACAGCCTAGAGGGCAGTGTCCATGACTGTCCTGAGTAACCACTGGGTCCCCAGCATCTCAGCTTCACAGCTGTTCCGTAATGACCTTCAGATGGAGGGACGAGGCGGGTGGGTGGGGGGATGGATGGATGGATGCATGGATGGGTGGATGGGTGGATAGGTGAGTGGGTGGGTGGATGGATGAGTGGGTGCATGGGCAGGTATGTGGATAGATGGAAGTATGGGTAGATGGATGGGTGGATGGATGGGTCAATACGTGGATGGGTGGGTGGGTGAATGGGTGGATGGATGGATGAATGGATGAGTAGATGGATGCATGAATGGATGGTTGGATGGATGGTGGATGGATGGGTGAGTAGGTGGATGGACAGATGGGGAATGGATGGATAGATGAACAAATAAGTGATGGATGGGTGGGTGTATGGATGGATGGGTGGGTGGATGGGTGGGTGGGTGGATGGGTGTGTGGGTGGATGGATGGATGTGTAGATGGGTGGATGGATAAGTGGATGGATGGGTGAATGGGTGGATAAGTAGATGAATGGGTGGGTGGAGAAATACATGAGTGTGTGGATGAATAGGTTACAGAGTAAAATGCCACCACCAGAGCAGTGCAACAGCGTGCTTTGCACTCAGCTCTGCCATGGAAAAAGTGGTTCCTTCCCAGGCTCTCACCAGGCTCACATGGGCTCCAGACCCCTGCACCCCCAACCAGACTGGGGACACAGGGACTGTCTGCTCAGATCTGCATCCATGCACCTGGCCAACACCAAGTGAGTCACAGGGAACCAGGTGGCCTGAGAGAAGGACCGATGACAGATGGCCTCACCCATGTCGCCAGGAGGCTTGGGTCCCAGTCCTGTGGCCCCACCAGCCAAGAGCTTGTGGACATTCAGAATCAGGCTTGCTGGTTTAAGCCCGGGCATGCAGCACCAACATTGTCTGCCCATGGGCTCTCTGGGTCGTGCCCTGCCTGACTCAGTCCCTGCATCACCAGTGCCAGGCCAGGCACAGACAGGCTCAGTGGGGTGGGCTAAGTAGTGCTGGGGACCCAAACCAGGCATCAGAGGGATTGAGATGCCCCCAGGCTGACTCCCACTCAAGCGGGTCCCCCCGCCTCCCCCCGAGCCCATCCCCTCTGTCCACCTGCTGCCACTCTGACAGCTACAACCAACCCAGGCTCGGGGCTGCCTGGACTCTGCCTACAACTTCACAGGCTCACTCCCATGCTGTCCTTCACACCTGGAGAAGTGCCAAGGTTACCAGTGCCACAGAACAAACAGCCGCATGCACTCTGCACCCTGCTCAGCCATTGAGACAGCAGATTCTGTAGCTTTGGGCAGTTCCCACATCCTTCCAGTCCTGATCTTTCCCCTGGAAGCCAAGGAGCATTCAGCGCCTTCTCTACGTGCTCTTGGCCCCTGTCCACAACAAAGGCCACAGGTCTCTTGTTGTGGAACTATGAGTGAACCCAGCGTTCTCCCCAGGGACCCCAGCACAAAACAAGCTCTCAACACACATGAGTGAATAAAATTGTCCCAGAAAGCGGGAGACTTTACACAGTGGCTACAATGTCCCTAGTACACTGCCACAGTCCAGAAGGGAGAGAAGGGGCTGTGCACACCAGGAAGCCAGAAGCCCACATGCACCTGCACAGGGTCTGTGCATGGAGCTCCGGCAGGTCCAATCTCTTGGCCTTCAGAATAATGATGTAAATACAGGCACAAACATGGAGCAGGCGCCACTCAATGTGCAAACCCTCCCCCTTCTTCTGGTGAGGCCAGAAGTACCTAGGTAGGAGCAGCCCCTACCTCCGACCACCTCCCTCCCTGCAGTGGGAATAGCAGCCCAATCCCCAGGCTGCAGGGATCCACAGGCTGTGCAAGTGTGGCTGTACCCCAGCATGCCCTGGTGCGAAGCTGTGCCCAGGGAGATGTTATCTGCACCCCAGACTGCCTGTGGTGCTGCAGAGTGGTGCCGAGGACGGAGCAGGGCACACCTGGAGTCTATATCACCTGCCTTCCCTAGGGAGTCTTGGGCCCTCTCCACATTCAAGGCGAGGGGAGCAGGGGATCTCCACGAAGACCCCCTGAGCACCTCCCTTCTCTTTTTGCTGATAAATAACCCAAGGCTTAAGGGGTTTTGGAACCAAGACATGGTCACTGATGTTAGAGGAATGGCTCGCTCTCCCTCCTAGCATCCCTACCAGGTAAGGGGGGGCAATTGGTTGCTCCAAGCACCCTGGTTGCTGTAGGAAGGAGAATGGAGACATCGGGCTGAGCCCACTGGCCTCCTTCAGCGCTCGGGCTCTCCCCTGCAGACAGCCTTCCTCAGCAGCCGCACAGCTCAGGGCTTCTCCTCCCTGGGTGCCAGTAACCCCAGGTAAGCCTCTGGCTGCCCGGCAATTCCAATACCCAGAGGGAGGAGCCAACAGGGCAGGCCACGTTCTCACCAAGCCATCTGCAGAGGGGTCAGGTCCACCCTGAGTCCTCCCTTCTCAGTAACAAGCTGCTACTGTGTTTTCCATTGTCCCACAGCTGATTTGTCAGTCAGTGCAATCACAGCGAGGACAAACACTAATGCCCCTCCTGAGACCTCTCTTCCGGCTGATGGTGTGGACCTTGACTCCACAGCAGGTGTCTGCAGGCCCTCCAGCTGGCCCTCGGTAGCCTGGAGTGGCTCATCCTGGACAGACTCACCGCTATGACGCAGGGGGAACTGCCAGGAGTCCCTGAGCGAGGTGATCTGAGAAATGCCATGGCAGTGTTCTAAGCCAGCAGCCTGGCTTACTCACAACCTCTCTGCTGTGTGACCTTGAGCAAGTGCCTTAACCTCTCTGAGCCTCAGCTTGCCCCTCTGTTAAAGAATGATCATATATGACACCTAACAACGTTATGTGGAGTATCAGCAACAAGGAATCCACTGCAGCCAGTGTTGCAGGTGCAACTGGCTGGGGCTGGTGTCACGGGTGGTAAAAGAATTTACCGAGACAGTCGTGGGTAAAGAAAGTCTGAAGACACCTTGCAAGAGAACAGCAGGCAGCATGGCAGAGAGAAGGCCACCTCCCCAGGGGCAGGGGCCAGGGGGAAGTTTGATAGGGTCACACTGGAGAGGCGACATGCAGACAGGGTCATGCTGGAGAGGCCACATGCAAACAGAGTCACACTGGAGAGGCCACATGTGGATACAGTCATGCTGGAGAGGCGACATGCAGACAGGGTCACTCTGGAGAGGCCACACGCAGACAGGGTCACGCTGGAGAGGCCCCACGCAGACAGGGTCACGCTGGAGAGGCCCCACGCAGACAGGGTCACGCTGGAGAGGCCCCACGCAGACAGGGTCACGCAGGAGAGGCCCCACGCAGACAGGGTCACGCTGGAGAGGCCCCACGCAGACAGGGTCACGCTGGAGAGGCCCCACGCAGACAGGGTCACGCTGGAGAGGCCCCACGCAGACAGGGTCACGCTGGAGAGGCCCCACGCAGACAGCATCACGCTGGAGAGGCCACATGCAGACAGGGTCACTCTGGAGAGGCCACATGCAGACAGGGTCACTCTGGAGAGGCCACATGCAGACAGGGTCATGCTGGAGAGGCTACATGTGGAAACGGTCACACTGGAGAGGCGACATGCAAACAGGGTCACGCTGGAGAGGCCACATGCAGACAGGGTCACGCTGGAGAGGCCCCATGCAGACAGGGTCATGCTGCTGGAGCTAACGTGCAGAGTGAGGTATTTGGTAACATGAGGTTGTGCAAGCGGGCTGCTTGTGGTTAGCCATTTCTTAGAACAACGGCTCTCCCCGACCCTAGTTCATGTTCTTGCCAGCTAGGGCCTGTGGTGCCATGGAGCTGTGCAGAGGAGGGAACCCCTTCCTCATTTCTATCAGCTGATCGGGACTCCACAGTTTGGTTTCGCTGCATATGACAATCCCAGCAAAAGAAGCATAAACAAGAAAGAAGCTGATTTCTTTCTGAAGGGAGAATCTGGGGATGACTGATTGAGGGTGAGGTGGCAGCTCCTCGATGTCCTCAGGGACCCAGATCCTGGCTGTCCTGCTCCTCGTCCTCCACGCATAGTGTCTAGCCTCAAAGCCACTCCATGGTCCAAGGTGGCTGCTGGTGCTCCAGCCATCAAGACCACAGGACAGGTGGAAGAAAGCTGGAAAAGTACAGGGCAGAAAAGGGCCCCTCCCAGAAGTCCCAGCTGAGTCAGCTTGTTTTTGAGCCATCTTCCTGGAAGTCTCCTACAGCACTTCTGCCTTTAACCCACTGGCCACGACTTAGCAGCTCGGCTCCACTTAGCCTCAGGGAGGAGGCTGGGAGATGCAGGTTTTCATTCTGGCCAGCTACATGCCCCACGACGCATCAGGGTTCTGCCTCCGCGGAGGAAGGGAAGAGGACCATGTCTGTACAAGGGGAGCTAGACCCACGATAAACATGAGCCACGCTAATGTTGTCAGCATCCCCAGAACAGCCGGCAACACAGCCTCACATCACACCCAACCTCCCGCCAGCCTCCAGCCCTGGGCAGCGTCCTCACTGCACCGCAGCCTAGAGAGGGAGCCAGAGTGCAAAAGGGACAGAAAGGGAGAGAACCGGAGGCCACGCTGACCCGAGCAGCCAGGGACAGAGGACAGACCCGGGAGGCAGATGGGAGTTCAGGGCAAGGAAAGTCTTGGGGGCTGCCTGGGGCGGGGGGAGGGAGATGTGGGGGGCAGAGGTAGGGGTGAGCTGCACCTGGGAGGGAACATGCACCCTCTTCCTAAGGAGACCCTGAGAGGCTCAGGGGAGACGGTAGCATGCAACAGCACCTGCTGCTCCCCTCTGCAGGAGGCCGACTCCACGGAGGACCATGCTCTGGCAGAGGAACCCAAATATGCATTTTTCCCACACCTCAGCCTCTCCTGGCCCCAAGGCAGGTACAGGCTCAGAGCTGGGGAACCGGCTGGAGATTTTCCTCTTTTTGCTGACTCTGCCCTGGCATATTCTGAGATACAGGGGTCAAGACTTCAACATATGAATTTGGGAGTCACAGTTCAACCCAGCATGCTATACAGATCTCAAGGGTGTCACTCAGGGAGTTGACAAAAGCGGACTCCACCAAGATAAGAACCTGACCACCCCCGAGATATGCGCTCATCAGTCCCCACTGCACCCCCTCCAGAGGCGACTTTTCATTGCAGATCAGCGTGACCTGTTCTAGAGCTTCCTACAGGCAGAGTCAGGCCGCACTGGCCCGCCCCAGCTCTCAGAGGCCGGCCATCACTGTGCACCCACACACCACCAGCTGTAACCCAGGCACAGGACCTCAAGGTGGGCTGGCTCAGCTGCCAACAGGAGCGAGTGGTGCTGAGGTCCTCCCAGGAGCCGTGGCCCAGCACCTCCTGGCCGGAACAACCATCCTATTCAAATAAACGAGTAACAAGAATGGGCACGCTCTCCACTTCCAAAAGCAATGCTGGCCGGGCGCAGTGGCTCACGCCTGAAATCCCAATGCCAGAGGCGTGTGAACCAGAGCAACTCCATCTTGAACAGGAGCTGGGTAAAATGAGGCTGAGACCTGCCGGGCTGCATTCCCAGGAGGTTAGGCATTCTAAGTCACAGGATGAGATAGGAGGTCGGCACAAGATACAGGTCATGAAGACCTTGCTCATAAAGGAGGTTGCAGTAAAGAAGCCGGCCAAAGCCCACCAAAACCAAGGCGGCCACGAGAGTGACCTCTGATTGTCCTCACGGCTCATTATATGCCAATTAGAATGCATTAGCTGCTAAAAGACACCCCCACCAGCACCATGACAGCTTACAGATGCCATGGCAATGTCTGGAGGTTACCTTATAAGGTCTCAAAAGGGAGGGGAGGAGACCTCAGATCCTCTTCATCCCTTTACTTTCCTGATAAACTTGCTCTCACTTTACTCCGTGAACTCGCTCCAAAGTCTTTCTCGCATGAGATCAAAGAGACCTCTCTTGGGGTCTGGATCAGAGCCCCCCCTTTTCCAGTAACACCAGCACTTTGTGGGAAAGACAGAGGCGGGAGGATTGAGTGAGGCCAGGAGTTCAAGATCAGCCTGGCCAACATAAGGAGACCTAAGTGTCTAACTTAAAAAAAAAAAAAAGGCCAGGCACAGTGGCTCACGCCCAATACTTTGGGAGACCAAGGTGGGCAGATCACTTGAGCCCAGCAGTTCGAGACCAGCCTGGACAACATCGTGAAACCTTGTCTCTACAAAAAAAAAAATAATAATAATACTAAGAAATTCCCGGGCACGATAGTGTGCACCTGTAGTCCCAGCTATTCAGAAGGCTGAGATGGGAGAATCGCTTGAGCCCAGGAGGTAGAAATTGCAGTGAGCTGAGATTGTGCCACTGCATTCCAGCCTGGGTGACAGAGGGAGACCCTCTCTCAAAAAAATAAAAAAAGAAACCCAGGCAGGCATGGTGGCATGCACCTATAGTCCCCAGCTGCTCCGGAGGCAGAGGCAGCAGAATTGCTCGAGTGCAGGCTGTAGGTCAAGGCTCTAGTGAGTTACGATTGTGCCACCGCACTCCAGCCTGCGTCACAGAGCAAGCTGCAGTCTTAAAAAATAAAAATAAAAAATAAAAGCAGTGCTATTCTCCTACAAATGAAGAAATCTCATCAGACAAATACTGCCACAAACCAGATGAAAATCATGATCTAATATTCCAACAAGAACTTCAGCTCCGAAGGGAGACTACAGCACAGAATAAGAACAGAGGAGAATAAGCACAGAATAAGAACGCAGGGAAGAGGTGGCCAAACGGCAGCGGAGTCTGTGGTAGGAAATGACAGAATTCAGGAAGGAAACTGAAGAAAAAGACAAAACCATTTCAGAAATGAAGAAATGAAGTTACAGGTAATACGAGAGCAGAGACACCACGAAAATCATGTAAAAAAGGAAAAAGTGAGCAAATGGAAAGAAAGAGGAAAGAGATTAAAAAGGATTAGAGAGAAAGTGACTATAAAAGACCAGTAAAGGGCCGGGCGCGGTGGCTCCCGCCTGTAATCCGAGCTCCGAGCTCTTTGGGAGGCAAGACAGTTGGATCACAAGGTCAGGAGTTCAAGACCAGCCTTGCCAAGATGGTGAAACCCCGTCTCTACTAAAAATACAAAAATTAGCCGGGCATGGTGATGTGTGCCTGTAATCCCAGCTACTCGGGAGGCTGAGGCAGGAGTATCACTTGAACCCAGGAGGCAGAGGTTGCAGTGAGCTGAGACTGTGCCATTACACTCCAGCCTGGCAACAGAGCGAGACTCTGTCTCAAAAAAAAAAAAAAAAAAAAAAAAAAAACAGTAAAGGGGCTCCAGCGTACACATACGATAGGCAAAACTAACAGATCAGAACAATTGACTACTTGATTTATGTGAGAGATGATCTCATATAAGCTAGCGTTGCCCAGGCTGGCCTTGAACTTCTGGCCTCCTGAGTAGCTGGGACCACAGGTGTGCACCACAGCACCTGATGAACAAGGATTGAAACTATCATTCAAGACCTCTTTTATTGAAATGCAGGCAGACTTGCGCCTGCCTGTAAAAGTGCATGCTGTATACTTGTGTGTGTTGGCCCAGAACAGTCAACACAAAACATGCCTTTGTAAAATCACTGGACTTTGAAGATAAAGAAATAATCCTTTAGGCAGCCAGACAGAAAGACCAAGTATCTTATAAAGCAAAGAAAACCAACTTGACATCAGACTTCTCCAAAGTGACATTCAATACCAGAAGAAAAAAGAAGCAATGCCTCCTTATCTAGAATTTGTGGGTAGAATTCTGTCCCCCAGAAAGATATGTTACACTTTGGGAAATTGAGGCAAGTGGATCACTTGAGATCAGGAGTTCGAGACCAGCCTGGCCAACATGGTGAAACCCTAGCTCTAATAAAAATACAAAAATTAGCCAGGCATGGTGGGGTGGGTGGGGGCGCCTGTAATTCTAGCTACTCAGGAGGCTGAGGCAAGAGAATTTCTTGAACCCAGGAGGTGGAGGTTGCAGTGAGCCGAGATCGCGCCACTGCACTCCAGCCTGTGCGACAGAGCAAGACTCTGTCTCAAAAAAATAATAAAAATTTTAAAAGATATGTTAAAGCCTCAACCCCTGGTACCTATGAATGCAACCGTTTTGGAAATAGGGCCTTTGCAGATATAATCAAGTGAAGTCGCAGTCACACCTGATTGGAGTGGGCCCTGATTCAATACAACTCACCTCCTTATAAGAAGACAAAAAAGGCCTGGTGTGGTGGCTCATGCCTGTAATCCCAGCACTTTGGGAGGCCAAGGTGAGTGGAGCACTTGAGGTCAGGAGTTCGAGACCAGCCTGGCCAACATGGTGAAATCCCATCTCTACTAAAAACACAAAAATTAGCCAGTCATGGTGGCGGGCACTTGTAATCCCAGCTCTTTGGGAGGCTGAGGCAGGAGAATGGCGTGAACCCGGGAGGCGGAGCATGCAGTGAGCAGAGATCATGCCACTGCACTCCAGCCTGGGCGACGGGGCAAGACTCTGTCTCAAAAAAAATAAAAAATAAAAAATAGAAGATGATTCGGCTTATGATTCTGGAGGATGGGAAGTCCAAGTTTGAGGGGCTGCATCTGGTGAGGGCCTTCCTGCTGTGTCATCACATGGCAGAAGGCATCACATGGCAAGAGAGTGTGAGAGAGTGAGAGAACACATGCCCAGCCTCGAGGCCTTTTGTTACCTGCATGGATCATCCATGGATCATCCTAAACACCTCCCCTTAGGCCCTACCTCCCAACACTGTTGCATTGAGGACTGAGTTTCCAACACGTGTTTTTAGAGGGACACATTCAAATCACAGCTTCCCCCCTCCACCACCCATTTTAATCCTGGGCTTTGCCTGGCTCCAATTCCTCTCTTATGTAAAGCAATGGATCAGACACACAGCCTTGGGGGATCTGTGAGAACTGAAGGGACTGGGGCCTCTCTCACACAGAACCCCAAAACCCTCCCATGCCTCCAGGACCCCCAGCAGGGAAGAACCCCACCTAACTCAGGGCCCAATCAGAGGCAGGGCCAAGGGTTATCCCTGCCCTCAGACTGGTTTTCCCAGGCTAGGGTCTGAGAACCCCGAGCAGCCAGTCCTTCTTCCCATGGGATGCGACTGGGCAGGGCCAGTGAAGGAACCCAGAGGCATGTTAGTCAAAGTGGGTTTCAGTCTCTGGGTGAGGGGTCCTGCATGGTGAGAAGCTGGGCCCACCTCCCACAGAGCCCACAGAACAGACTCAAACTCAGACACCAACAAGAAGATGCCAAGGCTGGGGAGGGCAGGCCCAGCCCGCAGAGTTCCTGCAAGGACTCTTCCCTGGCTGTGGTCGGAGCAGCTGCTCAGGAAATCCCTGGCAGCAGAGTGGGCACCCCCTCCGGGCACCAGGAGGAGAGGTGTGCAGGGGGGATTCCGGGGCAGCCATTGGGATTTGAGACTAGCCTGGACACCCACATCCACTTCTCCCCTACCAGGCGTTTCTCCCATCAGGGAAGAGGAATGCTCAGATGGGCCCAGAGGCCATGCAGAAAGAAGGAGGCCTCCCCGGGGGCTGAGAAGGCAGTGATGGGAGGCCGGCCCCAGGCTTGGGGTGTGGGTGGTTTCAATTGGAAAACTTTTATAATAAAAAATTGGAAGAAAGAATGTAATTCCCTCTACAAAAATATGTCCTCGTGATGCCACGTACCCACCTATACCCACCTGACCCCAGGCGCCTCCTTCCACAGCCAGCCACTGCAAAGGAGGCCAGGGAATGCGTCTTCCTGGTGCCCACGAAGGAGACACAGAGCTGGAGGGCATGGGGACCCAAGGTTCCAGGCTTCGGAAGGGAAAGCGTCCACAGCGACCCCACAGTAAGGACAGCCTCTGATGGCAGCCCCCACTGGCCAAACTACATCCCCCTGGGCAGAGTGCACCGGGCCTGGCTTCCCTCCATGCTGGTTCCAACTCACAGCCGGGGTGAGGCCAGGGCGAGGCCAGGTCCCCCCTCACGGGGAAGGCTCCCTGGGTGCTTCCCTGGTCAGGGCTGTGCATTCTGGTCACCAGTCCCTCCCTGACCCCAGTGACTCTGGCTAGGCCTCCACCCCTGCCCAGACCCACCCCACCACAGAAGACCCTGATCTACCATTCACTCTTTTTTAAATATTTTATTTTTTCAGAGACAGGGTCTCACTGTGTTTCCCAGGCTAGAATATAGCGGCTGTTCACAAGCATGATCATAGCTCACTGCAGCCTGGAATCTCTGGCCTAAAGCAATCCTCCTGACTCAGCCTCCTGAGTAGCTACAGAGCCACAGGCCACACCCGGCTCTCAGCATTCCCTCTTTTACTTTATTTTATTTATTTATTTATTTATTTATTTATTTATTTATTTATTTATTTATTTTGAGGTGGAGTTTCACTCTTGTCACCCAGGCTGGAGTGCAATGGTGGGATCTCGGCTCACTGCAACCTTTGCCTCCCAGATTCAAGTGATTCTCCTGCCTCAGCCTCCCCAGTAGCTGGGATTACAGGCACCTGCCACCACGTCCAGCTAATTTTTGTATTTTTTTTTTTTAGTAGAGATGGGGTTTTGCCATTTAGGCCAGGCTGGTCTTGAACTCCTGACCTCAAGTGATCCGCCCACCTCAGCTTCCCAAAGTGCTGGGATTACAGGCATGAGCCACCATGCCTGGCCGGCTTTCCCTCTTGAGCACATGCATGTAGGCAGGAATCCCAGCCCCCTTTGCAGATGAGCAAACTGAGGCACAGAGAGGTTCAGCCACCTGCGAAGGTTGCACAGCCAGGATCCACCGCCTTCTCGCAGCACCCACCCTCTTCCCAAGGAGTGCCCAGTTCAGCAAGGCAAGTGACACCAATCCCAACTGGGCAGCCAGGTTTTATGAGGCCAGGACAAACAGCACTGATTTGAAGCCTCGTAGAAGGGTTCAAATCACAGGCCCTGCCACAGGCTGGCCTCAGGGTCCTGGGGGAGCTGTGGGCATGCTTCTGAGCCGTAGCTCCTCTATCCACCCAAGGGAGCTGGTAGCACTGGCCTTAAGAGTGTGCTGTGAGCCCGGGGGGTTGCAGGTGGGCATTGAATGATTCCTACCACCCCACAAATACTACTCTGCCCCTCCAACGGGGGCAACCCCTCATGGCCTGCCTCGGCAGCCTGGAAGTTACACTCTATTGCATCACCCCCAGGAAGATGGAGAGAGGCCCCCAGGACCTCATGAGGGTGGTTTTCTGCGTAATGAGATGCCTTGGATATTCCTAGAGGTCCGAGCCTAGGCCTCTGTCAGCACATCAGTGAATGCAGCCCTGCTGGACAAGCTCAGGAGGACTCCAGGATCCCGAGTGACACATTCCACATCCACACAGGCAGACCGGGGCCTGCAATTACAGATGGGAGGTCCCAAGGTCAAGGCGGGGGCTCCCACATGTTCCCAGGAAAGCACCAGGCAGGGAGGGTGGTGGGCAGCAGTTCTGGGCTCTGCTCCTCCCCAGGCCCCATTTCTTCATCTGTAAAATGGGGAGAAAATATTTTCCCTTCCTAACTGCATTGGAAAGACGAGATAAGCAGCCGACTGGGGAAGGTGGAACTTCCCACTCATGCAATATTGGGCGAAATAAGTGGGTTCAGAGACTGAGCAGTGGTGCTGGCCCCAGACACTGGTGTGGATGCAACACGTCGCAGGACTCAGCCCGTCGAACCCCTGCCCGCCGCTGCACTGATGCCTCCTTCCCCCTCAAAGAGCCCTGATGCCCGGCCATCCTGATGGCGGGAGCTCCTCTAGGCCTCCACAGCCGTGGTCCAAACGAACCCTGCACTCCACACCAGGGCTCCTCACCACTGGGGCACCCTGGGCTGCCCTCGGGGCTGGCACTCTCTACATCCCGGCATCCAGCACCGCCCCCTGCTGAGGGCTCGGCCAATGTTTCCTGAATGAATGAGTGGCCCCTGGATGTGAGCATGGGTCACACACCTCACGGTGATTGGGTGGGGGTTTCTCATGAGTAGAGGGACCCCCACATGCCAGGGCTGCGCTGAGCAGGGACGTCAGTGACTCCCTCTCTGAAGGCGGCCATCTGAGGCAGGACTCTAGGAGCCTCTGTCACACCCGGCAGTGCACAGGATGATTCAGAGAGAGGCTGTCCCAAGGCCTCCCGGCTCACTGGTCGCAGTCTTCCCGGTCCTCCCGCCACCCTCCACACAGCACCACTGCCACCCACATCCCTGCTGGGCAGGAGAGGGGGTCGGGAGGGCAGACACAGGGCAGTGGGCGAGTCTGATCCAGGTTTTGTGAGGCCTCCCTATAAAGAAAAGAATACAAACTTACAAAAACAAAATTAGGTATGACAGTGAATATTTCTTTAGGATGAGGAAAAAAAAAAAGCAAACATACAAAATCCAGAAAACCAACATCGTGTTTTTACGAAGGGCCTGCTCCATCTCCATAACACTTCTTCCTGCACTTTTTGGCTGCGTACTTTTTATCTATCTCATTGTTTGAGAATTTTACATCACCTACGATAGAAGGAATAGAAACATAATTGCTCTTCCTCCAGCATGGCTGATTGAAATTTGTTTTTTCTTATTTATAATTAGAACACATAGAACAGATGACTTAACACATGTGCACACAGCTTTGCAGTACAGCTAGAGGTCTGTGTACATTAAACAACAAGTTCTGATCAATTCTATTTACAAGATTCCTGTTTGCGAAAGGAAGCAGGCCAGGCATAGTGGCTCCCACCTGTAATGCCAGTACTTTGGGAGCCCAAGGTGGGCGGATCACTTGAGCGCAGGAGTTTAAGACCAGCCTGGCCAACATGGTGAGATCCTGTGTCTACCAAAAAAAAAAAAAAAATAGCTGGATGTGTAGTTCCAGCTACTCAGGAGGCTGAGGTGGAAGGATTGCTTGAGCCTGGGAGGTTGAGGCTGCAGTGAGCTGTGACTGCCCTACTGCGCTGCAGCCTGGGCGACAGAGCAAGTCCCTATATCAAAAAAAAAGAGGAAGCAGCAATGCTGGGTGCACATTTATAATTGTATACGATGCATTTATCAACAGACCATTTCTGCTCTGGCGAGGCCCTGATGAGAGCTGAATACTCTGCTTACAATGGCACACGCCCGAGGACCGTCAGAGAGTCCACCGGGCGCTTGGGCTCCGTGTGTTTCAGACCAGCCTGGCCAACATGGTAAAATCTGCATCCATGTGCAGTGCAGAGCATGGCAGGGTGCATTCTCCTCCTCACCGTCTCTCCCAAGCACCTTCAGGTCGTGATGCCGAAGAAACCATCTATGCCCAGGTCTTAATCCATAAAGGTGCCTAACAGAGGTCAGCGCTATTGAAAGGAAAGTCTAACATCGCTCTGGAAACATTCGCTAGAAATGAGAGACATGGCAGGCCCCGCAGGGCGGCAGGGGGAAGCCGCAGGCAGACCAGGAGGCAGAAAGGAGCGAGGGAAAGGCCAAGCCACAGCCTCTGTTGGCTTCCTGGGAAAGCCGGGCAGAGCAGGGGAGACAGCTTGGGACGGGCTGATTTGTCTGATTCTGGGTTCCGGGGCTGTCCCTTGTGGTCTGGTTCTGGGCCTGGGTTGACACTGGGCAGGGAAATATTGGCTGGGGGTACAGAAGATGAATGAAGTGGTTTGGAGCAGGGGCTCTGGGCAGGAGGGGAGGTGCCAACAGCCCTGGTCAGGAGGTTGGCCCTGTCATCATGACCGCAAGTAGTCAAACGCAGGATCTAAGGAGGCACAAATCAAGGACGAAGCCAGCAGGAAGGTCAGTGGGGATGAGGGGGACTTGGGGTCTTTCTTCCTCTGCCTCCTTCCCCTTCCCACACGGGAGGGTAAATTGTGTTCTTCTGTGAAAGTCACAAGAACTCTCAGACACCCAGAGAGAGTTCATACACAAACACAGGAAAAGACACAAGTCGTATGACCATCTCAACAGATGCAGCCGAGTGTTTGATGACACTCACTGTCTGTTCTTAAGGAAAAGCTCAGCCCTCTGGGAAGAAAAGACCCGTTGTTAAGCTGATGAAGGCCATCTATGGAAAAAGTCAGAGCTGCCAACACAGCTAACAGGAAAATGTTGAAAGCTTTCTTTACAAGATTGGCAAGGGGACAAAGACACCTATTGGTGCCGCTGCTATTCAATATCAGCCTGGATGTGGCAGACTGCACAGTGAGTTGGGTAAAGTTTGTGAAGAAGAAAACAAAACTGTCTTTATTCACAGATGATATGGTTGTGTATGCAGAAGAGTCTACATAATCCACAGGGAAATTCTGAGGATTCAGAGGAGTTTAGCAAAGTTGTTGGGTTCAAAATCCATAGGCAACATTCCATTTTCTTACTATATATTAGCAACAATGTTGGAAAAATAAAATTTATAAAAAGACATAATAGCACAAAATATCAAGAATCTAAGAATAATGTACAAGGTCACTATACAGAAATGTTATTAGCAGGCATTAAAGATGGTCTAAACAAATGGAGATACCATGTTCATGGATTAGAAGACTCAAAATGAATTCTTCCCAAATTAATTAATTTTTTCCAAATTGATTTGTAGAACTAAAGAAATTGCTATCCAAATCCTAACCAGGTTTTTGTGGAACTTAAAATACTTACTCTAAAATTTGTGTTGTTTTCGTTTTTGATTTTTTTTTTTTCTTTTTCTTCTTCTTCTTATATTGAGACGGGGTTTCTCTATGTTTTCCAGGCTGGTCTCAAACTCCTGGGCTCAAGCCATCTGCCCGCCTCAGCCTCTCAAAGTGCTTGGATTACAGGCATGAAGCACTTCATCCAGACTAAAATTTGTATGGAAATACAAATTCAATTTGACAAATATTTGGCCAGGCATGGTGGCTCATGTCTATAATCCCAGCACGCTGGGAGGCTGAGGCGGGTGGATCACTTGAGGTCAGGAGTTCGTGACCAGCCTGGCCAACATGGTGAAACCCCGTCTCTACTAAAAATACAAAAATTAGCCTGAAATCACTTGAACCCAGGAGGCGAAGGCTGCAGTGAGCCAAGATTGTGCCACTGTACTCCAGCCTGGGCAAGAGAGAGAGACTGCATCTCAAAAAGAAAAAATAATAAATAAAAAATATTTCTTGAGCCCCTTAGTCCAGGGACTGCTTCTGGTACTTGGGATGCCTCTAAGAACCCCACCCACAAAGACCCTTCTTCGTAGACCTTAGCAGGAGAGACACACAGTAAAGAGTAAACACAATACATAAGCAAAGTACCCAGTATGGCAGGAGGTCATAAGTGTTTTGCAAAAAACCAAGACTACAGAGGGGAGGGTCACCAGGACATCTAGGGGCAGAGGTGGGGTGAGAATCCAACCTTCCACACAGGCCATCTCTGCGACCCATCTCTGTGACCCCAACAAGAGGCCCCTCGCCGGCCATCCCCGTTCCAGCTTCTGATGTCCTGATGTAGAAGCGTCTCCTCTGCAGCTCTGAGGTGAGAGGCCAAGCCCTCCGTGACCCCAAAAGGCCAGGGCTCCCCAAGTGTTATCCACAAACACCCCTGTGGGGACGGCAGGCTCCTACAAGGCGCCCTTGCACAGGTCTCTTGCAGAGCTTCTCCACCCACTCTCTGGGCCCTGACACAGTGGGAGGGTGCCTGTCCTTACCCCAGCCGGATGTCCCACCACACTCCTGCCTGGGGACTTCTGGCACGCAGGAGAGGCTGGACACACAGATGCAGAGAGGCTTGCCCCAACGCCATTGCCCGTTTTACCTTGAAGTTCGTGGTTCTTTAATTCTTGTTCCAAACTGTGAGTCAACCTTTAAAATATATGATATTGAAGTTCTCCTTCAGCCTCCGGTCTTTCATCACAGTTAAATCCAGAGATTTCACGAGCAGTAGATAAATCTGCAGTAGAGAAAAGTGCTCCAAAGGTGGGCGCGCCAGGCTCCCATTTGGAGCTGTTTATAAATGCTTTTATGTAGACCCCTCCTAGATGACGAGGAATGGCCTCAGAGCAACCCTGGGAAGGATGAGGAGGGGTCCGGGGACTCCAGACGAAATCGCACAGCCACCTACCGTGTGAGTGGAAACCCATGCTGCTTCTGCCTGGCCTCTAGGATCCGCGTTCAGGGGAAGCCGTGTCCCTGGGGTCATGAGACGTGATTGTTCAGACCAATGGATGAGGCTGAGCAGAATCATTTCATTTCCCCCGCACTTGCCAAGGGCAGGGACTTTCCCGTTTGTCCCTGCCTGATATGCAGGAAGGACTCAGAACTACTTAAGAACAAATCAATGAACCTATGGCTTTATGGCAAATACCACAGAAACAACCTTAGAAATGGGCTGAGGAGGCTGTCTGGCCTCTAACAAATGACCTCATCTCTCTGAACCTTAATTTCCTCATCAGTAAAGTGGCAGTGCAGCCCCTCCCTCACAGGACGCTCCATGGCAGAGTGCAGCCCTGCCGTGCAGCAGCCGGTATGACCTCATCCTTGTGATCAGGAGGGCCCTGCTGAACTGTTTCCGCCCCGCAGGTGCCTACGAAGCCCGGGAAATGATGTGGCCTTCCTGGAGCCATGCAACAGCACTGTTGTCACCAGGAAAAGGGCCTGTGGCACCCGCCTGGCCACTCACGTCCTAAATGAGACAGGCCCTCTTCATCGGCCTCAGTGGCTCATTGAGATGAGGACTTGGGAATTTTGCTGTTTCACAGAGCAACTGAGCGCCCAGGTGGCTGCCCCAGCAGACCCTGGAGACGTTTCAGGAGACCTGCCAGGGACCTAAGCCTCTGCCACTGCACCAGGCCCTGGCCAGAGGGCTGGGCTCAGAGCTCTTTATTTTTTTATTTTTATTTTTTATTTTTTAGAGACAGAGTATTGCCCTGTCTCCCAGGCTGGAGCACAGCAGTTGAAACCATACCTCACTGCAGCCTCGATCTCCCAGGCTTAAATGATTCTCCTGCCTCAGCCTCCAAGTAGCTGGGACCACAGGCATATGCCACCATGCCAGCCTTATTGTTAAATGTTTTTGGTAGATCCCATCTCCCTATGTTGCTCAGGCTGGTCTTGAACTCCTGGGCTCAAGCGTTCCTCACATCTCGGCCTCTTGAGTAGCTGAGACCACAAGTGTGTGCCACCGCACCTGGCCCCAGAGCCCCTTTTAAACTGCAACTCACAGTCTCCAAGTTAGACTCACAGAGAGAAGATCTAAATATGTGTCTCCTTGAGGGAGGCTGAGGAGTGGAGGAGGATGAACTCTTACAAAACGTCAACCTTTTTAAAAATGTGTTTTCAGTAATTGCTGTTCTGCGCCAAGTTTTATCCTAGTGGGAGTTTCATGTCGGAATTACTAAGTAGGAGTTCATAACAGACAAGTTAATCGCCCTTGTGTAGGGGCGAGGCACCGAGCAATGATCTCTGTACCCAGGTAGGTGCTTCCTGGATCCACACAAGCACAGGAGATGGCAGGTGGGGAGTGGGTGGGGGGTTATGAAGGGCAGCCGAGGAGGGGCAGGGGGCAGGGGGAAGCAGGATCTCTGATGGTAGAAGGGAGTGGTCACTACGTCCCCAACACACCCCCTTCATGTCCCCGCTATAGCCACACACCACGGGGGAAAGGCTACAGGCCAGCCCCCATCCCCTCAGGACCATGATGCGGGCATCTGCAGAAACGGGTGGGGGCTGTCTGGCCTGAGAGGCCTAGAGCCAGGAAGAGGTGGTTTAGAGCTGCCCTCCTCCTCCAACCTCAGCCCCAACCCCCTTCCTCAGCAGCAGATCCCACCTGAGTCTCTCCTAGGCCTGTTCTGGATCCGAAGTGGGTATGAGATATTCACCATCTATTCCTTTGCTCCACCATCACCAGAGGCTTTGTGGTACCTTATTTTTGAGAAGAGGCAACATATTCTAGGACTAGGCTGGGAACAAGGGAGAAATTCATCATGCATCCATCCATCCATCCATCATCCATCCCTCCATCCATCCATCCATCCATCCATCCATCATCCATTCTCCCACCTACCCACTCATTCCCCATCCAGCTACCCACTCATCCATCCATCCATTTGTCCATTCACCTACCAATCCATTTATCTATCCATCCATCCCCATCCATCCATCCATCCATCCATCCATCCATCATCCATTCTCCCACCTACCCACTCATTCCCCATCCAGCTACCCACTCATCCATCCATCCATTTGTCCATTCACCTACCAATCCATTTATCTATCCATCCATCCCCATCCATCCATCCATCCATCCATCCATCCATCATCCATTCTCCCACCTACCCACTCATTCCCCATCCAGCTACCCACTCATCCATCCATCCATTTGTCCATTCACCTACCAATCCATTTATCTATCCATCCATCCCCATCCATCCATCCATCCATCCATCCATCATCCATTCTCCCACCTACCCACTCATTCCCCATCCAGCTACCCACTCATCCATCCATCCATTTGTCCATTCACCTACCAATCCATTTATCTATCCATCCATCCCCATCCATCCATCCATCCATCCATCCATCATCCATTCTCCCACCTACCCACTCATTCCCCATCCAGCTACCCACTCATCCATCCATCCATTTGTCCATTCACCTACCAATCCATTTATCTATCCATCCATCCCCATCCATCCATCCATCCATCCATCCATCCATCCGTCATCCATTCTCCCACCTACCCACTCATTCCCCATCCAGCTACCCACTCATCCATCCATCCATTTGTCCATTCACCTACCAATCCATTTATCTATCCATCCATCCCCATCCATCCATTCATCAATCATTATCGATCCATCTATCCACTCATCCATCTATCCACCTACCAATCCATTCATTATCCATTCATCCCTGTCCATCCATCCATGTATCTACCTATCAATCCATTCATTATCCATCCACCTACCAATCCATTCATTATCCATCTACCCCATCCATCCATTCACCTACCAATTCTTATATTATCCATCCATCCCCATCCATCCATCCATCCACCCACTCATCCACCTATCAATTCATTCATTATCAATCCCTCTCCATCCATCCACCCACCCACTCATCCATTCATCATCCATCTATCCCCATCTACCCATCCACCTACCCATCCATCCATCCACCCATCCATCCATCCACCCACCCACCCACCTATCAATTCATTCATTATCAATCCATCCCCATCCATCTACCCATCCACCCACTCATCCATTCATCATCTATTCCCATCCATCCATCCACTTACCCATCCATCCATCCACCCCATCTACCCATCCATCTATCCACCCCATCTACCCATCCATCCATCCACCCATCCACCTACCAATGCATTCATTATCCATCTATCCACCCACCCACCCATCCATTCATCATCCATCTATCCCCATCCATCCATCAACCCACCCACCCATTCAGCATCCATCTATTCCCATCCATCCATCCACCCACTCAACCACCCATCCACCCATCCATCCATCCACCCACCCATCCACTTACCAATTCATTCATTATCCATCCATCCCCATCCATCTATCCCCCCACTCATCCATCCATCCACTCATCATCCATCTATCTCCATCCATCCATCTGTCCCCACCCATCCACCTACCCATCTACCCACTCATCATCCATCTGCCTACCCATCCAGCCACCCATCCATTCTTCATCTGGATGGACAAATCTTCATTGAGCACCAATTCTGTGCTGGGCAACAGGAGACAGAGATGCAGGAAACACAATCTCTGCTCTCAGAGAACATGCTTTCCAGGGACAAGAAGACATGGATAGAAGCACCAGGTGAAGATGCTAGGACATGGCTGATCTGTGGTCCATATCCTGTTGGGGAAAACTGGGGGCCTGGGGATGTTGGTCTAATGAAGAGAAGACTTGGAGGAACTGGCATATGCTGCTGAGAATGTTTGGTGCCCACCATAATACCTGGGAGGGGGGAGGGAGGACAGAGGGGTGACCACAGTGAAAATGTGGAGGGATCAGTGGAGTGTAAGCCCAGCCATTGAAGGAATGTTTAGGTGAGGCACTGCAGAAGTCAGCTGGACACAATCAGGAGTGTAAGTGTTAAAGAAAGAGGAAAGAAACACAAAACGCAGCCTTGGGGCTGACATATCTCTGGCCGGAGGGGAGGTTATCTCGGGGCTGGCATGCCTCTGGTGAGGGAGGGGTTTGGAATGTTTCTGGTCTGAGATGTTATTTGTGGTTTTTGGTCATGCTGACCTTAGCCATTAGGCTGATGCCCTTTGGATTTAGGCGGTTTTTGATCAGGGTGAACTTAAAATGGCAGTGCTTGTCCAAGATGGCAATACTCCTGCTGCTGGTTGGCCACTCGGAATTGTCTTCGTGGAGAGAGAAGACTTTATGGTTATGGGCCACAATATCTAGGGTGTGGCCATGGGAGAGGAGGGCTGGGGTAGTTTTGAGGTCAAGACCATGAAAGGAGAGCAGGCCAGGGTTTTGCAGGGATCACCCCCTGGAAACGGAAATCACCAAAAGTTATAAGAGGAGGAGGAGTGCTGGAGAGCGATGCGGTCCTTGAGGGGCAAGCGGGTGTCCATCTCCAGTTACAGCACAGTCAAGGGGATGCTCAAAGTGTCGACAAAAAAGAGTCAAACTCTGTAAAATATTTGAAGAGAGTTATTCTGAACCAAACCTGAGTGATCATGGCCCATGATGCAGCCCCCGGGAGGTCCTGAGAACATATGTCCAAGGTGGTCAGGGTGCAACTTCATTTTACACATTTTAGGGAGACATGAGACCTCAATCTAATACATTTAAGAAATAAATTGGTTCAGAAAAGCAAGAGAGCTAGAAGGCGGGGGGTGGGGGGGGGACTTCCAGGCTATAGGCAGATTTAAAAATTTTCTGGGTGACAATTGGTTGAGTTGATTTAAAGACCTGGGATCAATAGAAAGAAAATGTTTGGGTTAAGATAAAGGATTGTGGAAACCAAAGTTCTTATTTGCAGAGGAAGCCTTCAGGTGGCAGGCTTCAGAGAGAATAGACTGTAAAATATTTCTTATCAGACTAAAGTGTGTTGATGTTAATGCTGGAGCGATAATCATGCAAGTCCGATCCCCACTTCCCATCATGGCCTGAACCAGTCTTTCAGATTACATTTTAAGAGTGCCCTGGGGAAAGAAAATTGGAAAGGCTCCTCCTCTCCCTCTCCCTCCTCTCCCTCTCCCTCCTCTCCCTCTCCCTCTCCCTCTCCCTCCTCTCCCTCTCCCTCTCCCTCTCCCCACGGTCTCCCTCTCCCCACGGTCTCCCTCTGCCTCTTTCCACGGTCTCCCCCTGATGCTGAGCCAAAGCTGGACTGTACTGCTGCCATCTCGGCTCACTGCAACCTCCCTGCCTGATTCTCCTGCCTCAGCCTGACGAGTGCCTGCGATTGCAGGCGCGCGCCGCCACGCCTGACTGGTTTTCGTATTTTTTTGGTGGAGACGGGGTTTCGCTGTGTTGGCCGGGCTGGTCTCCAGCTCCTAACCGCAAGTGATCCACCAGCCTCGGCCTCCCGAGGTGCCGGGATGGCAGACGGAGTCGCGTTCACTCAGTGCTCAATGGTGCCCAGGCTGGAGTGCAGTGGCGTGATCTCCGCTCGCTACAACCTCCACTTCCCAGCTGCCTGCCTTGGCCCCGCAAAGTGCCGAGATTGCAGCCTCTGCCCGGCCGCCACCCCGTCTGGGAAGTGAGGAGCGTCTCTGCCTGGCCGCCCATCGTCTGGGATGTGAGGAGCCTCTCTGCCTGGCCGCCCAGCCTGGAAAGTGAGGAGCGTCACTGCCCGGCCGCCATCCCATCTAGGAAGTGAGGAGCGTCTCTGCCAGGCCGCCCATCGTCTGAGATGTGGGGAGCTCCTCTGCCCTGCCGCCCTGTCTGGGATGTGAGGAGCGTCTCTGCCCGGCCGCCCCTACTGGGAAGTGAGGAGTCCCTCTGCCCGGCCAGCCGCCCCGTCCGGGAAGGAGGTGGGGGGGTCAGCCCCCCGCCCAGCCAGCTGCCCCGTCTGGGAGGTGAGGGGCGCCTCTGCCCAGCCGCCCCTACTGGGAAGAGAGGAGCCCCTCTGCCTGGCCAGCTGCCCCATCCGGGAGGGAGGTGGGGGAGTCAGCCCCTGGCCCGGCCAGCCGCCCCATCCGGGAGGGAGGCGGGGAGGTCAGCCCCCCGCCCGGCCAGCCGCCCTGTCCGGGAGGGAGGCGGGGGGGCCAGCACCCCGCCCAGCCAGCCGCCCCATCTGGGAGGTGAGGGGCGCCTCTGCCTGGCTGCCCCTACTGGGAAATGAGGAGCCCCTCTGCCCGGCCAGCTGCCCCGTCCAGGAGGTGAGGGGCACCTCTGCCCAGCCGCCCCTACTGGGAAGAGAGGAGCCCCTCTGCCCGGCCAGCTGCCCCATCCGGGAGGGAGGTGGGGGGGTCAGCCCCCCACCCGGCCAGCTGCCCCATCCGGGAGGGAGGCGGGGAGGTCAGCCCCCCACCCGGCCAGCCACCGCGTCCGGGAGGGAGGCGGGGGGGTCAGCCCCCCGCCCGGCCAGCCACCCTGTCCAGGAGGTGAGGGGCACCTCTGCCCAGCCGCCCCTACTGGGAAGTGAGGAGCCCATCTGCCCGGCCACCACCCCGTCTGGGAGGTGTACTCAACAGCTCATTGAGAACGGGCCATGATGACAATGGCGGTTTTGTGGAATAGAAAGGGGGGAAAGGTGGGGAAAAGATTGAGAAATCGGATGGTTGCCATGTCTGTGTAGAAAGAGGTAGACATGGGAGACTTTTCATTTTGTTCTGCACTAAGAAAAATTCTTCTGCCTTGGGATCCTGTTGATCTGTGACCTTACCCCCAACCCTGTGCTCTCTGAAACATGTGCTGTGTCCCCTCAGGGTTGAATGGATTAAGGGTGGTGCAAGATGTGCTTTGTTAAACAGATGCTTGAAGGCAGCATGCTCGTTAAGAGTCATCACCACTCCCTAATCTCAAGTACCCAGGGACACAAACACTGCGGAAGGCCGCAGGGTCCTCTGCCTAGGAAAACCAGAGACCTTTGTTCACTTATCTGCTGACCTTCCCTCCACTATTGTCCTGTGACCCTGCCAAATCCCCCTCTGCGAGAAACACCCAAGAATGATCAATAAAAAAAAAAAAAAAAAAAAAAAAAAAAAGAAAGTTGGAAAGGCTTCAGGATTGTCAGTTAAATATAATTGTTTTTGCCTGGGTCTACTGACAGACAGGTTTACATCGTCTCTATTACTTTTCTTTTTCTTTTTTTTTTTTTTTAAATTTGTTTTTTGTTTTTGAGCTGGAGTTTTGCTCTCATTGCCCAGGCTGGAGTGCAGTGGTGAGATCTCAGCTCACCACAACTTCCGTCTCCCAGGTTCAAGTGATTCTCCTGCCTCAGCCTTCCGAATAGCTAAACTACATGTGTATGCCACCATACTTGGCTAATTGTTGTATTTGCAGTAGAAACAGGATTTCACCATGTTGGCCAGGCTGGTCTCGAACTCCTGACCTCAATTGATCTGCCCACCTTGGCCTCCCAAAGTGCTGGGATTACAGGCATGGGCCACCGTGCCCAGCCTATTACATGTTTTAAGGTCATAAAACTGCTACTTCTGGAATATTTCTTAAACTTGCTTGATTTGTCTAAATTGAGCTAAAGCTGTAAGGTCTGGCTGCTGGGCTCCCTGAAACCTTGCACATATCTTACTGTATGACTGTATTTCGTTTTGAGTCTCTGGATTCTGGGGTTTGGACAGATGACCATAGTGAGGCCTGCAGAAATATGCATGTCCTCAGTGATTGGACTGCCAGCTGCAAGGCAGAGCCAAACCCAATATGGCCCCATCATCCCTGGCTCAGCTGTGCTACCTGGCCATGCTGGAAGGGGTTTGATCTTCCAGGAATTTGCTTCACAGCTCTTTCCTGTCCCAAGATCTATGCCTGATGTGTAAATTCAGGACCCAAAAGGGCACAAAAAAGCAATAACTACTAAATATAAGGAAAACAACTCTGTATACAGCATGTATAAAGAAAAGCAAGATATATTTGGGGAGATAAAAGTTGTAAAGGCATTAAGATGTGTGTTTGTTGAGAAAAAATAAATTTGTGCATTTAAGAAGTTAAAAAAAAAAAAAAAAAAAAAAAAGAGTGCCCTGGCAGAGGAGGAAGTCCATTCAGATGGCTGGGGGGCCCTCAGAATTTTATTTTTGGTTTACAAAAAGTTTAGGATATGGGGGACGTTGCTCATGGCTGGTCAGGAGCTCGAGAGTGGAAGGGTTTGAGGGAACTGGGGATGGGGGAAGGGGTCTGAGAAGGGGATTTACAGAGCTGTCTGGGGCAAGGGGTGGCCTGGGGGGACTCGAACTTTCCATACAGAGGGAGAAGCAGCATAATGAGCTTCATCCTGGGGTCTACAGTGGCAGACAGTGGGGAAAGCAGTGACAGGGAGTTTGCCAGCAGAGGAGGCAGCTGAGGGTGTCTTACTCAAAGACCCTCCCTGAATGCTGGGAGCTGGGAAGGGGTTGGTTTTGCCCAAGCACATGGGGTCTCACTTGTCTTCAGGCAATGGTGGCTGCCTGAGGATAGCGGAGGCTCATTGCCCTAGGCCAAGTGGGAAAACTGCCTCACCCAGAAGGTCACACCCTCCCCCACAACCCAGTGCCTGATTGATGAGGGGAGGGAGAGGAGACACAAAATGGTCCTGGCCTCAAGGCAGGGACAGCCGTGAGGTGCAGTGCTCCCGAGCTCCCCTTCATCCAACCAGGCTGAAGCAGTCACAGCCTTGCTCAGCTCTCTGCACCGGCTCTCTACCCCCACTCTCCTTTCCTAGGAGCACCCCTCCATAATCACCTCCACAGGAATTCCATCTCAGCTCTGCTTCCAGGAAACCTGACCCAAGACAGAGGTTGTTGCAAGGGCAGAGGCCACAGGCATCTACACCAGCCTCTGTGCGTTCAGTCTGTGAGCGGCCCAACGCTGCCCATGTGCTCCTCCTTAAAGCCTACTCAACCCTGGGGTCTACAGGCAAATTCCTCGCGGGCACCTTCCCTTGTCCTGGCTGCCGCTCTGCTTCCTTTGCAAGCTCCTTCTCGCACCCTTGCGCTGGCTCCCTCCAGAGGGCTCCATCCCCTGCCCACTGTGCCTTCGTGGGTGGTGCCCAGATCTCTGTCTCCTCTGCCCTGGACCCCTCTGCCCCTGACTGGCAGATCTATAGAGTTCAGTGCCCCTGGAGGGCTCCACGTCCATCCCACAGGGACCCGGACTCTCATCTTCCTCCTGAGCGTGCTCTCCCTGGAGACCTGGCATTGGAATTCGCCCTGCCACCTTCTGGTCTCCCCAAGTGGAAACCTGGGCGTCAGTCTGGACGCTTGTCACCAAATTCTGTCCCTTCCACCTTCACATGGCCTCTCCATCTTCACTGCCTCCGTGTCTCTATCTCATCCCGATCACCTTCGCCTCTCCTCTGGCGGAGAGCACCAGCATTCCCACTGGTCTCTGCTTTTCCTCAAACGCATCTCTGTGTAACTCTCCCCTCAGGATCACTCTGTGGCCCCCATTGCTCTGGGTGGAATCTTCCTTCCAGTGGCGTTTCAGTCCCCTGGGTCTGCCTCACTCTTCACCACCGTCTTGTGCTTCTGCACTGAGCTCCAGCCAGACCACCTGCCTGCAGCCACCTGGCGCTACCTGTTCCCGTGTGCTTCCTGCCTTTGCCTGGAGAGAATAACAATCTATAGTCCAAACTCAAGGACAAAAACAAACTGCTTTTTGGCCGTGGTGGCATGAAACCCCAATAAGTCAATGACAATGCTGCATGCTTCTGAAAGCCGGCCAGTCAGGGACAGCCCCACACTACAGAACAGGCCCAGGCAGCAAGAACCTTGTGCCCCTGAAGTCAGGCTGAACACTCTCACTTCTGAAAGCTGGACAATCCTCAATGCCAGGCTTCCCAAGAGACTCAATTTGTTTTGCTCTGAGAGATGGTCCTATAAGCACAGTTCCCCTTTTCTCTCGTAAGCAAGATACTCAGCTTCAGCACTGACCAGCCTCACAATCCGTCCTCACCAAGTGGAGGGCCCTCCCTCCGGGTTCCTCCACGGCCGTATCTGTCTCTGTTCATACACCTTCCCCTCAGCACTTAGAGACACGGGCTGGCATGGCGGGTGCTGGCGGCAGGGGTGAGAAATAAACTTTCAGCCCTAGAGGAGGAGCCCAAGAGGAGAGCATGCCGTCACCTGGAGTCTCTGGTATGTGCCTGGCACCTGTACTGATTGCATTAACCACTGTGATTTTTTAGAAGATGTACTAGTTTGAAATGTATAATACATACGGAGAAGTGTATGAAATATGTACAATTTAAAGATAAGGAAAAATGCATGCCTGTGTGCCCACCACCTAGTGAAGAACTACAACCTGGACACCACTTTGGAAGCCTGTCTGTGTTCACCCGTCGCATTCTCCCTCCTCCCCCAGCCCAGGTATCCTCCATCCTTTAGCCATCCCCTGACTTTCTTTAGTTTCATTGCCTGTGTATGCAGCCACGAATAAAATATTGCTTAGTTATCTGGGAAACCGGGCTGTATAGGAAAAGGGCTCTTAGAACCCCACACCACTGTCAGATGCAGGATCCCAGAAGACTCTGCTCCCAGTCCAGCTTCCAATTCCTGTGGGTTTATAACGGGCCTTTCTAGAGACACTGGGGGCAGGATTCACAGAGCTGGAACATTTGCAGTTAGGACCACATTCCAGATGACCAACAGGGACATGCTTGGGGGGGATAGGCCAATTTGGACTATCCCCTTCTAAGCCCACCAAGACCTACCTGTAGCTCTCAGGAGTGGGGTCAGGGCAAAACATGTATGTGGGGTAAAACAGGTGACCTCTGATTCTAGGCACCAGGAGATGGAGAGAAGAGCAGGAACGAGGGAACACAAGGGGAAGGCAGGCACAGGTGAGAATCTAGGCCAGGCTCACCTGGCCATTCTGTCCTGAGGCTTAAAAACATGCAATGATGGCAATGACAGCATTTGATCTGTCTCTGGAGTCACTTCGCATGAGGTCATTCTCCCTCCACCACCCTCCTGGGGGATTCCTTTACCTCCTCTCCCCCATACATCCCATATTGGGAACTTGTGCTTCCAGCTAAGATGCAGTAACAGACTGAATTTACCCTCTTGCCTGAAACAACTCAACAGCTGGAAAAAAAGAAATGAAACGATGGCTCTGAAAATACTAGAAAAGCAGCACAGGACAGAAGCAGATCACCTTGATTCCAGGGACCTGAAATCTTCTCTGGAACAACACAAGATACAATTTAAATGTAAATTAGGGTAGGCCCAGTGGCCCACGCCTGTAATCCCAGCACTTTGGGGGACCAAGACGGGAGGGTTGCTTGAGCCCAGGAGTTGGAGAACAGCCTGGACAACATAGGGAGACCTAATTTCTACCAAAAAATTTCAAAAATTAGCTGGGCGTGGTGACACGCACCTATAGTTCCAGCTACTTGGGAGGCTGAGGCAGGAGGATCGCTTTAGCCCAGGAGGTCGAGGCTGCAGTGAGCCATGATCATGCCACTGCACTCCAGCCTCGATGACAGAGACCCTATCCCCCCACGCAAAAAAAGGAAATGAATTAACATTAATTCCTCTCAAGATGCCCAGGCTCTATTCACCCCCTTTGTCATTGTCCCTCCAGTTGGAAATTCCTCCCTCCCCCCGCAAAATCCCGCCCACCCTTGGAGGCCTTTTCAGATCATTCTTGCCAGATGAGCTCCCCTTGTCCCTTCTCTGAGCCCAAAGGGGCCCAGCTGCTGTCTGTCTCCCTCCTTCCCCTTGTTTCCCGCGCTACCTCCAGGGCACTTCCCAACTCACTGGCCAAGCCCCCAACGAGCGGTCTATGCTAACTTTGGCTCTGTGAATTTCCTAGAGTGTCATGGGTTGGGGAAAAGCGCGCGAAGTCCTGCCTTGCAGCAGGCGCGAGAGCAGGCGCTTGGGACGCGGGTTGGGGCAGGGGCCCCGGGACGTAGGGGGACGTCTGCGCGGCCCTGCGTCCCCGGGACAACCTGGCCTGGGCTTACCCACGGCCAGGCGCTCCGCGGAGGGCAGAAGCGGGCTGGGCCAGGCTCCTCAGCGCCAGGCCCGGGCCGCAGTGCCAACCCCGCAACGGCACTGGACATGCAAGAGTCGGCGTCAGTGCGCGTGAAGCCGGAGCATTATCAGGCTCAGCCAAACGCGGCCCGGTTCTTGGGCTTTCCGCTCTTTCTGTGGGGCAGAGAGGGAAAGAGGCCTCGAGTCGTGCGGGCTCCAGGCTCCGGGCTCTGGGTGAGGCCTGATCCCTGCTCCCACCCGGCCACCCTCATTCTCCAGTTGTATCCCCTGCCAGAGTCTGCAGCCTCGGGCCGCGGCGTGGTTGCCTGGGAAACGCTTGCGCCTGCGCAGGGCTTCCTAGGCGCTGGAGTCCGCCGGCGGCCTCGCCGCTGCCGGCCGCTCACGGAGGAACTACAATTCCCAGGAGACCGCGCGGTGGGTGGGGGCGGGGTAGTGGGCGGGGCATCGGCAGGCTAGGTTTTCTCCGCGCAGCGCCAGTCGCAGAGGAAGATGGCGCCGCGGAGGGTCAGGTCGTTTCTGCGCGGGCTCCCGGCGCTGCTACTGCTGCTGCTCTTCCTCGGGCCCTGGCCCGCTGCGAGCCACGGCGGCAAGTACTCGCGGGAGAAGAACCAGCCCAAGCCGTCCCCGAAACGCGAGTCCGGAGAGGAGTTCCGCATGGAGAAGTTGAACCAGCTGTGGGAGAAGGCCCAGCGAGTGAGCGCGGCCCGCGGTCGGTGGAGCGGGGCCTGGGGGCGGGGGCCGTGGTTGGGGTCGTTGGAGCGGGGCCCAGGGGTCGGAGGCGGAGGGGGGCGCAGCCGGGGCACCTGTGCCCTACGCGCCCTGTCCTTGGCACAGCCTCCCCCAAGTGTCAGGTGGGGCGCCCCGACCCCTTCTGCAGCAGGAAAGGTACCCGTGCCGGCGACGACGCCGTGTGAAGCAGGTGGCGGCCGGCACCCCGAGGGTCAGTGTCGCCCTCCCCAGCCTGGGCGGCCTGCTGACCCGAGCGTAGGGACAGAACCAGGCTAGATCACAGGTCTCCTGCCTCCCGAGCCTTTGCCTGTTCCCTCAACCTTATCTCCCTATGTGGGGAAACAAGAAAAACAAAATGTTGGGTAGAAAGACGTGTCCAGGGACAGAAGGAATCCCAGTAGCAAGCCCGTGCTTGTTCATTTGAGCGAGAAATGAGGAGGTGAGGAGATGGGATCGGTTTAGAGCACATAAAACGCGACCTTGGGAATGCTGAAAGTCAGTCTTAACAGGGCGCTCACCTGACCTCTCCTTCATTTGAGAGATGAGGGTACGGAGGCCCCGAGGGGAAAGGGCACCCCCAAGGTGGCTCGGCCGGTGGGGCCCCCCGGGACAACAGCTTCCTAATTGGTGCGTGACCCTGGGCCAGCTGCTCTCTTCATTAAGATACGGTTGCTTCATTTGTTAGGTGTTCCTGAAAACACCTGAAATGGGTGTTTTCGAACTATGCCGACCATCTGGGCCTCATTATCTCATCTCAAATGCAGGAGTCAGATTAGATCTCTGTCTCAATAGTCCAGTTTTAAGCATTCCTGAGTCTTTGAGAGGGAAAGTAAGTGATTTGCAGAATAAGAAGGAACTTTTGGAACGAAAAGGGAGAGGAGAAACAGGTGGGGGACAGACAGACGACAGACGGTTATAAGACTGCGTGGGGATGGGGATTGACGCCTGGGCATCAGCTCCACAGGCCCTTCCTGAACTGCTCCTGGGACCAGCAGTCAAGCCCCAGGCGTAATGTTCAGCCTGCGGAGGTGGGAGGTGGGAGAACGCTCTGGGCTGGAGCGGCAGGGCGGCTTCTTGGAGGAAGGGATTCTGGAGGGGCTGGGGACACGGCTGGGTTTGGATGTGTTGATGGCCTCCCAGCAGCAGGGAACAGGTGTGACCAGGAGCAGCCGGGATGCAGTGCTGCCTCCCCGTGCCCACTGCACTGGGCATCTGTTGAGTGGGTGGAGTCCCCCCTCCCCATGAGGAATGGGGAGCCCGAAATAGACTCCCTGACCGATTGGAGGTGGCGCTGAGGAAGTGCACTCGGACCCAGGAACCCCAGCGGCTCCCTTTTGGGTGCTGGCCCAAGTCTTCCACCTGCTCTGCAGGGCCGCCCTGGTGCGCTCCACCTTACCTCCAGCCACCTCCAGCTGGTCCTCTGTCTTTGTCAGCCCAGGCCTCCTGCAGCAATACACCTGCCCTCAGGCTGCCCCTGCACTGGTCCAGCTACCCTCGGGCTGCCCCTGCACTGTCCCCCGGTGCTGGGTGCTCGCCTGACCAGTTTCAGTCTTGGGTTGGGTCATGTCTCCTAAACCTCCCTGAGGTTCACTGGGCACCATGGTAGGGCGAGCTGCTCACCTCCACTTTGGACTGAGCCTTGGACTAGATGATCTTTCTGGTCCCTTTAAGTCCTGAAGTTCTAGTTGTGTGGGCAAGTCTTTTTTGCTGAACAGAACGTGAAGTTCTTCGGGGGTGAGGGTGTTTTGGGGGATTTTGTGTGTCTTCCCCCATTCCAGAGAGCCTGGTACTATGGCAGGCAGGCCTGCAGAGCCCATTCGTCCTGATTTTCCTTCCAGATAACGGAAGCTTGGAGGGTGGCGGTGCTGTGAGGGTGTTCTATCCTGGAGCCAAGTGTGCAGGCGTCAGACCCGTCCGGGTCTTTTTGAGGTTCTCAGTGGCGGTAGTGCATCCCGGGTGGTCTTTGTGCTGTGGCTCTTTCTGCCGAGCGTGCCAGGGCCCAGGGTGGTCAGGAGGCAGGAGGAGCCACAGTCAGTTCAAACGTAGGGGGAGAGAATTGTTCGTGCAAATAGTCACTCCAGTCGGCTTCTTACCCCACCTGACTCGCCGCTCTAGGTAGGTATCAGACGGAGACGGGGTCTTGGATCGCCCCCTGGAAGATAATTGAGGTGAGGGCTGCTTTTTCAGAGAAGCACTTCCTGCCCGGCTCTGCAGCCACTGCTCTCAGCCTCCTGCGACCTGCGCTCAGCAGCCAGGACGGTCTTGTCCTTTCTTTGGTTTGCTTCATGAAAACATCGTGTCCCTGTTTTCTGCATGTAAAGCCACATCCTGGCATATAGGATTGCGTAGTGTGTCAGTAGGCATAGGGTGAAGGGAGCGTTTCAGGAAACCTTTGCCTTTGATGGGCTTGGGCTGTGAGACCTGCGTTGAGGTTGCCGCCAAGAAGATGCTGAGACCCGCTTTCATCAGGCGAGACCCGGCCAGGGGGGTGCTGCTTCATCCTCTCCAGCAACTTGAATCTTGACTTTCTGTGACTCTCCCAGTTCCTCTTTCACAGGCGGGCTCCACTGTGTTGCAAGACTCCTGAGCAGAGGCTGTCCCTGGAGCTTTGGAGGTCAGAGGCCATGCAGAGCCCTTGTGCTCACAGACGACTTCTGAGGACTCTGCCTCTTCAGAGCTCTGTGTGTTGTGTTGATGCTGAGGAGTAAGCTCCAGGGTCTGCATGGTCCAGCTGCGGCGCTCAGGGACACACTCGTGTACCTCTTGGCCTGGGCTGCACGGTGCCATGAGCTCGGAGTCCTTGGCCATAGGTCCTTAGTTTTTTTGGTTTTTTGTTTTTTTGTTTTTTTTGAGACAGAGTCTCACTCTGTCGCCGAGGCTGGGGTGCAGTGGCGTGATCTCGGCTCACTGCAACCTCCGCCTCCCAGGTTCAAGCGATTCTCGTGCCTCAGCCTCCTGAGTAGCTGGGATTACAGGCATGCACCACCATGCCTGGCTAATTTTTATATTTTTAGTAGAGACGGGGTTTCACCATGTTGGCCAGGCTGGTCTCGAACTCCTGGGCTCAAGTGATCCTCCCGCCTCTGCCTCCTAAAGTGTTGGGATTACAGGTGTAGTCCCAGGAGGCACCGCACGCAGACAGTCCTTAGTTCTGACGTGAATGGTGACTGCAATGAGAGTGTGTGAAGCATCTTGTTCTCAGAGGTCTGACGAGTGGAAACTGAGGTCTGCAGAGAGGAGCCCTCAGAGCCCCACCCCAGCTCTCAAGCGTCCCCCCTGGCTTGAGAAGGGCCTCTGAGGATGGGCCAGCCAGTGGCCTCCATGGGCACCTAGGACTCGCCAGGCCAATGCATGACCTCACAGCAGCTCAAGGCGGGTACGGCTGTGCCCTTGTCCACGGAGCTCAGGTGGAAGGAGCTGGGGCACAGTGGCTGGGCTGGGACAGTGCATGCCACCTGCCGTGGTGAGACAGGTACAGCGTGCCAGGAAGCCTTGGTCACCGCCACAGCCTGCTCCTCATGGTGGGTGCCTTGCAGTCTGGCGCGGGCACTCAGGTGAGCGCTGGGAGGATGGCACATGCCCTCTGAAGAGGTGGTCCATTGGCGGTCCTGGTGGCATTGGAACCTGCCCAGCCTGAACTGTGCGGTGTGTGCAGGTTGACACCAGTGGTGTAGCTGTGGACCCTGGCCTGGGTTTCCTGGGGCGTTGAGAAGCAGCAGCAGGTTATTGGAAAGTTCCAGAAAGCTCTGCTGGCACGCGGGTGGTGCTGTGTGGGGAAGGGCCACTGCTGAGGTCCCAAGCAGTGCTGGGCCCTTGGGTCTGGTCAGGAGGACACGGTCGGCTCTGCTTGTGTCTGGGGACACAGGACCGGCGTCGTTTGATCAGCTGAGCCGGCTTTCTTGCCTGCATGTATACCCTGGTTGTTGATGATTTGCCTCGCTGCTTCATGTTTGACAGGTTCTTTTCTGCAGTTGGTTTCCACAGGGTACTTCTAACTTGATGCGTTAACATTTAACTTGAGAGAGGTGAAAGAATCCAGACGTGGGGTCTGGGGTCTGCACGTGACCTGCTGGTCTTCCTCTGCACAGAGCTGGGGCTGCTTTTTGTGGTGGTGCTGCCAGGCTGGCCCCTTCTGCGCTGAGCACTGGCAGCCACACATCAGGGGAAAGGGAGCTGGCTTTTGTGAGACATGCGGTGTGAAATTTAGACCCCCTGTTGCCTGAGAGTTGGGGAATCAGAGGGAGAAAATGACTTTCCCCTGTGGGTTGCAGATTTTACAGCCCACAGAGCACCTGCCCTTGATTCTCCCAGCACCCTAGGGAGGCAGACAGGAAGCCAGTGAGGACTGCAAGTTACAGGGGTTGGTGCCTGGCTGTGAGCCTGCCAGGATGGGCCCAGGACTTCAGCAGCCCTGGGTCTTCAGCTCCGCTTTCCAGCAGGCAGCCCATGGGCAGTCATGGGACACCTGCATCCTCTCCCCTGCAGCCAAAGAGGGCAGACCCGGGGCCCCTCAAGGCCAGCACACACTTGAGAGCATGGGCCTGAATTGCCTGCCCCAGGGTGCTGCTTCTGGCTCAGACCATCACTGTGGGCCTCGCATCTCAGACCCTCCCGGGCAGTGCAGCACGGTAAGTAAGGCGCCTACAGGGTAGCAGCAGCCACGGGGAAGTAGAGATGGAAGCAGACCTGTTCCTCCAGGAGTTTGGGTCACAAACAAGATAGGCAGGTGTGGGCTCCCCCTCCTCCTGAGGCACCGACTGCCCCTCCTGAGAGTTCAGCGTCACTCAGGTGCCTCATTGTCCTGGGTCCTCCTGCTGGGAATGCTCAGATCAGACCTCAGGTCTCCTAGGGCCTTCCAGTGGACGCCGCAGGCAAGTGTCCAGGGCACAGAGGGGCACGGGGTGGAGCTCTGGGGAGAAGGGGCTGGGTGGATGGGGCTGGCTGGGTGGATGGGGCTGGCTGGGGAAGAGGCACACAGGTAGGGGTGTGTCGAAGGCTGCCAGGGAAAGGGTTTTCAGGTTGGGACAATCCTGGAAAGCAGCCCCTGCAGAGATGGGGGCGCAGAGCATCTACCAGGAGGGCCCAGACAAAAGACTGTCCTGGGACCACCCACTAAGGGTTAGAGAACCTTCTAGAGAATTAGAAGCTTTCCTCTGCCCTAGGCCCTGCCATTCATTTTGTGCCTACCGTTTGCTATCTTTTTACCATTGGGGATCTTGGCTCAGTAATCTGAATTCATCCCTAACTAAATTTTAAACTCCTGGAGGGTGGGGCCTGTGTGGCTAGGGCAGCCACAGAGTCAGGCTGGGCTTCTGAGAGAAGAGAGGGCGGAGCTGACAGCCCCAGCACCCAGCTGGAGACAGGGCCTGTGGTCAGGGGTCTCCTTCCTCCCAGGCCCAACACAGACTGAGCTGCAGGGAGCAGGATGGGCTCAGTCTAGATACAGGCAGAGTGAGGCGAGGAGGTTCCGGAGTGTGGGGTGTGCCAAACACACAGAATTGGCTTCGTGCGAGTCTTGAAAGAAACGTGTGCCCCTGCGCGGCGCGGACCTGAGGGCTGGGCCTCCTGAGGTCTCGGGCTGCAAGGCAGTGTGGGCCACAAGGCGGCGCGGGCTGCGGGACACTGGGAAGGCAGCCGGCTCTTGACGCTTCGTGGGGATGTTCACTGTTTTACGTAAACTTTATTGAAATATAACACACATACTTTGGATACTAGCTTGTGTTGTATTTATGTTAGAAAATAGCTAATGAAATATAGATAAAAGATTAATATTTCAAACGTCTAAGGGAAAACAGACTCCATATTTAAACACACATGATCAGAGACAGGCGTTAGGTGATGGGCACCTGGAGCTCAGAGGCAGGAGCTGGGGTTCCCTCCTAGAGCCACGGGCAGCTCATGAGGACCAGCCCCGGGGGAATGTGAGAATGCAGGTGCTCAGGGAAGGGGACCCTCCTGAGAGCCGAGAGATTTGGGGATCTGCACTGCACAGTGCCGAGCACTTCCTTTGCTGCAGGACTCCACAGAGGCTTTAATGCGCTGGCGTCACTACAGGCATGCGGTGCAGCCTCCCCAGTTAGCCAGGGACAGCACCCTGTCTCCGTGAACCCTGGTCCCACCTCATGACACGTTCTGGTTCACACAGCTGGGCCACTCTGCTCTGCACGGAAGAGCCTTCGCTTCCCTGAAGGGCTAGCCTGCCCCAGCGCACGCCTCTTAGCGGCCGGGCCAGCCCCGAGGCCAGAGTTGATGAGAGCTGGCCGGTGGGTTTCATTCTGCTGCTTGCCTCGGCCGCCTGGCATTCTGGCCCAGTCTTTCTGACGTGGGGACACTCTTGGCCTAAATCCTGTCTTTGCAACCAAAAAGCAGTGTGCCCAGCGGTCACCTCACTTGCTTCCTTCTCTCACCCAGGGTCCCAGAGCTGGGAGGGCAGGGGTGGGATGAATGAAGCGTGGCCTGCCCTGCGGAGAGGGATGAGGGTGGGGCGGGGAAGTTCCTCAGCCCCAGTGCGGCAGCTCGTTCCGGGGCGCTGCCTGTGTGGTCTACGCCAGCAGGTAAGTGAGAGGGTGACAGATTCCTGCTCCAGAAGGATCTGGGGCTGTGTAAGAACCGTCTCAGCAAGACAGTTCGGATCATGGTACACTTGAGAGGTGGTGACTGAGGGTCTTTGGGAAATGAAGATGGGGCAGATCTGAGATTACAGTGATTTTTTTTAAAAAAGAACTTCTAGGTGTCTGTGTCCTTGCAATATGTATCTGCAATGGTAATGCAGTGGGTATCTTCTTCCTGCTCTGTTTATCCGAGTGCCCGATGACTGTCCTCAGGTGCTAGGGTGGGGTGTCCTGTTACAGCCGGACAGGAATGAGCAGCCGCTGCTGGTGGGGAGCCCCCGATGGACTTGGGGTTTCCGGATCGTGTATACAGACAGGCCTAGAGACTGGTGTCCATGTTGAGTTCTTGTCTAAACCTGTGGGGTTTGAATCCTGCTGACAGTGACCCTGACTCCACCTCTTCCTGGTCTCCCAGAACCTCCCGGTGGCCAGCCTCCTCCGAGGTCAGTTTCTCGCTGTGTCCTGGTCCGTCCTGCTCGTGGCTCACAGGCTCCTCCCCTTCGTTCGCAGCTGCATCTTCCTCCCGTGAGGCTGGCCGAGCTCCACGCTGATCTGAAGATACAGGAGAGGGACGAACTCGCCTGGAAGAAACTAAAGCTTGACGGCTTGGACGAAGATGGGGAGAAGGAAGCGAGACTCATACGCAACCTCAATGGTACGTTTGTTTCTTTCCTAATGCAGGTCGAGTATCCCTCTTCCTAAATGCTTGAGAGCGGCAGTGTTTTGGATGTCGGATTTTGTTTTTGGATTTGGGAATATTTGCATTATGCTTAATCTGGATATCCAAAATGAGCCTTTCCCCGAGCATCCTGAGTGCCCAGAAAGCTTAGGATTTGTGTTGGGGGCTCACCCTCATGAGGGAGGTGGCCACTGGCTTCAGTGTTTGGGGGGGCTAACCCTCATGAGGGATGGTGGCTGCTCGCCTCAGTGCTGTGGGCTACGCCTCTGACTCCTTGGCTTTTGGCCAAGGGGCCCATTGGGCACAGCCTGCGGGGGGCTATCCTCCGAGCACAGATGCGCCCTTGGCCGTGGTCTCAGTTTGCTGTCACAGATGCCATTGGCACGCCAGAGGGAGGGCCAAGGCAGGGGCTCTGGGTGCAGGAAGGGGCCGGAGGACAGCAGGAGGCTCTGTCACCCAGAGGAGGAAGCAGGTCTGCCCTAGCATCTTGAAGTTTTGGGGACATACTCCAGATGTCATCAGAATGGACACTTGGTTGTCATGCGCTTAGTGAGTCCTCGTCCCTGTGGGTATTCAAGAAGAGGCAGGACAGTCGCCTGCTTGGTACCAGCATACGGAAGACAGGTGTGTCCTCAGAGCCGGGAGGGTTTTAAATGACAGAGTTGCGACTGTTCCTTTTGGACCCCTCTCCTCCGCCATCCTCCCTCACCACGGGCCCGTCGGCAGGGCACTGGCGGGCAGAGGACGCACACCAGGTGGGCCCGTGGGACTGGGGTTGGGGCTGCTCCGGAGAGTCGAGTGCTCAGCTGCCTGCTGTCAGCTATGTGTAGCAGCCCTAGGAGCTGCTGTGCCTCCACCCAACTGCTGCCCCTGGGCCTGACCCCAGGCACCCCTTCCCCAATCCCCTCCCCCGCTGCTCCCTGTGTGACCTGGGCCCCCGGCACAGTCCCCTGCCCCCCACCTCCGTTTCCTCCTCCTGTCTCACAGGACGGTGGTGTGAACCAAGTGGGATACTCCCCACTGTGGTGGGGGTGGGGGTGGCTGCCATCGCACTTGTTGCTGTCGTGAGGGTGGCCCCAGAGCCCTGGCCATGTCTGGAGTCTGCTGTAGCCCTGCTTTTCACACGCGCTGATGGCCTCAGGCATTGCAGCGCCCGGGTTGTCTCTGGTAAAGAGAGGAGGTGTCTACGGAGTTCCTTCGTTAGGCCTGATGCTCTAACACCTACTCCTCAAAACTCGTTGTCGTCCCATTTGACAGGCTCAGAGAGGGTGATTTGTCTGGAGTTGCAGAGCCGAGTAGTGCAGCAAAGATTTGGAGTCAGGGTTTTCTGACTCCTGAGCAGGTGGTCTGTTCCCAGCCACCCCTCTTCTCCCATTGGCAGGCATCAGCAGACATGTCATGTGGCTGCGCCCGGGTTAAAGACAGAGGGCCGGCTTCATTTTTGCTGGTTTATGCCACCATGTTCAAGAGTCTGGTTGAGACGTAAGCCAAGATACGGCGGCAGGGACTGCCTGGGGAAGAGAGACATGGCTGAAACAATTCTGGATGGTTGCGTCCCCACCAGCGTGTCTAGTGGGCCATTCCCAAGGGCCAAGAAAGAGCCTGTCCTGGAGGTGCCCCCAGGAAGAAGGGACTGGCTATGCAGCAGGGCAGCATTCGGGGCCTGGAGGAGACAGAGTAGCTTGCAGGGGGCACAGAAGTGGGCTAAGAACCAGCTCCCTCCTGCAGGCCAGGCAGTGTCCTTGCAGGGTGTCCAGGTCTGTGGCCCAAGTGGAGCTGTCTTGTTTTCTGCCATTGCCTAGTGACCTGGCAGAAAACTTAGTGGGACTCTAGGAGCCGGCGTCCCAGAAGCAGACCCTGCCCACACTCAGGAAAGAGGCTCGTCCTGGCCAGTTCCCCGCCATCTTCTGGGTGTGGTCCCTGGACCCCCGAGGTCCCCCGTGCCATTATCAAGTGTGATACCATACCTGGGGGACCAGCCATAGCCAGGTGTGCCTGCCCTTGGCACCCTCCATGCTGAGGTCCACCCTGAGACAGACGGGCCACGCTCCACTCTGCCCTGCCCTGCTCTGCTCTGGGGTTCGCTCCTGTCCTCACCCCCACCGCGCCCCCAGGGCCACTTCACTCCCCAGGCAGGGAGTGTGGGGCGGCGTCCGTCCTCCCCAGGCAGGGGGTGTGGGGCGGCGTCTGTCCTCCCCAGGCAGGGGGTGTGGGGCGGCGTCCGTCCTCCCCAGGCAGGGGGTGTGGGGCGGCGTCTGTCCTCCCCAGGCAGGGGGTGTGGGGCGGCGTCCGACTTCCCCAGGCAGGGAGTGTGGGGTGGCGTCTGTCCTCCCCGGGCAGGGCGTGTGGGATGACGTCCGTCCTCCCCAGGCAGGGAGTGTGGGGCCGTGTTCATCCTCCCCAGGAGCTCTAAGGGCTCGGTGCTCCTGAGGCCGCCTCCAGCTTCAGTGCTCTGTGACTCCATTCCATGCAGAAGAACCCAGCACCTCCAGAATCCAGAACCTTCCATAGTCCCTGCTGCTGATCGCAGCCGTGGGTACTCTGCCTTTTGATGGGGTCTGACCAGCCACTTTGGGCTCTGGCTCAGAGCTTTTGGCTCCAACTAGGAAGGCTTGAGCCAGGCTAGCCTCAGAGCCCCAGGACATGGCCCACCCTCCCCGTCTCCCCCTCTCCTCCTCTCGGGCTCAGGGGTGCACGGCCTGGGGGTGGGACCTCAGTGCTGCTGAGCAGTGGCTGGACTTGGGGGTCTGGGCAGGACGGCCTTCACAGGCAGGCCTGGCACTGGCTTTCTAAGGCCAGGAGGCATCCAGGCCACTTTTTTAAAAAGTTTGTGTATTTTTGTATGTATTTATTTCATTTATTTTCTCATCCCCCACAGCCGGTATTATTTATTTAATTATTTATTTATTTTAAAAGATGGGGTCTCACTTTGCTGCCCTGGCTGGTCTTGAACACCTGGGTTCAGACGGCCCTCCTGCCTTGGCCTCCCAAAGTGCTGGGATCACAGGCATGAGCCACCGCGCCCGGCCTAAAATAGTTATTTCAGGTATAAATTCCCTGCCATGGAAGACAGGCCCAGCATGTGGTTGAGCTTTGAAGCATGCATCTACGGGACCCGTGCCCAGCGCCAGCAGCTCTTGACTGCTGTCAGGAGAGACGGCTTTCCTCAGGGACAAGACCACAGGCTGGTTTTTCACGCTTAGGAAGATCACAAGCGCTTCCAGGCTGGAACACAAGAAGCACATGCTGCGTGTGGCCTTGAGACCCCCATGGCCCAGGCTTCCGGACAGAGTGAGACAGGAGGGATCAGAGGCCAGGGTGGTGTCGATGAGAAAGGAGGCCTGAGGCTTTCAGGGTGTCCCTCGAGCAGGGACACTCCCCAGGGCTGGCAGTGACAGAGGATGGACCTTTGGGAGAGGTGCGGGGGTGGGGCCTGCTGAGCCCAGAGCATGTGGAGGCCCCGCTGGGAGTAGTTCTGTCCAGTAGGGTCACGGGTGAAGGCCCAGAGGAGGCGCTGGGGTCCGGGAGTCACCATCTGGGTGAAGAGGTCCTCGGGGTGAGGGGAAGTGTGAGGCGAAGGGAGGCTCCGAGCCCAGCATCTTGGGAGAGGCCTACTCGGGGCCCTCTCGGCCCGGAGGGGAAGGCAGGACCCCATTCTGTGGGAGGCGGGGCCCTGGGAGAATTCCCCCAGCCCCCAGGAAAGGGCGGGCAGGCAAGCCCACCGCCCGCTAAGGAGGCGGGTGTGGTTGCATGGGCCCCGGATTCCAGGGGACCTAGTAGAGGGCCTGTCACACAGAGCCACAGCACAGGACTTGGAAGTGGGAATTGGGGCCTGGGGAGAGCTACTGCCGTGGAGGGCGAGGCCAGCCCCCAGGCTCTGCTCTCACATCCCAAGTGCAGGACTTGTCCTGTTGGCACCAGGGCCCGCGTCGAGCGCCTGCTTTCATATCATGTTGGTGGCAGCGTGTGGTGACAGACACAGCCCACAGATGCCGAGTCCCCCCTAGGGAAGCGGGGCTAGGGGAGCACCACGTGGGCAGATCCTAGAGGGCTCCCCGAGTGGCTGGGCCACAGCACACTGCAGACTATTTATTCCTCCTGGCTGCTACCAGTAACTTTTTGTTAGAAGCTGCTGACACTGACGTTTCTCCTTTAGAAACTGTTTTTCCTCCCAATAAATATAAGATGTGTGCTGTCAGAAAGCCCTGCCACCCTGCACAGTCTGCAGGTGGCCTCTGTCCTGTGGTCCTTAGAGTTTTTGCCCTATGGCAGCAGGTGAGGCTGCAAATTTTGTTCTTGAAAATCTGTGCAGCTGGTCGCTAAAGACGGGCCAATCGGTAACCACTCTTACAGCCCAGCCCACCAGCTGCTTTCGACAGCTGCGTCTCAGGGGGACACAGCTTGATGGAGGACTCCAGCCGGCGTGTCCCTGGTAGGAAAGAGGGAGGTCCTGGGGGTGTCCCGTGAGTCGCCAGACCCGTTCCTAAGTGCTGGGAGACCACAGACCCCACGCTTGTTTACATTCTTGTTCTCCCCAGATCTCCAGTGGTCATCCAGGAAACAGGTGAAAGGAAACTACTGGAAAATGAGAGGCAAACCTGTCTCACCCACCGTGGCAACCCAGATGTGTTGGCTTTTGACTGTTTTTCACAGGAAACCATATCAAATAGAACCTCCCCTCTCTCCTAGTCATCTTGGCCAAGTATGGTCTGGACGGAAAGAAGGACGCTCGGCAGGTGACCAGCAACTCCCTCAGTGGCACCCAGGAAGACGGGCTGGATGACCCCAGGCTGGAAAAGCTGTGGCACAAGGTACTCTTCGATTGTTTGCATACCTTGCAGAATTGGTGCCGTTACGTTGAGTGTTAAGGCGGGGGCTGTGAGGGGCAGTCTCTGCTCTGCATGGGAGCCGGGGTTTGGGAAAGTCTCAGGAAGACGGTGGCTTCCTAAGGAAGCCATTCCACTGTCATTCTGTGAATCTTTTCAGCTTTCCTGTTTAGAAGATTCCTTGCTCTTTGAGTAAAGGAGCTCTGTTTGGCCTTTGGCCTGCAGCTGTCAGACCTTCAGCTCAGGTCACGTGTGGTTACGGGATGGTGACGTAGCATGGGCTGCGTTCTTTACTCCGTGTCGGATTTTTAATGTAGTGAGTGGTGCCGTGGACGTGCCTCTGTGATTAGAAAGGTGCCCTCGTGTGTGGGGCTGGGCTTTCACCCTGTGCCTGGGAAGGGTGCGGGGCCAGGCGCTGGGACCCAGCAGGGCCTGGTGGGCTGTGGCAGGGTGTTTACCTGCCGCAGCTCCCCCATTTCCAGCGGCTCCTGCTCCAGAACAGTTTCTCTGGATCACATTGATTTGGGGTCAACAGTTAGACTTCTTGTACTAGCCCAGTCTCAGCTCAATGTCCTTGGCCAGGAGAGATGGAGTCGGTAGAAGGGGGCAGAGAGGGAGAGAGGGCCCTGTGTGGCCTCCCTGGACGTGTGTGAGCCACGTCATCTCACAACCAGGAGGCAGGTGGGATGACAATGAGGGGCTGGCAGAGGTCCCCCTAGGAAGGTGGCCTTGCTGTCCTCACCACCTGCAGCCGGGAGAGCCAGGCAAGCCCGGGGTCACCGGGCTGCTGCCCTGTCCCCCTCCTTGGGATCTTCTGCTCCCCACCCCAGCCAGCTCGGTAGCTGTCCCCTGTTGAGCCTGGACACGTCCAAGAGAAGGGTGGTTGCCTGCCGGCAGCTCTTCTCCGGTTTGTTTTTTGTTTTCCTGCCCTTCGTGAGGCCAAGAACCTGGCCTGGCACTCACGTAGGCAAGGGCCTGCCTGGCCATGAGGAGTGGTTGGCTGAAGAGCGGCCCTGGCCACACGAGCCCGCGGCGGGTTCACTCCAGGCCTTGTTTCCCTCTTAGGCGAAGACCTCTGGGAAATTCTCCGGCGAAGAACTGGACAAGCTCTGGCGGGAGTTCCTGCATCACAAAGAGAAAGTTCACGAGTACAACGTCCTGCTGGAGACCCTGAGCAGGACCGAAGGTGCCCCCCGCCCCCACCCCCTCCTGCCCTCTGCCCCACCCCCTCCTGCCCCCCACCCCTCCTGCACCTGAGGCTCGTTGTGCTCAGTGGGCAGCCTCAGCTCCCCTCAGGAACACAGCAGGGGCAGGGAGGCGGCACCAGACGCCCTCCCAGGGTTCCACCGGACTTGTGAGTGGGGAGGTTGCTGTGCAGGCAGGCTCTGGGAGTCGCCTGCCTGCATTGGATGAACCAAGTCTCACCGGCGCCTGCCCCCACTATGGGCACAGCTGCTGCCTTTGTCAGACCTGAGCTTCGCTGATGGGTCCTTCATTCTGGACTCGTGACCCTCCCCAAATGTGTGACTTTCCCACCCCACAAAGCTGGAGTAAAATGGAGGGTGACCCAGCAGAGAGGGGGCAGGGCAGGGGTCCAGAGTCAGCCCCCAGGGGACCTGGTGCCCCAGCTGTCACCGCCAGGCGCCACTTGGTGCGCGTGTCCCGGCGTCTCGCCTGTCTCGCCTGGAAAGGAAGCTGTGCCAACGGTCGTTTCTGCGGCGCTGCAGGACCGCGGAAGGGGGACATTTTCAGCCCAGAAATGAGAGCGAGTTTGAGCTCCCCAGCAGTGGGCGTTCTAGACAGTGGTCTGGGCAGGCAGTGCGAGGACTCCCAGCCTCATGGCGTCCTGCCTTCGGTTTTACAGAAATCCACGAGAACGTCATTAGCCCCTCGGACCTGAGCGACATCAAGGGCAGCGTCCTGCACAGCAGGCACACGGAGCTGAAGGAGAAGCTGCGCAGCATCAACCAGGGCCTGGACCGCCTGCGCAGGGTCAGCCACCAGGGCTACAGCACTGAGGCTGGTGAGTGCCCGCCCGGGACTGTTGGTTCCCGAGGGTGGGGCCGTCTCTGGTTGTGTTTTGGGGACAAGCAGGCAGGTGCTTGTAGCGACGGGAACCTGGGCCTGTGGACGCAGCGGAGACCCTCGGCGCGCTCAGTCTACCCACGGGTGGTCACAGGCCTCGCTCCCAGGAGCTGCTCCGTGAAGGTCACTCGCCGTCCCCAGCCTTGTACCTGGAGACTAGCAGAGGGCAGTGGCGGCAGCGGGCCTGGGAGCAGCCCTTCCCAGCGTCTCCCCAGCCTCAGCAGCACGGCCCCTCCCGTGCTGCTGTTGGCCAAGAACAGAGACCACTCGTCAAACATAGCTCCGTCTCCATCTCATGCCACCCACACCGTCCATCAGTCCCCCTCAGCCCGGCAGGGGCAGGACGCCCGCTGAGGCCACAGAGCTTGTGGCTCCGTCTCAGCAGCTCATCTCCCTCCACTGCAGGCCCTCAGTGGCCAGGCTCTGCACCACTGCTTCTTGCCCCGTACCCGGGCCAGAGCCTTGTGCAGGGTGTACCAGAAGCCTGCTGGCCTCACTCACGCAGCTTCCGATTCTGTACCTCATCCTCCACGTGCACACTGAGCACCAGCTGCACGCCAGGCACTGCTCTAGGCTCGAGGAGACAGCAGCCGCCAGGAGATGGCATCTGTGCCCTCATGGTGATAAGACAGCAGGGCTGGTCTCTGTCCCCGGTGCCAGGCAGAGCCACCGCCTCGTCTCCAGGATGGTCTGCCCAGAGGCAGCCTCCAGCACAGCAGTCAAATGTGTCCACGCGGGCCCAGGTCCCCTTGGGTGGCTGTGCTGCTGTCACCTGAGTGCCCTTGGGCAAGACCCCTCACCACCCACCCCCAAACCCAGGCTCCCTTAGCCTGACCTGGTGCTGGTGACTGTCAGCCGTAGGCTTTTGGCCGTAGTGCTGGGGGCTGGACCACCTTGTAGGCCTGCGATGCAGTTTGCTGAGTTCCTGTGCTGGAGAGACCCGGATGAGCCTGGCTATAGTCCATGCAGGAAAGGGCGACTCAGCCCCACACACTTCTCTTCCCACCTCGGGCTGTCCCCAAGGCAGTTGTGTCCAGCGGCTCCTGCAGTTCTCTTGCGGGTCTGCCTGGGCCTTCCAGCAAGCCCCACCAGCCCAGGGTCCTCGGGGTCCTGAGCAGGAAGGGGTCAGCAGAGGAGGGAGCAGGGGCCACTGTTGCGGGGCTCCATGGGCAGGCGGCTCTGGACTACTCACTCCTGGTTGGAGAGTGGTGACAGCCCCGGAGTCTCTCACTGCGTCCCTTCGTGAGCACCAGGGTCCAGGAGCCGTCTTGGTTTGTTTGGCTCCTCCCAGGAGCCCGAATGTTTGACTTTCACGAGCACAACATCCTGCTGGAGACCCTGAGCAGGACCGAAGGGAAACGGCCTGTGCCTGCGTCTGGACCTGGCTGAACTTGCAGGTGCCCCCACCCGAGGTCCTGGCAGCCTCTGCACACAGGCCACGTCCATCCTCTGCCTCCTGCTTCAGAGGCAGCCAGGGCGGGCTGTGGCGCTTCCCAGGCTCTGATGGAGGCAGGTGTTTCTGGACACAAAGGAGAAGCAGTTGTTTGGCCAAGGGGACAGAGAAGCCACATTTCAGCGAGGTCATGTGAGCTACTGAGCAGATGCCCTCTGTGCCCCATAAGACTTTGAGTGCACGCACCCGTGTTTCACACACATGCAGGTCGCGCCTGCAAACCCTCATAGGCTCCACGCACACTCAGCGTGGTTGCCGCGGGGCTGGCTGTGGTGTGCACCCCGGGTGCTGCTGAGGCCACTCTTGCTCCTCCCCTGCAGAGTTCGAGGAGCCCAGGGTGATTGACCTGTGGGACCTGGCGCAGTCCGCCAACCTCACGGACAAGGAGCTGGAGGCGTTCCGGGTAAGGAAACACGGCCCTCTCCTTCTAGCTCTCTCCTGTGGTGAAGATTCTCTTGCAGTTTCCGGGTAAGGAAATGCAGCCCTCTCCTCCAAGCTCTCTCTCTCAAGATTCTCGCAGTTTCTTCCTTAACCACTCGGTGAACCTGCTTGCGTTTTCCTTCTCATCTGCGTGGGAACTCGTGTTTCAGGGGCGGGGCCAGGCTCTGGAGGGAGGGGCTTTGGTTCTTTTGTCCGTGTTCACGTCTGAGCGTGGCCTTGGTGCGGGTCCTGTGGATGGTCAACAGTTGGTCGGGACCCAGCCACAGCCTGGGGGGAGGGGACCAAGGACACTACCGGGATCGTTTAGGGGTGTCACCACTTCCTGAGATGGAGGCCCAGGGAGGGAAGGAGACCACCTCAGGTGGCAGGGGCTCCTGGGGCGTGTGGAGTGCCAGATCATTCTGAGGGTGGAGAATTCATCAGCTCGGTGAGCACCCAGCAGGGCTGTGAGGAGTGGGGAGTCCATCGGGGGTCCTGGGTGGGCAGCCTTGAGTATGGTATCCGGCCATGAGTTCACCCAGGGTCCCTATAGCTGGTGTCTGTTGGGAGGGAGGTGGGTGTGGTCCTGCCCTCATAGGACTTGGGACTTTCCTGGCCCCAGGAAGGGCCCTTAGCACCTCCCCCAGAAAGGGGTCAGGAGCTTCCCTCTGGGGCTGGGGCACCTTAGCTGGCCGCAGGCACGTGCATGGGGCTTGGCAGGTGGGGCCACATGGAGGGCCCTGGGTCTGGAGCGTGGGGTCAAGGCAGGGCAGGGCACCTACAGGAGCAGGGACAGAGCTGCAGTCCAGCAGCAGTGGAGCCCAGGCAGGCTGGGGGCAGGGTGCAGAGGCAGCCACCACAGAAGCACAGCCCCTGGACATGGGGTCTGGCTGGGAACGAGCTGGAGGCCCCCTAGATTCGGGGGGCGGGGGTGCCATTTGCAGAGACAGGGAAGGGGTCGGCTTAGGGCTGCCAAGGAGGCGCGGGCTGGGACCCGTTGCTAGTGTGATGGCCTCCCAGCTGCCGCCCCCTCATTGCCCATGTCACCGCAAGGCCTGTCCTGCCCCGGGTATGGCGCCGTCCTTTGGCGTCCTTGCAGTTCACCCGGGACCACAAGATGGCGTGGCGAGCACGGGAAGGGAACACTCACCTATGGAAACCTTGTTCCAGGAGGAGCTCAAGCACTTCGAAGCCAAAATCGAGAAGCACAACCACTACCAGAAGCAGCTGGAGATTGCGCACGAGAAGCTGAGGCACGCAGAGAGCGTGGGCGACGGCGAGCGTGTGAGCCGCAGCCGCGAGAAGCACGCCCTGCTGGAGGGGCGGACCAAGGAGCTGGGCTACACGGTGCGCACGGGTTCCAGGACCGGGGAGGCCACAGTTCCCCTGCAGGAAAGATGAGGCCGCCCACATGCAGCTCAGGGCTTCCTGTAGATGGGGTGTGGGCCCCACGCTGCTGTCTTCCCTGTCCGAGTTGAACCCCAGGGCCACAAGTGTGTGGGGCACTGAAGGCCACAGCAGCCATGCTAGGGGAGCCCCCCGGGCTTGTAGTGCAGTCCCCCGACCCTCAGGTGAGAGCGCAGGCCCCGGCGGGCCACTGCCTCGTCCTCCTGTGACCAGGATGGGGCGTGACCTGGATACCCACAGCCAGCCCATGAGTCAGGGCACTCTCCAGCCTTTGAGACAGGCGAGCCTCCTTCCCCACAGCCCCTGGGATGTGAGGGGAGGAGGGGCAGAGCCCAGGAGAAGCTGAAGCCAGCGCACAGCCTTGCCACAGAGGCACAGAAAACCCTGGAAGCTCATGCCAAGTTCTTTCTGGAGGGAGCTGGGGCTCAGGAGCCCCATCTGTGCCTTTTAAACTTTGAACTGCAGGCATGTGTTACCGATTCAAAAATAGCAAAGGCCTAAAAAATAAATGAAGGTAGAAGTTCTGATAGGAGAGGGTGGTGCGGGTCTGCCTGGCAGAATGTGCAGGAGAGCAGCCTGTGGCCCTTGCCCGTGGGCAGGAGCTCAGGTCCAGGGTGAGCACCACCATGTGGGGTTTGCAGGGCGCTCCCGCGAGACGCGGGGATGGAATGCTAGCGTGCACCTAGCTTCACCTGACCACGGCAAAGCTCGGTGTTGGTTAAGAAAGCCGTGTGGCACTGCCTGAGGCACCCGCACCGTTGGGGCAGAGGTCAGGGCCGCTGAGAGAAGGGACCTTCGGTGAGTTATTCACCCTGAGCCACGGGCTTCTATGTGGAGAGGGAGGTGGCGCCCACGAGCAGGGTTTTGTGAGAATCTGGGGAGAGCTACAGTGACCCCAGCCCAGGCTGGGCTGACGCAGCACCTGCTGCCACTGGGGTGGTATCTGTGGGGATGCTCTGGGCTGTTGTGATGTGAGGAGCTGGAGGTCCCTCTCCTTCCCTCCCAGGCCCTGAGGAGGAAGGCGCCTTTCCCAGAGCTCTGTCCCAGTCTCTCTGGTCATTGCTTTTAAAAATAACACTGTGGGGCTGGGCACAGTGGCTTACACCTGTAATCCCAGCACTTTGGGAGGCTGAGGTGGGTGGATCATCTGAGCTCAGGAGTTCGAGACCAGCCTGGGCAACATGGTAGAACCCCATCTCTACCAAAAGTAGAAAAAATTAGCCGGGCGTGGCGGTGGGCACCTGTAGTCCTAAGTACATGGGAGGCTGAGGTGGGAGGATCACTTGAGCCTGGGAGGCAGAGGTTGCAGTGAGCTGAGATCATGCCACTGCACTCCAGCCTGGGTGACAGAGCGAGACCCTTTCAGTAAGTAAATAAATAACACCATGGGCCTATCACAGAGACCCTGAGCTTTCCACTTCAGCATGAACTGCTCCTGGCTGGTGGCTCTTAGCGTTCTTTGGTGGGATTTTCTAGTTAGTACTGAGCTGCTTTTGTGATTTGAGCATTTCTGGATGGGTGTGGAATTGGAAAGTCAGATGTGCAGGGCTTGCGCCTTTTCCTTTTGGATCGCGCGTCTCCTGACATGAGGCTGAGCTCACAGAGCTGGCCTCGAGGCGCGCTGTCCCCAGCTGATGAGACGTTTCTGTCCACAGGTGAAGAAGCATCTGCAGGACCTGTCCGGCAGGATCTCCAGAGCTCGGCACAACGAACTCTGAAGGCATTGGGGAGCCCAGCCCGGCAGGGAAGAGGCCAGCGTGAAGGACCTGGGCTCTTGGCCGTGGCATTTCCGTGGACAGCCCGCCGTCAGGGTGGCTGGGGCTGGCACGGGTGTCGAGGCAGGAAGGATTGTTTCTGGTGACTGCAGCCGCTGCCGTCGCGACACAGGGCTTGGTGGTGGTAGCATTTGGGTCTGAGATCGGCCCAGCTCTGACTGAAGGGGCTTGGCTTCCACTCAGCATCAGCGTGGCAGTCACCACCCCAGTGAGGACCTCGATGTCCAGCTGCTGTCAGGTCTGATAGTCCTCTGCTAAAACAACACGATTTACATAAAAAATCTTACACATCTGCCACCGGAAATACCATGCACAGAGTCCTTAAAAAATAGAGTGCAGTATTTAAACCACCCGCTTGTTGGCTGGTCACTAAGTGTCCTGGTGGCTGGGGCCGGAGCCAGTGCTCTTGAAGGGATCGCGTCATAGCCAGCTTCCCCTCTGGGCCCTGTGGGTCTTTGCAGCCAACCTCCTTTTCCCGTGAGACGGCCCGGCCTGATTTAAAGCCAAGAGCGCTTGAGTTGAGTTTGAGGGGAAGATGTGGAGCGTGTGGTTCTGTGGACAGTCAGAGACTGTGGCCTGGGGGCAGCGTCTTTCAACTCTCACCTCTGCAGCTCAGGGACCTCGGGAGACCTCACCAAACCTGCAGGGCCTCCGTGTCCCTAAGTGTGCTGTGTAAATGCCCCATCTCATGGGGGAGAGACAGCCACGGAGGCCTTCCTCTGACCATAGCTGATGGACTGGCGGTTGCTCAGGTCCGGCTCCGAGAATGTTCCTGTGTCTGAGCCTGGAAGAGGCTCGGGTCTGGCTCCAGGCGTGGTTCCCTTCCCGTGTCTGAGCCTGGAAGAGGCTCGGGTCCGGCTCCGAGCGTGGTTCCCTTCCCGTGTCTGAGCCTGGAAGAGGCTCGGGTCCGGCTCCGAGCGTGGTTCCCTTCCCGTGTCTGAGCCTGGAAGAGGCTCGGGTCCGGCTCCGAGCGTGGTTCCCTTCCCGTGTCTGAGCCTGGAAGAGGCTCGGGTCCGGCTCCGAGCGTGGTTCCCTTCCCGTGTCTGAGCCTGGAAGAGGCTCGGGTCCGGCTCTGGGCGTGGTTCCCTTCCCGTGTCTGAGCCTGGAAGAGGCTCGGGTCCGGCTCTGGGCGTGGTTCCCGTGTCTGAGCCTGGAAGAGGCTCGGGTCCGGGTCCAGCTCCGAGCGTGGTTCCCGTGTTTGAACCTGGAAGAGGCTCCACCAGGCGTATTGTGTTTTGACTGCAGCTGGATCTTGGCTTGACTGTTGAGATCTGCCAAACATCCGCTAAGCTATCATTTCTGAGAAAGGTCAAGGCTAGAGGCAGCATGTCGGGAGTTGGCGCATCAGGGTTGGAAGGGCCCCAGGGTACAGCATGTGGGTGCCTGTTCCTTTGTGGACTTGTGTGTGTGTGGCTGGTGGGGCGGGGGGTGGATTCTGGTTCTTTTTTTTCCCATTATCCTGAGAGCCTTAAGGTACTCAGTGTGTTGGTGAGACTCAGCCCTGTCATCTAGCAGAAGTGTGTTCCTTTTCATTGCTGTATAGTATTCCATTGCATGACTGTCCTGTGCTCTGATTTTAATGCACTTTATTGTGGGTGGATATTTGAGTTGCTTCCTTTCTGGGGTAATAACACTCACTTGGAAATAGCTGTGGTGAACACTCGTGTGGGGGTGGGGGTGGGGGCCAACTCTAGGAGCACCTAATGGATCTTACGAAGCGTGTTGTCCAAGTATAGAGATGATTCCAAAGTGGTTGGACTGTGTTTCTTTCTCCCAGCTGGGTGGAAGGAGAACACTAGTGGATTGCTGAGACTTGGTGCTCGGTATTTTTAATTATGGACAGCCTGGCTGGCGTTTTGTGGTGTCTAATTGCGGAGTAGCGTGTCTTACTGTATAATGGCCTCTTTTGTATGTGGGAGACCATGGTGTTGAGGGGAGGCAGTTACACAAAAAACCCAGATACCGAGTGTTAGTTCCATGGGTGTGGCTGGTCATGGTGCGCACTCACGAAGGATGTAGGTGATGCCCTCCACTCCGCAGAGCCAGTCCCACAGGGGTACCCATTCTGACTCCTACCACCGCAGCTCCCTACCTCCCGCCTGCCATGGGTTCCACGTGCATGGCTCTGGGCAGTCTGTGTCTTTGCGTGCGTCTGTGTATGTCTGCGTGTATCTGCTTACATTCGCTCAGCATCTGAGATTCACCCAGGCTTTTGCGTGGATCAGCGGCAGACTCCTGATTGCCGCGTGGCGGCCTGTTGTGTGGGTGTGTGCCGCGTGTGTATCCAGTCCCTACTCAGGAGTGTACGTTTCCAGTGTGGGTTGCAGTCAGGATCCATTTCTCCCTTAACTTTCAGATTATTTGCTGCATAGGCTTTTTTCTCCTAATTTGGCGCCTTTGTCAGAAATCAACTGACCTACCTGTGTGGGTCTGTTTCTGTTTGTCCTTACGCTCTTGCCATTGCCACACTTTAGACAAGGTCTTGCTCTGTCCCTCAGGCTGGAGTGCAGTAGCGTGATCTCAGCTCACTGCACCCTTGACCTCCCATACTCCAGCAATCCCCTCGCCTCAGTCTCCTGAGTAGTAGCTGCGACCACAGGCGTGTGTCACCACACCCGGCTGATTTTATTTTTTTTATTTTTATTTTTTTTGTAGAGACGGGGTTTTACTATGTTGCCCAGGCAGGTCTTGATCTGGGCTCAAGTGATGCTCCTGTCTCAGCCTCCCAAACTACTGGGATTACAGGTTGTAGGTGTGAGCCATGGTGCCCGGCCGCCACACTGTCTTGGCTACAGTTGGGTTTATAATAAACCCTGAATCGAGGTGATGTGCATTTTCCAACTCTTCTTTTTAAAGATTCTTGTGGCTGTTTATGTCCTTGGTGTTTCCATATATGTTTTACAATCAGTGTCTCAATTTCTACCAAAAAAACATGCCTTCTGGAATTTCAATAGCAATTCCCTTGAACGCATTTTTGAATACCTTTTCTGAATGTCTTGAATACATGTTGGGAAGAATCGGTGTCTTAACAGTCTCCAGTGTCCACGCGTTGACTGCCGTGTGTGACTCCAGTCGGCGTCTCAACAGTCTCCAGTGTCCACGCGTTGACTGCCGTGTGTGACTCCAGTCGGCGTCTCAGCAGTCTCCAGTGTCCACGCGTTGACTGCCGTGTGTGACTCCAGTCGGCGTCTCAGCAGTCTCCAGTGTCCACGCGTTGACTGCCGTGTGTGACTCCAGTCGGCGTCTCAGCAGTCTCCGGTGTCCACGCGTTGACTGCCGTGTGTGACTCCAGTCGGCGTCTCAACAGTCTCCGGTGTCCACGCGTTGACTGCCGTGTGTGACTCCAGTCGGCGTCTCAACAGTCTCCGGTGTCCACGCGTTGACTGCCGTGTGTGACTCCAGTCGGCGTCTCAACAGTCTCCGGTGTCCACGCGTTGACTGCCGTGTGTGACTCCAGTCGGCGTCTCAACAGTCTCCGGTGTCCACGCGTTGACTGCCGTGTGTGACTCCAGTCGGCGTCTCAACAGTCTCCGGTGTCCACGCGTTGACTGCCGTGTGTGACTCCAGTCGGCGTCTCAACAGTCTCCGGTGTCCACGCGTTGACTGCCGTGTGTGACTCCAGTCGGCGTCTCAACAGTCTCCGGTGTCCACGCGTTGACTGCCGTGTGTGACTCCAGTCGGCGTCTCAACAGTCTCCGGTGTCCATGCGTTGACTGCCATGTATGACTCCAGGTATTGAGTTCATCTTCAACTTCTCCCAACAATGAACTGGAGTTTTCTGTGCATGTGTCTGGCATGTTTTCCTTTAGATCTAGTCCTAGGTGTTCGATATGCTATTGAGGACTGTGTATTTTTATTTCATTTGTCACCTGTGCGTGGTGCTTTAATCCTGTGCCCTAAACTCCCGCCTTGGCCATGGCGGTGTTTCTGTGGACTCGTGGGGTTTCCGTGTGCACACGCGTGTCCTCTGTCTGACAGTGGCTTTGCTTCCCCTTGTCAGTCTGTGCCTCGGCTTCTCACTGCACTGGTGAGGTGAGCCGGCGCTCGCTAATCTTATTCCCAGTCTCGGTGAACATGGGCTCAGTCTCTCCCGGCTCAGTGTTGGGTTTGCACTGGTGCACTTACAGGCAGAAGAGCTTCCTCATTTGCTGAGGGCTTTTCCTGAATCCGTGTTGAATGTGGTCAGCTGCCTTTCCTGCACCTAGTGAGATGCTCATGAGGTCACTTCCTTACCGCATTACTGTAGTGAATTACGCTGACTTTCATATGCCAAGATGACCTGGCATTTCCAGGTAAGTCCCTGTGGCCATGGTGCATTGGCCTTTTCTCTGCATGGCCAGATGAGATTTGCTCATACCGGGCTAAGGACCTCCTGTGTAGGAATGCTCTTGAGGGACACTGGGCTTGGATGTTCATTGTCTTGTCATGTGATGTGTCTGTCATGGTTTGATATTGCATTAAGTGGGCCTCCTGAAACAAGTTCTGCCATAGTTTGTATAGGATTGGCATTATTTGTTTCATAGAGATGTGATGGGTGAGGCCATCTATGCCTGCCATTTTCTTTTTGCTTAGGTTTTTCATTAAGAACTTGATTTTTAAAAATAGACATGAGGCCTGGCATGGTGGCTCACGCTTGTAATCCCAGCACTTTGGGAGGCCAACGTGGATGGATCACCTGAGGTCAGGAGTTTGAGACCAACCTAGTCAACATGGTGAAACCCCGTCTCCATTAAAAATATAAAAATTAGCAGGGTGTGGTGGTGCATGCCTGTAATCCCAGCTACTCTGGAGGCTGAGGCAGGAGAATCACTTGAACTCAGGAGGTGGAGGTTGCAGTGAGCTGAGATCACACCACTGCACTCCAGCCTGGGCAACAGAGCGAGGCTCTGTCTCAAAAAAAAAGACATGAGGCTTTTGGATTTTCTGTTTCTTCCTTTGTCATTTTTTTAAAGATAGGTTTGTCGCAGAATTTCATCTAAGTTATCAAAACAATTTACATAAATCATTCACAGTATCCTCTGTGCAGTGATGTCCATTCTCATTCCTGCTCTGGGCCATTTGTGTTTTCTTTTCCCCCTGATCAGACTAGCTAAGAGTTTATCATTTTTACAGATATTTTCCCCAAAGAAACCTACTTTTGGGTCCATTGATTTTTTTTTTCTATTGTTTTCTTTTTCATTGACTTTTGCTCTTTTCTTATGAATTTCCTTTCTTCTACCTATTTTGTGTTCAATTTGCTGTCCTTGTTTTAGGTTCTTTTGATAGAGGCTTAGATCATTGATGAAGAATATGAAAGAATGGGATAATACAGTTAAAAACTTGGTCTACTTATGCCCATTAGAGAAAACATTCTTAAGCACGCATGGAATCTTTTAAAAATGGACGAGGTACTAGGACCCAAAGCAAATGTCAGTAATTCGCAGATGATAATGTATAAATATATGATATGTAGGTAAATAATACAAATCACATTCTTTGGCCAGAGTGCAATTGAGGAGGAAATCAGTAACAAAAAGACAATTAAATCCATTTGATTCTTTTGTTTTCGTTTTGTAGTAACTTGCACTTCCCTGGTGCCAGAGGCATGACACCTTTTTGTCTGCTCTTGGCCATTTGGGTGGCGTCTTTGGGAAGGGCCTACTTAATTCTTTTGCCTATTTAAAAAACTGGGTCTTGGAAATCTTGTCTTTTTTTTTGAGTCAGGATCTTTCTCGCACAGGCTTGGAGTGCAGTGGTGCGATCATAGCTCACTGCAACCTCAAACTCCTGGGCTCAAGCGAGCCTCCCACCTCGGTCTTCTGAGTAGCTGGGACTACAGGCATGCATCACTATGCTCTGCTAATTTAAAGAAAAGGTTTTTTTTATAGAGACTGGGTCTCGCTGTGTTGCCCAGGCTGGTCTCGGAGTCCTGGTCTCAAGTGATTCACCTGCCTCCACCTCGCGGAGTGCCAGGATTACAGGTGGCGGGAGCCGCCACACCCAGCCTGGTCTTAGCGTTATTCCCAGGTCTAGGTGTGAGTCCTTCCTCAGATATGTGTTGTGAATAATTTCCGATCCTCTGGCTTGCTATTTTACTTTCTTAATGGTTATCTTTTGGAAAGCAAAGGTTTCCAGTTTGATGAAATCTAATTTTTATTTTTTATTTTTCCGTTCTAGTGGTCTTTCTATTTTCTCATCAAATTGAGACTTTGGGGAAACTACACAGCAGCAAACCAGGATATATCCTCTTAAAAACAGCTCGAGCCGGCCGGGTGCGGTGGCTCATGCCTGGAATCCCAGCACTTTGGGAGGTGGAGGTGGGCGGATCACGTGAGGTCAGGAGTTTGAGACCAGCCTGGCCAACATGGTGAAACCCCATCTCTACTAAAAATAAAAAATTAGCCAGGCATGGTGGCAGGCACCTGTAATCCCAGCTACTTGGGAGGCTGAGGCAGGAGAATGGCTTGAACCTGGGAGGCAGAGGTTGCAGTGAGCCGAGATCGCGCCATTGCACTCCGGCCTGGGGACAAGAGCAAGACTTCGCCTCAAAAAAAAAAAAAAACCCAGCTTGAGCCAAGTGTGGGTGGCTCCCGCCTGGAATCCCAGCACTTTGGGAGGCTGAGGCGGGCAGATCACTTGAGGCCAGGAGTTTGAGACCAGCCTGGCCAACATCACAAAATCCCATCTCTACTAAAAATACAAAAATTAACCAGGAGTGGTGGCAGCATCTGCCTATAATCCCAGCTACTCGGGAGCCTAAGGCACGAGAATCACTTGAAGCTGGGAGACAGAGTTTGCAGTGAGCCAAAATCGTGCCATTGCTCTCCAGCATGGATAACAGAGCAAGACTCTGTCTCAAAAAAAAAAAGCTTGAAAATTTAAAAATATCTCAATAATTATGAGATGCAGTGATTTTTTTTTTACTTCCCTAAGCTGGGTTTCCAGGTATCTCTAGGTTCAGCTCCTCCGGGGCTGGAAGTACATGAAGGGCAGCATTGCCCACCTTGACCAGAGCAGGCTCGGAGCAGGGCAGTGGAAGAGCTGGTCCCAGCTCAGCCCAGCCTGCTGGGTCAGCATCCATCTGAAAGGTCATCTCTACCCAGGAACTTGATGGCTTCCAGCTCCACCCTAACAGAAACCTCCCCAGCATCTTGCCGAGTTGTAATCCAGGGTGGTGGTATAGACGGTCTTGGGGTAGCTGGTATAGACGGTCTTGGCGTAGCTGGTATAGACGGTCTTGGGGTAGCTGGTATAGACGGTCTTGGGGTAGCTGGTATAGACGGTCTTGGGGTAGCTGGTATAGACGGGCTTGGGGTAGCTGGTAGTGGTGCTCAGGAGGCGTGTGGGCTGCTGGTGCAGCTGGAAGCGCACCTCAGCCATGGTGTTGTGCCAGGTGTGGTTGGGGATGCAGGGGACGTTCCGGCCGCAGGAGGCCCCTGCCAGGCACAGGCAGCTGCGCGGTGTGGAAGAAGTGCCGCTCGGAGTCATGCTTGACAAGGAAGTACACCTTACTCCTCTCAGTGGTGAGGGGTCAAACCACTCCTTCCCAGCGATGGGGCCAGCAGCCTGGCGAGGGCTAGGCACCGGGGAGGGATGCTGGATTTGGAGCTGGGGGGAAGGGGTCACCCTGCATTGGGCTCCAGTGCTCCGGGTGCCATGCCTGCTCCCCCACCACTGCCACCGCAGCCGCTGCGGGACACCAGGGGCTGGGGCTGAAGAGCAGCCTCGAGCTGGGCTGTCCAGGACACGGTCGCCCTTCTTCCTCGTGTCCGTGAGCTCAGGCACAACCTGCAGCTTAGCCAGCCCACTATGGCTGCGTGCGTGGCAGGACCCGGGCCACCATGGCTGCGTGCATGGTAGGGCACATGATTATTTTAGCCTCTGGTATCACTAACCATCCCTAAAGTCTCCAATGGTCTGTTCCTGTCTTTCCCTCTGGTTCACTTGTGGGGTCATGTTGTCTTCTGTTCTTTGTTATTTATTTTTTTCTTGAGACGGAGTCTTGCTCTGTCGCCCAGGCTGGAGTGCGTTGGTGCGATCTCGGCTCACTGCAACCTCTGCCTCCCAGGTTCATGCGATTCCCCTGCCTCAGCCTCCCAAGTAGCTGGGATTATGGGCACCTGCCACCATACCCAGCTAATTTTTCTGTGTGTGTGTGTGTTTTGTTTTTTGGTTTTTTTTTTTTTTTTTTTGAGATGGAATCTCAATTGCTCAGGCTGCAGTGCAATGGCGCAATCTTGGCTCACTGCAACCTCCACCTCCTGGGTTCAAGAAATTCTCCTGCCTCAGCCTCGCAAGTAGCTGGGATTACAGGCCCCTACCACCACAGTGGGCTAATGTTTGTATTTTTAGTAGAGACAGGGTTTCACCATGTTGGCCAGGCTGGTCTCGAACTCCTGACCTCAGGCAATCCGCCCACCTCGGCCTCCCAAAGTGCTGGGATTGTAGGCATGAGCCACCATGCCTGGCCTAATTTTTCTGTTTTTAGTAGAGACAGGACTTCACCATGTTGGCCAGGCTGGTCTCAAATTCCTGACCTCAAGTGATGTGCCCACCTCGGCTGCCCAAAGTGCTGGGATTACAGGCATGAGCTTCTGTGCCCGGCCTGAACTGTTAAGTGTTTGTGAAGAATTATTTGGGGGCCTATTTGAGAGCTGTTATATGGATCATCCTCCTGGAGAGGGTTCTTAAGCCTCTGAGACCGGGTTTGGGGCTGAGGCTTTCTGACCCACACAAGTCATGCTGACCCCTGAAGGGCCGCAGGCCAGATCTTGCCAGGTGAGCACTTTCCCCGCTCACATTCAGGATAGGGCGAGGGGGTTGGTACCGATTCACCCTCAGGGCCTAGATTTGGGGGCTTCAGCTTGCTGCAGATAGGTGCTCCCTTCACTCTCACCTGAGGCTGGGCTGGAGCCTGGTGTCTGCCCCACCCTGCTGGTCAGCCCCCTAGGACCTGAGCCCCGTAAGCCTGGACTGGCCACGCCCTGGGGCAGCAGCACTGGGTGCTTGGCGCTCACGACCTTCCTGGGCCCCTGGGTCCCTCACTTCTCCCTTGTTTCTACCTTCCTGGCTTGTCAGATTCCCACAGCTCTTAAGGAGAAATTCAGTATTTACTGCAGCATGTGTTTTCAGTGTGATGGTTCATCTAGGTACCCTAGCCTGTCATTGCTGGAGTTGGAAATCTCTGTTGTCTGCTGTTGTTTTGTGAAACAAGCGCGTGAGGTTATAAGTTTCCCTCAACGTACCACACTAACCACATTTCCCTAAGTTTTGATGTGTAGTGTTTTCACTGCCATTCAGTTCAAAATATTTTCTCATTTCAAGTATGATGTCTTCTTTGATCCATGTGTATTTTTAAGTTGCTAAGTGTACTTACTTTGGCCGGGCATGGTGGCTTACGCATGTAATCCCAACACTTTAGGAAACTGCGGGGGGGAAGGATCACTTGAACGCAGGAGGCTGAGGCTGCACGTCACAGGGAGAGACGGGCCGCGGTGATGTACGAGCTTCCTGTTGATAGGCAGTTAAGTTGGTTCGGGATAACGTGGCCTGCCTGGCACGGGTATTCCCAGAGTCACAGATGCTCACCCGTGCCAGCGTTGGCTGCTTGGGACATGGGGACGGCGAGGTCCCCACACCCCACATGTGAGCTGCTGGTAGCTGGGCTGAGCCCAGGTCCCATCCGTGTGTGGGGCGTGAGTGTGCGGTGCCATCGGGTCTGCACGGGCCTCGCCTCGTCCCGGACGCTCCAGGCTTCCTGTGGCACGGGTGCCGAGAGGGACCAGCCTGGGCCTGCTGAACCGAGGGGGTGGTCTAGGGCAGAGGCTCCTGCTCTGACAAAAGGGAAGGTGAAAGGCAGGAGCACCAGGAGGGGCAGCACGAGGACAGGGCGTGGGGTGGCAGCCGAATGGGTGGTGTGGCTCGAGGGCAGTGGGCCAAGGCCGGGGCAGTCTCAGGCCCAGGGATGGAAGCCCCATGCGGGCACAGGTTGGAGTCCAGGGTGCCCGAGACACGATGGCCCGTGTGCTCCACCTCCTCACATCTTCAACAGCTTTGCAGAGATGACCCTGTCAGGCTTTGGCTGCTGGTCACAACTCCAGGGGAAGGTCAGGCTTCCTGTTCAGTTTGTCCAGTCACAGCTCTGGCCTTGAGTGGCTGTCCTGGGCCAAGGGCAGCTGCCCTGAGATCAGAGCAACCCCGCCTTGGCCAGCATCGTCCCTTCCCACGGCTCCTCCACCACACAACTGGGACCCATGGGTGCCAGATACAGCGTGGGCCATCACAGCCTCCCCGGGCACTCTGCTGGAGGCCTGGGTGTACCTGAGCCCCATACCACGCCCACCCGTGGTGCCCTGGCTAGGTCTTACTCTGACCCCTGCTTCCTGGCTTTCCACAGCCGTGGGACCAGCCCCAGCCCCACATCCACACTTCGTGTGGCCATTTCCTCAGGACATGGCCTGGCCACTCCATTGTGCCGAGAGGATGTGGCCCAAGGCACACCCAGACACACTGGGTCTAGGCTCCAAACCCGCCCCCACAGCCCCACGATCCCATCAGCAGCAGAGGGGCTGACCCTTTCTCCCACTTTGTGAACAGGAAGCCTGAGCTCCAGCAAGCTAGGGTCACGGGGAGGGGTGGGGCTGTGCCACCCAGGTTGCGTGTCTGAGCTGGTGCATGTGGCCAGCCCCGGAGGTGGACATCTCAACTCTGCCACCCTAAGGGCCCGACACGGCTGCAGCCCTGGATCAGGGTGCAGGCCATGCCTTGCCCCAACTTGCAGCTGAAAGTCTTGTCCATGGACCCTCCAGGCTGAGAGCCCAGCCCAGCCCTGCCCTGTCTGTCAGAATGCTCCCCAGGGCCTTTGCGTCGAAGCGGGAGATCTCTGTCCTGGCCCCAGCTGGCTCCGGTTGACCCTGCATCCTGCCACCTTGACGCCAAGCGTCCTCAGCAGTCACATGCAGAGCGGGGGCGCCAGGAGGGCCAGTGCTCTGAGCCTGCCCACTGAGGGCCCCGCTGAGCAGCAGTGGCAGCTGCCTGCCATACCCGGGGCAGGCCAACCACAGACTCTCTGGGTCCTTGGTGGGCTCCTGGGGGAGGGGCGGGGGAAGGACGGGCAGGAAGATGAAAGAAAGGGACGAATACGGATGGAGCCATGCAGAGCAGAGAGCCCCATCTCCAGGAGCAAGGCAGGGGGCCCGCCCGGTGCTTCCTCCTGCCACAGGGGTTGAGGGCATGCAGGACGCCCACCACCTATGCACATAGCCCCGTCACCTCACCCACCCCCAAGCCACAGCACCGCACCGACGCAGGAGGAAGCCCCAACCCCGTGCCACCAAGGAAGGCAGCTCTGCTCGCCCCAACCCCGAGCACCCCCAGGTGAAGACATCAGACCCATGTCCAGGAGCAGAAACCAGGAGAGAGAAAATAGGCATTGTCAGAAACAGAACAGTCACAATGGCTCTTTACATGACTGGCTGTAATAGGTCCCAAGAAGTGGAGCGGTCAGGTGGCTGGGAGAGTCCAGGCTCCGTCCCCAGGTGCAGGGTGGCGGTGGCCCAGGCAGGACAGCCGGGAGGCGGGGAGGGGATTCCGGGAGTGTCTGAGCCGCCAGTCTCAGGAGCGGGCATGGTGCCGACAGTGGGAGCGGGCACTGGGTCCTGGCTCTGCAGGGCCACAACACCCAGGTGAAGGGATGAGCATTTTGCCAGGACACGGCTGTCATCCATGCAGTCACCCCCAGGGTGAGAGGGCGGTTTGCATCCCAGGCACCACAAACCATGCTCCCAAACTCCTGGGCAGCAGCCTCTGCCTGAGATGCCACAGCAGCTACCAGAGCTGCCTGATGCCTGGAAGCAGGGCCTCAGTCAGCCTGGGGTCCAGAGCAACTCTTTCAGGCCGAAGGGTCAGCCCCGGACACCTGTGAGGCAGGAGGCCTGGCCGTGGGCCCTGAAAACTTCCTGTTTGCACCATGGCCCGGAGACCGGCCATGCCTGCTCCTGCGACTGGGAGCTCCCTGGGGACCAGACCACGCCCAACAGAAGGGGCTGGCCTGCCGGGGGCCACGGGGCCGCACAGCGCACCGGGTTTGCGGTCAGCTCCTGGCGCTGTGACCTCACTGCGGGGCTGCCTTCCTCTGCTCCAGCTCCGACAGCTGCTCCTCCCGGGCCCGTGCGTGCCGCACCCCCACTCTGTGCGCCGTCTCGGTGGCCATGATGTCGATCTGGGCGTAGAGGGAGGCGCCAGCCCCTGAAAGAATTCTGTAGTGAGCGGCAGCCTGCGCCCCGAGCCACCCAGCCCTGTGACCCTGCCCTCCACACCAGTCCCCCAGCCAGGCCCTCGGAAGCATCTGAGTGGGGACACCCTCAGGGGATGTGGCCTGGCCAGGGATGGAGTTGGGGACATTTGCCTCCTGGGGGGAGGCTGTAGGAAAAGCTCCCTGGCCAAGGGCTGCTGGGTGGGGCTGGGGGCTCAGGGCCCTGAGGCTGTGGTCCCAGCCCCCAATTGTCAGTGCCTCCACGCAGGGCGGGGACCCACCTCGGACACCCTCGCTGGCCTCCTGGAGCTCCAGGCCCATGTAGTGCAGCTGCTTTCTGGAGGATGGGCTGACGGGGATGTTCACGTAAGTGGGCGACTCGCCGCGCGGCCTCTCTGGTCCTGGGCTGTCCACAGCCACGGGTCCTGGGGATCCTGTGGGGGGAGCGGCTGTGAAGCCCCGGTGGGGACCGAGAGGGGCACAGATCTCAAAGATTGTGCAGTAAAGAGCTGCCCACCCTGCCTAGCCCCTCCTCCCCACTCCGCCTCTCCTGCACCTTGGAAGTTCCCGCTCCATGTTCCTGACCGTCCATCTTTGGCCCAGCGCTGCCCCATCCTGAGGCCCCCCCCACACTGTCCACTCCTGGTCCAAGTACCCACAGAGCAGAAGGAAGCGCTGTCCCCTCCACTGTGCCGCCTCCCCTGCAGGAATTGCCGACCCCCCCATGGGCCCCCCAAGGCCCACTCTTCTGTCCCTGCGCCCCTCGCCCCGCACCTTCCCAACTCTCTCCACCAACCGCCCCTCCTTGGCTGTCCCAGCACCTTCTCTACCTAACCCTCCCGGGCCAGCACAGCCCTGCTTTGTCCTGGCCCCCAGCACCTCCCCCTCACTGTCCTCCGGGGTCACCCCCACCTGCTGCAGGCTCCAGGGACCCCCTCCTCTCCTGCACACAGGCCCACGCTCCCTCTGCATCCCCTCCAGGACACCCAGGTGCCCCACACCCTCTCCCCCCTCATAGGAGCTACTCCCTTCCCCCGACCCCCTTCCTAATAGCTGATGGTTCTGTCTGCACACCCCATTGGTGCTGGGGAGGGCAGAGCAGGAGCAGGATAGGAGGGGACCCCACAGGCCCGGCTGGGTGGGACTTGAGGCAGGCTCCCACCTTAGGGGGTTGGACGCACACCGGCCCCTCCTCTGCAGGCCTGAGGGCTCCGCACCGTGGGCACCCAGGTTCTACAGGAAGGACCCCGTTCTCCAGTGCCTCCTCCCATTCTTGTCATCAGGACCTCGTGAGGGAACGCACAGCCACGTGAGGCAGGGGAGGTGACAGCAAGTCCCCCCCCATTCCCTGAGCCAGTGGCTGGGAGACACAGCCAAGCCCCACCCACAGTGACCTCCCCACCCCCAGCACACTCCGAGCCCTCAGAATTCAGGTGGGGGCTGGGATCCAGCGGGTGACAGCCCTGCAGGGTCGGCCTCCCTGAAACACCTGCCTGTCCAGGGGAGGGGCCTGACTCAAGGCTGGGCCTCCCTGCCCCAGGGATGCATCCTCAGCAGACCAGGTTCTCCTGTGGCCACCCGCTGCCCGGCACCTGCCGCAGACATCCACTCTGCCTGGCTCCTCTCACCCTTGTCCCCGTCACTCCCTGCAGCAGGGCTAGGGGTGAGGAACTTTCACTTGCTTGCTCCCAGTGGGGAAACTGAGGCCAGGGAGACCTGACTCGCTGATTCTGCAGGCAGCAGCTGGGACAGAGCGAGATGGAGCCCAGGTCGACGAGGGTTCGCTCACCTGATTCCATGAACTAAAGCAACCAACACAATTCTGCCCCAACCCTGCCTGGCCCTGAGGCCCTGGGGAGACCCCCCTCCTGCAAATGTGTGGTCCTAGAGGGCTGGTCCCCTCGGAATGCCAGGACCCCTTCATCGAGATGAGCCACAGAACATAGCGGCCAAGTTCTGGTGCCCAGGCAGGCACCTGGGCCAGCAGGGACAGGGCCAGCAGGGCCAGCTGCCTAGAGGAGGGGGCATGGCTGAGGGGCTAGGCCAAGAGGGGGTGGTGGGAGAGGCAGGTGGGGTGAGGGCCTGGGGAGAGCTGAGGGAGCGCCGGGGCCTGGCGTCTGGAAAGGGGGCCTTGAAGCCAAGGGGCAGGGCCGGGGCTTGCCCACGGTGGGGCTGGACACCCCCCTGCAGCCTGGTACCTCGTTTTAGGATTGCATCCGTTCTTCCAAGTTTGCTCCCAAGGTTGGGCGGTGAGGGGTGAGGGTGGAAGCAGGAAGGAGCATGAGGCCTGACTGCAGGGAAAGGGGACGAATGTTCCCAACACCACCCGGAGTCACACGGGGGCTGTAAGCAGCGCTGGGCCAGCAGTGTGTCCGTATCTGTATCTCCCCCAAGGCCACTGGCTCCAGGGCCCTCAGTGCTCCTCCTCCCGTCCCCTCCTTGGGACTTGGATTTTGCTTCGGCTTCTGTGAGCATCGCTTCCAGTACCTCGGATACTCTTTCAGTGAAGCAGCAACCGGGAATCGGCTGGCCCTTCTGCACTCTCCTCCCAGACCCCGCCCTGGGCTGGCAGCCCGACGCTACCACTTGGGCCTGGCTCATCTCTGTCCCATGACAGACCCCAGGCGCCCCTCCTGAGCCCCCGGCCTCTGTGGAAAAGATTCACATCCTCCAGCAGATACTGGGCCTGTCCCCTTGATCCCCACACCTGTGTCCCAGGGCACCCCTGTCTGGGTAAAAGACATCTGAAGGGTACGGGTGGCCTCGGGGAGGCAACAGCAGGCTGCCCAGGAGGACCCTTGGGGCAGGGCTGGCCCCACCACCTCTGGTCTGGTGGCTGCCTCAGCACACTGGACTGCAGGGATCGGTGTCCAGCCCAGGGCCAAGGCAGACTGGTGGGGGCTTTCCCAAGCTGCCCCTGCCTGCCTGTGGCTCCGCCCCCATCCCTGACTGTCCCCTCCAGGCCTGCCTGGGCGCCTCCCCCACCCTGGGTGTCCTCTCCAGGCCTGCCTGGACCCCGCCCCCCTGTAGGTGCCACCTGCCTGGGAAGAAGGGATTGAGGAATCCAAGGTTTAGCCCGCAGTGGCTCCTACTCCACAAGGAAACAGGCACAGAACTGGCCCTGATGCCACCCATCTACCCCAGGCCAGCCGTCCTCATCTCCAGCCTCTCAGCCCTGCCCAACCTTCAGCAGGGCTCTGTCCCCAGTGACTGCCAGGCTTCTCTAGGGAGACCCTGGGGATCCGTACCTTCCCACTGCCTCCCTGCCTGGCCCTCCCTCCCAACCTGGCCCCAAAACTGCACCTGCCAGGGCACCAATGCCCTGCCCTTCGCCGAGTCGCTCACCACCAGCCCAGCCTCCACAGGCCCCCACCGCTGTCTGAGGACACAGCCCCTCCTCCCTGAGCTGGGGCTCCTGGACCCCAACCCTGACTGCCTTCCTGCCATGCCCCCTCCCAGGAACAGGTCCACACTCAGGGCTTGGGGACCCGTGGACCCCAGTCTGTGTCTCCCAACCTTCAGTCCATCCTCCAGCAGCCTGCCCTCTACCCACTGCCCTGCTGTCCACACCTGGGCTGGGACTCACCCCCACTGCCCACTGCCACCCAGCAACCACTGTCAACTGTCACCCAACACCCACTGCCACCCAACATCCACTGTCAGCCAACAACCACTTTCACCACATTGCCCACATTCCCTGCTGGCAGTGGGCCCCCCACCCTCCCCCCTCCCCATCTAGTCAAACTCTGGCTGCCATCTGCGCCCACCCAGACTCCCGCCTTCCTGTCCCCGAGCTCTGGGGGACTGGCTCCAGGTGCCTACCTGAATGTGCTGTCGCAGGTCCTGGGGCTGAGGCTGCCGCTCCCTAGACCAAAGAGAACCTGGGTCAGTGCATCCTTCAGTCTTCCCCTCATCCTGTGCCCGGGGGGCCACCGAGAACAAGGACACTACCCCCCAAGAGTGACACAGGCTGGGGGACCTGGGTCACCTGCAGGGAGTCCAGCCCGCCATACCTGATGCCTTCTCTCCAGGGCCCTTTGCCCCACAGCCCCCAGATCTCCGGGCCACCCACTGCCTTGACCACCCAGCCTGGTGGTAGCCCCCATAACCACCCATGGGGGAGCTGGAGGCCTCGGCATCTGGGGAGGGGGCGGTTCCCAGCCCTGAGGCCCAGTCCAGCCCCACTATTTTGCTATTAGAGCTTTATCGGAGGAGTACCACGCCCATGCAAGGTAGTGTCTGGGCTCCGACCTCAGAGCTGAGCGGCTGCTCCGAGGGTGCCTGTGATTTCCTTTCCCGTCCTTGAGGGTGTGGGCCCTGCTCTCTGCAGCTGGTGGGGAAGGCTCCGCAGGGGGGTGCCCCTGGAAAATGCCCCACTGGGAGGCCCCAGATGAGATGAGCAAAGTTCCCTGACACTGCAGGCGACCTTCTCCTGGGCCTCTGAAGTGGGCCGTGCCTAACGGGGTGCCCCAAGTCCCTGGAGGAGCCTATGGTGGGGTCTGAAGGGCGCTTGCGGGAGGGACAGCGGCCCACGGCTGAGCAGAGGCTTCCTGCCCACCTCCAGCCCAGATGAGCAGAAGCGGGGCCAGCCCAAGACAATGTCCCACATGGGTTCCGGCAGCCGGCAGCTAGAAAGAAGGCGCAGCACCCTCCTGTTCTGAGGGGCCTCGTGGGTGGGGGCTGGGAGGCCGGAAATGGGGGCTCAGCACCTAGCACTGGTGCAGGCCAGACTCAAGGGCAGACAGTCACAGGGCTGGGACCCTCACACGAGGCCCCCTGAGCAAACTGAGCTGGTCTAGACTTTGAGAACCTTTGACAACAGGCCGACACCCCCTGAGCTCATCACATACACAGGCTCCTGAGAGGGCCCCTCCCCAGCTGCTCCCGGTGGGGGCAGGCGGGTAGGTGTGGATGGTGCAGAGCCCGAACCAGCGAAGGTCCACCCTGTCCCCTGCCTGGCCAGGCCCAGGTGCTCCAGGGCCGTCAAGAAAACAGAACCAGTGTCTGTCCCATCTGGTTGCCCCTGGCCTGAGGAGGAGCCCCCAGCCTGTTGGCCACCCACCTGGGAACTGGGTACTGAGGCTGGAGACCCTGGGCTGCCGTAGCAGGCGGTGGCCGGAACCTTCAGACGCCCGGAGCGAGGCCCACTCACGAGCATCGTGAGGAGAGGCAGATGTCCCGGCCGCATCCCCACAGGGAAAGGCTGTCCAGGGGCCCAGCCCCGCCAGGCAAGAGGCCCCATGACTCCAGGCCACCGCTGTGGGGTGCTTCAGTCTGGTCCCATCAGAGGGACCTTGCCCCCACTAGCCTTGGGCAGGCGACCCGTGGGAACACAGAGGGCTGAGCGTGGATGATGAAGACTAGCGGGAAGGGCCTGGCTCCCCAGCAAAGGAGCCACAGCCTCACTCGTCCTGCAACAAGACTGGCGCGGCCACCTCCGGAGGTGACAGCAGCAGGGGTAATGGTGACGGGCAGCTATTGAGCGCCTGAAGAGTGACCTCATCAGACCCTCAGTGCAGCCCAGTGAGGCGGGGTCTGTCATCCCGTTTGCAAGAGGAAACTGAGGCTCAGAGAGGGGCGGGGCTTGTAGGGTCACCCAGCCAGCAGGTAGTGGATGTGGCCCAAACTCAGTCCCCAAAGCCCACGCTTGCTCACCAGGCACTGCTGCAGAAGCCCTCCAGAACTCCCCGCTCAGAGTCAGTCCCTGACAGGGTGGCAGGCAAAGGGACAGGCAGGCACCCACAACAGGGTGGCGGGTGAGGGGGCAGGCAGGCACCCACACAGATGTGCAGGGGTGACTGAGACAAGCCTGGAACTCGGCCCCATGTAGGGGAGACAGGCAGGGCAGGGGCCCTGGGCTCAGAGCCAGCCCCCTCCTGAGGTCCGCCCTCACCGGGACCTGAGGAGCCCCATGCCTGAGGGACTACTGCAGACCCCACTGTGGTCTCCAGGACACACCCAGGAATGTGCCACACGTGCACACACCACACATGCACATCCCAGCCCGGGGGCTGCCCGGAGCTGCCTCTCCGCACACCACAGCATTCAGGCCCAAGGCTCACAAGACAGATGAGGCCTCTCGCACTCTCTGAGATAAAGGCCAGGGAAGCCGGGCCCGGGGACTTCGCATCCAGGCAGAGGCCCCACGTGGAGGGTGGGCGAGGAGGCGGAGAGGGCTGGGCAACGGACTAGGACAAGGTGGTAAGGAAAGAACATTTTATTTCCAGTCTATTACAAACAGTGTCTGGGTTTAGAAACAGCTGACAGTGAAGGGACAAAGAGGTGTTCACAGGGAGCTGCTGGGCTGTGGTCAGGGCAGGCTCCAGGCTGTGCAAGAGGAAGCCACCCAGGGCGGGGGACAATGGGCCCAACACAGCCCCACCTCCGACGCAGGGGCTGAGGCCTGGGCCAGGGGAAACACAGGCCAAGCCAGCCTTTGGCCCTGCGAGGAGGTTCAGACAGGAGCCAGCAGAGCTCCCACCAGGGGCCCGAGGCACGGCGCCTCTCCCAGTGGGGTCAGCAGGCGAGGCTGCTCTGAGGACACCACCTGCTCCCGGAACCTTCCCACAAGGGCTTCACTGGGGAACAGTGGGGCCCAGAACCCAGAGACCCCGCAAGCCACACAGCCTCCTGAGCTTCAGTTTCCTCCCATAGATGGGGATGAGGCCCAGCGCACACGGAGCCCAGGGGGGCTGGGCTGGTGGAGCCCAGGTGGCCGGAGCCTCTGTGGTAGCTTGATGCTTAACAGGTGGTGTGACTGCCCCAGAGAGGTGATGGGGAGAACCGGCCACCCCCGAAGGGGGCGTGAGGCCCAAGGAGGACAAGGCCAGCGGCAGGGCCTCCAGCCCTTGGCACCCCAGTGCAAGGCACGAGCCAACAGAGGTGCAGCACTCACCTGATCCTCAGGGGTGGGGGACACGGAGTGAAGCAGCTGAGCATTGGGGCTCTGGTGACCCCGACCTGCCGGACCCAGAGCCCCTGCCTTCCAGAACTCACCTCCCCAAGTCAGCCCCTTCCTCCGGTGGCAGCCACAGGGCGCGCCCTCCAGCTCCCCTCTCCGGGAGACCCCCGGTCCCTCCCACAGAACACAGAGCACCAGTCTGCAAGGAGGCTGGCGCCACTTCCTCTGCCATCTGGGGGCAAATTCAGCCCCTTTGCAGCCGCGGGGCGGGATCTGCGGCTCTCAAGGAGGGGGGTTTACCTTGAGTCCTCCACAGACTGGACATGCCGAAAAGAAAGCCGGGGGTGGCCCCGCGTGGGGGCCGCCTGCTTCCCAGGGCTCGCCAGGGGCAGGGCCAGGCAGTGTGGCCTCGCTGCCCTGGGGGGCCTCCATCACCAGGCCCCGCCGTCTCGTGCCCAGCCAGCCAGAGGGACACCCGGCGGACGTCTGGCCGCCTGAGTCCCTGGCCGCACTGTTGCCGGGGCTGCCCTGTGAGGGGGGGCTGTGGTCTCTAGGAGCCAGGCAAAGGCTGCGTGGTGTGTCATAGTGGGCCCGCAGGGAGGTGGGCACCTGGTACTCGACTGTCCCGGGCAGGCAGGTGCACAGGCTGGGCTCGGGGGCCCCCGCTGCTGGCAGGCTGAGCAGTGAGCCCAGTTCATCTGTGGCCCGCCACACGTCCAGGCTGCTGCCCGCGTAGGACGAGAGGCTGCTGGAGTAAGAGGAGTGGCTGCCAGTGGCGATGCCGCTGTCCGAGGAGCTCTGGCGGCCAACCTCCTGCAGCTGCCGCGGACGCAGCGGCTTGGGGGGTGGCCTTGAGGCACCCACCATGGCTTCCCCGGCGGCCTGGGCAGCTGCTGGTCTAGGCCCCTCCTGTGACGTGCTGGCTGACGACGAGGATTGCTCTGGCCATGCGGTGAGCCGGCTGCTGGCGCTGACGTCCAAGTGACTGGCCTCTGAGGATGAGCTGGACAGGCTGCGGTCATCCCCTGAGACAGAGCAGGAAGCCAAGGCAGTTGTGGGGGTACAGGGGTCTGGGCAGGACGTGGCTGATGCCTGGTGGACCCCCACAGGCCAGCACTCTCTGGTCTCGCCCCACCCCTTCCAGCCCCCAAGCCCCGGGGCCTACAGCAGAAACCTGGCTTCACCAACAACAACCCCTCTACCCCTCATCCACTCCTGTTCTTTGTCCGTTCCTGTCCTTCTGCCACCTGTTCTCCTACGGCCTGCGCCCCTCCCTCTCAGCACCCCTGCCACTACCTTGGTCCCCGCCTCCTCCCCTTCCCTAGAGCTCCCCACCCTCCCTGCCTAACACCCCACGCTCCATACCCAGCCATCCCGACTACCTTCCAGGGCCACCTGGGGCAGCTTGCCCTCCGCACCATCACGGCCCCAGGCTGGTCTGGACGTCCCTTCCCCAAGAACTTCCCAGGCCCTGCCAGCCTGGACACGAGGCACCAGCTGTGCCCACACACCTCGACTCGCCCCCTGCCCTCACCATGCTGGCGTCCTTGCCTCACTCCCAGTCTCCCTCCCTGCGGGGGATGAGAAGCACACCCAATGCAGATCCCAGGCTGCCTCCCGCCTGCCAGGCCAGGCCCCTCCCGTGCTCTTGGGAAAGCCACTTTCATCTCTGCTGCGTCTCTAAGCTGCCTGCTCTGCCTTCCAGGGCTCCCAAATGGAAAGCAGCTGTGAGTCACCCCCAGGAAGGCAAAAGCTTATTGCAAACCTGAGTCCCCTCCTCCTGGGGCAGGGCAGGAGGGGAGATGACCACTGTCTGCTTGGTGCCCTCTGGGGGACAAGCAGTGATCAGAGGGCACTGGCCGGACCAGCACGGCTCCTGCACTTGGCCGTGGGAACACAGGTCACCCATGCAGCCACCCTTCGGGGAGCACAGCGGCCCCTCCTGCTCTGCCAGCCCCTTCCACCACCACCTCTCCCCACAATGGCAACAGAGCCAGAGCCACCGGCAGCTGAGGAGGTGCCTCTGCTCCTGGGCAGCCAGCTCACCTGCCTTAGAGCCTTTTGTCTGGGCACAGAAGGTAAAACCAACATGCAGGGCCTTGGTCTCCCCCAGCCACAAGCTGGTGGGCAGGAAAGGATTCAAAGGCTCTCAGGGCAGAACCACCTTTCCCGTCAGCACCTCAGACCAGAGTTTAGTAAATGTGGAACCATAAGTGAAGGAAGGAATGAATGAATAGGTGGGAGAAGGAAGAAATGAATGAACAGACAGAAGGAAGGAATAAGCGGAGGGACAAGGAAAGAATGAATGAGTGAGAGAGAAATTGAGTAGGGAGAGAAGAAAGAAATGAATGAGCAGGGGAAGAAGGAAAGAAGGAAGCTGGGGTGAGCAGGAAGGAATGAACGAGCAGGGGGAGCAGAGGAAGGAAGGAACAAGCAGGCGAAGAAGGAAGGAATGAATGAGCAGGGGGAGAAGGCAGGAATGAATGAGCGGGGGGGCGGAGGAAGGAATGAATGAAGGAATGAATGAGCAAGGGGAGAAGGAATGAAAGAGCAGCGGGAGAAGGAAGGAATGAGCAGGGGGGAAGGAATGAGCAGGGGGGAAGGAATGAATGAGCAGGAGGAAGAAGGAAGGAAGGAATGGGGGGAAGGGAGAAACGAATGAACGAGCAGGGGGAGAGGGAAGGAATTAATGAGCAGGAGTGGGGAGAAGGAAGGAATGAGCCGGGGGAAAAGAAAGGAAGGAATGGGGGGGAAGGAAGGAATGAATGAGCAGGAAGAAGAAGGAAGGAATGAATGAGCAGGAGGGAAATGAAGAAATGAGCAGGGGGAGAAGGAATGAATGAGCAGGGGAAGAAGGAAGGAATGAATGAGCAGAGGAGAGAAGGAAGAAATTAATGAGCAGGAGGGTAATGAAGGAATGAAATGAGTGGGGGGGAAGGAAGGAATGAATGGGGGGAAGGCAGGAATGAATGAGCGGGGGGGCAGAGGAAGGAATGAATGAGCCGGGGGAGAAGGAAAGAAGGAATGAGCAGGAGGAAGAAGGAAGGAAGGAATGAGTGGGGGGAAATGAAGGAATGCATGAGGGGGGAAGGAAGGAAGGAATGCGGGGAAGGGAGGAATGAATGAGCAGGAGGGAAATGAACGAGCAGGCGGAGAGGGAAGGAATGAACGAGCAGGGAGAGAAGAAATGAAGGAATGAGCAGAGAGAGAAGGAAAAAACGAATGAGCAGGGGGAGAAGGAAGGAACGAATGAGCGGGGGGGTGAAGGAAAGAATGAGCAGGGGGAAAAGGAAGGAATGAATGAGCAGAGGGAGAAGAAAGGAATGAATGAGCAGGAGAGAAATGAAGGAATGAATGAGCGGGGCGGTGGGGGGGGTGAAAGAAGGACTGAATGAGCAGGGGGTGGGGGGAAGGAAGGAATGAATGAGTGTGGGGAAAAGGAAGGAATGAATGGAGGTAAGGCAAGAATGAGCCGGGGGGGCGGAGGAAGAAATGAATGAGCAAGGTGGGGAAGGAAGGAATGAATGAGCAGGGAGAAAAGGAAGGAATGAATGAGGGGGTGAAGACAGGAATGAATGAGGGGGGAAGGAATGAGTGGGGGGGGCGGAGGAAGAAATGAATGAGCAGGGTGGGGAAGGAAGGAATGAATGAGCAGGGAGAAAAGGAATGAATGGGGGTGAAGAAAGGAATGAATGAGGGGGTGAAGAAAGGAATGGGGGGAGGAAGGAATTAATGAGTAGGAGGAAGAAGGAAGGAATGAATGAGCAGGAGGAGAAGGAAGGAATGAGCAGGGTGGTGGGGAAGGAAGGATGAATGAGTAGCGGGCGGGGCGGGGAGTTGGGGGAAGAATGAATGAGCAGGAGACAGAAGGAATGAATGAATGAGCAGAGGGAGCCTGCAGCCCCCACACATGCATGGATGCCTCCTGAGCTCTCCTGCTGGAGGCTTAGCCGAGGTCCCACAGCCCAGGTCAGCCCCCGGCCCTACCTCCACTGCCCGGCCTGCCCGCATGTGAGAGGAGGCTCAGCCGCTTCTCCAGCTGTAGGGTTTCCAGGGCTTCCTGGGCCACACGCTCCTCCACAGTCGAGGGTCCCGGGGGACTTGGGTCTGTGGCAGAGAGAAGACTCGGTGGAGGAGGTGGCCACCACCGCCCACCCTCGCCCGCAGGCACCAGGCCCAGCCTGACTCAGTGGTTATCCCCCTCTGTGGAGTGGCAGTCCCCTGGGAGTCCCCGCTCCTCCCGATGCCTCATCCCAGAGGCTGGCCCTCAAACGCAGACACCCACACCACCCCTATCCAGGCCACCATGCGCCCAGCTGGGTCCCTGTGCCCGTGGATGGCCCTGCCACCTGCCCACTCACCAGGACCCCACGCCGGCCAGACCCCTCCTTCCTCATCTTCCTCACCACCGAGTTTTTCAATTTTCTGTTCCAAAAAATGACCAGCCCCTCCCCCATCCCCAGGGCCGGCCTCGCTGCAAGAGGGGCTGCCTGCCCCTCATTCACGGTGCCCATTTCTCACAGGCTCCCCTCCACCTGGGGAAATGCCCGCCCACCTTGCAGTGTCCCCACCGTTCCCTGGGGTCTCGGATGGAGACTCATACTGTGCCCAAGGCTCAGAGCATGGTGGTCTGCGGACCCTCGGCCCCACCTAGCCCCTCCCCTCAGGGCTGCATCCAGGGAGCACCAGCCTCGCCTTCTCTATTCATCGTCCATGTGTCCTCTGCGACTGAGTGGCAGGAAACCTCCCCTTCCTGCCCAGGCAGGGTGGGACCTCTCACTGGCCCCTCAGCACCGCTGCTGCGAGCCTCAGCATCACTGCCCTGGTCCCCAAGCCCCCGCCCATGCTGGGATGTCCCAGGCACTAAGTGATGTGAACACTGGGCCAAGTGGCTACCTTGCTCCAAACAGCAGGGCTCAAGACCCTGCCCCTTCCACATCCACAGCACCCACGGCCACAGCCATCCCAAAGAGTTTCCCTGGCAGGGAAGCCACAGCCACACCCGCAAGAGCAAACCGACCCCGTCCTGCTCCAAGTGGCCTCCTCTGGGCCTCCAGAACACACCTCCTGACACCCACCTTGGGGGCACCTGCAGGACTGAGCCGAAACAGGTCCAAGGACCTGCTCTCCCCAAAGTCCAGGAGCAGTGGCAGCATGAAAAGTTTACACCAAATTCTGCAGCGCACAGAGGACCAGAAGGTACAGTCCCCAGCCTGGGACACCTAGATCAGAGCCTCAGCGGACAGAACCCAGCCTGGCGGAGGCTGGAGCCAGACGTCCCGACCCCATGGTCAGCGCTCCGGAGAAACAAACAGAGAAAGCAATGGTGTCCCTGTCCAGGTTCACATCTAGGCTGAAGAGGCCCTGTCCCTGATAGGACACTGTCCTCTGCTGATGCCTTCAGCCCACACAGGTGCCCAGCTGGGGCCCTTGCTCACTACAGGAGACCCCATCAGGACCTCAGAACAGGGCCCTCCCCACGGGCAGGTGAGAGCTCACAGCACCGGGCCCAGGAACACAAGAAGGGCCTGGAGGAGCCTCCCCCACCTCTGGGTATGGCCACCCCAAGGCACTGCCCCGGTCAGCCTGGGGCCCTGCCAGCCCAAGACCCTGTGGCCCTGTCTGTAGCATTGCCGGGGACAGGGATGGGGGTGGCACAAGCCTCTCTCCTGTCCCCTCCCTGCCTGTGCCTGGGAGGGTGGAAGGCGATGGCAGCCAAGGCTGTGCCAGCTCAGGCATCAGTCCCTCCCGACACGGCCTGCTGGTGGCCATGGAGCCCACAGGCCACACGGCTTAGCAGCTCCTGGCACTTTCACAGACACATTCAGCCACGTGGGCAGGACAGCAGGCACCAGTCCTGGCTCCTTGGTGCACTGAGGGTCCAGGCTGAAGACAAGCACAGTGACAGGACAGCACAACTGCCCCTCAGCCCTGGGACATTCCGACCAGGGCCACCCTCAAAGCCAATGCCCCACAGGTGGGACGGAGAGTGGCCCCTCGGTGACACCAGGGTCAGGATGCAGGACACAACCTCCCACCATTTCCCGTCCAGTAACTGGTGGGCCAGCAAGACACGGATCGACTCCCAGCTCCACCACACGCCCCCTGAGCCTCTCACCCTCGTCTGCAAAATGGGGTGCAGCAACGGTGCACCCCCGTGGAGGCCAGGCCAAGAAGGTAACATGCACGCCATACTCGGAGCATGGTGGACCCCAGACCTCTGAGCCCTTCCCTCCTGCTCCTGGTGGGTCTGGCTGCCTCTGGGACTCGGTGTCCACATGCGGAAGACCAAGGGGCTGGACTTCCTGCATCTCTTGGCCCCTCCAGTGGGTCACAGCGGGCTCAGCACAGGAGGACGGCAGAAAGCCCAGAGCTTGAGGATGCCGCCCGCAGGGCTCTATTGTGGGAGTCCTGTGATCACGGGGCTCCAGTGTGCTGCCAGCACAGGCAGACGAACCCATCAGCCCAGACCCTCCAGTAAGTCCAGCCTGCGGGGGCTGGGCCCACGGCTTCTCTGGTGGGGTGCTGCCCAGCATAGTGTCCCAGCTCAACCCACCTCCGGGTGGCCTGAGGCCCCCACACACCTGCAGAGGCACAGCTTGGGGGCACAGCTGCAGGCCGAGGCCCTGACAACAGAGCTTTCTGAGAGCTCCCAGCTGACTCTGACAAAGATGTCCTGTGGAGTGGGGTCTGGGACTTCTGGTCAGCCCAACCCCCTCCAGCTGTCAGCAATGGCCCCGCCTGGGGCTGGCCCACGTGCTGCCTGCGGTGGAGCCTGTCCCATCTAGTGGCTGTCCCAGGCAAACCCTCCCTGGCATCCTCTGCCCAGTACTGCTTCCCTGCTTCCCTCTGCTCCCCGGGAACTGCCTGAGGGGAGCAGGAGAGAGCAGGGAGCCCTGCTCAGCCTCCTGCTGCCCCTGCCCGGCCCTGTCCCCGCCCTGCACTCTGCACACCCTCGCCTTGCACAGCCAAACACACCGACCACATCATCCACGCTGACCACACCATCCACACCTGCCTGCAGCCGCTAGGCAGGAAGACACCTGCAGGGGTGCATCCACTAGGCAGGAAGACACCTGCAGGGGTGCATCCACTAGGCAGGAAGACACCTACAGGGGTGCAGCTGCACCATCCAGCATGGCAGGGCAGCGGGGAGGGCGCTGGCCATAGGTGCCACCTCCCCACTCCCAGGGCTGCCCCCAACGGGACTTTGCTGGTGTGGGCAGGGGGCATTGGGGGCTGTGGCCAGGAGAAGGGAGGCCCAGGTCCCACCCCACATGCTGCTCGCCTCTGCCCTCCCAGTCACCCTTCCCCGCCACACCACGGCGGGGGTGCCAGTGCCAGGAGGCGCCACATGTGAGCTTGCTGCTCACCCGCCACATGGCCTAGGCCTTGGCCTCACTTGGACGTTGGGTCAAGCGCTGCCCTCGTGGAGCAAGAGGAGCATTTGAGAGAGCCCATGGAGGCACCTGGCCCAGCACCCGCCCCGACCTGGGGAGCCCCACCGTGCCCAGGCACCAGAGCCCCTCTGGGGTCCAGCAACATCCCTGGCCAAGGACTCCTGCAGAGAGTGCCGCAGCCACAGCCAAGGAAGTGTGGGTGAGACAAGACGAGACCCCCTCAGCCCAACGTGTCCTGAGACCCCACAGCCAGGGGACCTCCCGAGGTGGCCTTGGGCCTAAACACCGGGCTCAGGCAGAGCCAGTCCCGACCCCAGCTGCAGAGTCAGACCAGCTGCCCCCGGGCCACCGAGCTCGGGCAAGGCCTTCCCTGCTCCTGGGCGTGGAAGATGGTGGTGGTGGGTCAGAGGGTCTCTTACTGCACAGTGGCAGCTGTGGCTGACTGTCCCAGCCAGAAAGCTCTAGGGCCAAGCGTTCCAACAGCTCGGACCCCCGAGGGAGAGCACCTGCAGGTACGAGCCCAGCCCCCGCTGCTCTGAATCCCTCAGCAGGGCTTGCAGAAGCCCAGGCTGCAATCCTGGCCTGGAAAGGTTCTGGTTCCTTAGCTGGGGGTGGGGAGGCTGGCCATCTAACTGGGGCTGACAAATCACTGTGGCCCCCCGCCCCGGGACGTCGCACAGCCTGCCGAGCGCACCCTCCCCGGCCGGCCAGGCTCCCACACGCACCTGGTAGAACCGGCCGCAGCCCAAAGGGGCCCTTGGTGGGGGAGATGCCTCGGACGATGCAGTCGAACAGGAAGCTGATCTGCTCCCCCTCGGCCGAGGACAGGAAGAAGACGCCAGCCCCTGCAGAGGAAGGACAGAGACAGGTCAGTCTGGCCCGAGGGCGGGCTGGGGACCCTGAAGAGGAGGAACACAGGAAACCGCAGCAAACTCCACCAAGAGCCGACAATGACACCCTGCCTGGCCCCACGAAGTCAGATGCCCAGAGCCGACACCCCGCCTGGCCCCGTGAATCCGGGTGCCCAGAGCCGACACCCCACCTGGCTCTGTGAAGCTGGGTCCCCAGAGCCTCTGGACTCCCCAGGGACCCCGCCGCACCCTTCAAACTTGGGCGCTGGGGTGAGTGCTGCCCCGCCCATCCTAGGTCCTGCAGCCGACAGGGCATGGGGAGGAGGGAGGGGGTGCCCTGCCCTGGACAGATGGGTGCCCCCGCCCACATACCTGCCTTCCGGGCTTGCTTGGGGGGATGGGGGGATGTGGCTGCTCTGCCACCCAGCAGGCACTTGATCAGTCCCTCCTCTGCCCCAAGGTCCCAGCGACCCTGCCCCCACAGCCGTCTTGAGGGCAAATGAAGCAGCCAGGAGACCCCAGAGACATCAAGTAGGGTCCCCTCAGGGCTCCAAGGCCACAGGAGAAGGGAGCTGTGCCACCTGGAGCTGGGGTCACATCCCAGGAAGGCTGCCATGTGACCACACTTCCTTCCCCCGGGCTGTTGGGAGGGCTGCATTCAGATGTTTGTAAAAGGTGTGGCACGGCACCTGCCCACACATGCTGCAGCCGTCACTGCTGGCCAGCACCGCGTCCTCCCCACCTCCTCGGTCATCTTTCAGGGGAAGCTGGAGCTGCCAGTGTGTGGGTGCTGCCCTGAGGCCGTGTGCAGCATCCTGGGGCCAGCATCCACCCCTGCACCCCCACAGCAGCAGGAGGGCCCCCAGGGACCAGCCCAGCGTCACTGGCAGAGCGATGCAGCCGCCACCCGTGGAGAAGCCCCAGCTGCGAGTCACGGGGGCGCTGCCCTCCCGGCCAGGGGTGAATGAAGCCCTGGCGGCCGCGTGAATGGGCCACTGGGCTGGCTGCACCCGGCTGGACACTCCGGCTGGCGTCACCTCACAGGAATCCCGCCCGCTCCGGGGCCTCTGCCCATTGCCCAAAGAAAGGTACGCAGGAGGGAAGGCGCCGGGGTGGGCAGGAGTTGGGGGGAAGGGAAATCTCGGCATTAGAACCCCCGCTGCCTGCTGCCCAGTCATGCTCTGCCTTCACGGAACACAGGCTGTAGATTCCAGGGACACGGAACTCAGGCCAGCCCCGACACGTGGCGACGCTGCCGGCCCCTTGGCAGCCACCCCGGGCACACGAGGGCGAGCGGCACCTTGTGCTGTGGATGCTTCCTTCCACGTAGTGTCCCCAAACCGGGTCATGGGACAGCGCCATTCCTACTTTAGCAAAAAGGACACTGAGGCCCAGAGAAGGCACGCCACCTGTCCACCATCACACAGCCACGAGGTGGACTCAAGTCCAAGTCCCCTGGCCCCCTGTGCACCTTCTGGCCCGATAGAGCTTCCAGTCCTACTGTGGGTGAGGGGTGCTCCTGATCAGAATTGGAGGTGGGCATGGAGGGGAGGCCAATGCCCGCTGCGATGCCATCCAGGAGGATGCCCCGAGAGGCTCATGAGGGCCGTGATGGGGTGGGGCCCCCAAGCTGGGTAGGGTGGGCAGAAGAGAGCCTGCACCAGGCCCTGGGGGCAGGCAAGGAGAAGGCCGTCATGCTGTCTGCTGGCTGGCTCACTCAGTGCCAGGCAGTCGCTCCCTGTCCCCGTGGTCCACCCCTCCCTGTGAAGGGCTCAGCCGGCACAGCCCCAGCTCTCACGAAAGGCCAGGCTCTCTAATCCTGAGCTTACAGACAGCTGGCAGTGGCCACGGGACAATGAGTCCCCCGACTATAAAAAACCACATTACGGAAGGAGTGGAGCCGGCCCCGCATTCCATGCGGCGTCTGCGGAGCGTCACTCACCCCGAAGACACGGTCAACCGGGCAAGGCCTGGAGCACAGCCCACCGCCAGCCTCGGGCTCCCACGTGCCCACGCGACACCCTCGCCAGCCACCCCCATCATCCATGCCAGCAGAGCTGACATCAGTGGCCCTGGAGGAAGATGCCCATCTCCAATGCTGGTCTGCCAAGGTCTTGGGCCATGGCCTCCCAGGACACCGCACGACTAGGCTCTCGCTGGGCCTCCCTGGGTTCATGCTCCACCCCCGCTCCCACCCAGCCCCCCCCGGTCTTGGGAATGCTCAAAGCTCCCTCTGCACACCAGGTCTGCCTGCCATCTCCACTCAGGAGGCTGCCGTCCCCACCCTCCACACCCCTACATCTCCACTCAGGAGGCTGCCGTCCCCACCCTCCACACCCCTACATCTCCACTCAGGAGGCTGCCGTCCCCACCCTCCACACCCCTACATCTCCACTCAGGAGGCTGCCGTCCCCACCCTCCACACCCCTACATCTCCACTCAGGAGGCTGCCACCCCCACCCTCCACACCCCTGGCCACCTAGAACACCCCAGACCTTTCCAGACTCAGGCCACATAACGACACCTTTCATGATGCTTTTCTTGGCCTCTGGCCCCCTTCAGTCCCCTGACCCCGACAGCCCCTCTGTGGTGCTCTCACGGACGCCTCCTCTGGGGTTCAGCCCCACCTGCTGCCGTCCCGGCTGCCAGGCTGAGCACCTTGCCGGCAGGGAGCACAAGCCGTCTGTGGTCTCAGTGTCCACCCAAGCGCCCATAACCAGGAGACCCCCAGTGCTCGGCCTTGGGTGGAAAGACATAGGTGAGAGGCTGCTGACCGCCCCCCTGCCCCTTCCCCAAGACAGGGTGCGCATGTTTCCTGTTTGCCTGTGTGTTTGGGGAAAGGGGGGAGAACAGGGCCTGCCCCATTTTGCTATATCACACAGGTGTGACTGCAGCAAAGCCGGCCACTCTGTTTCCCCTATCCCTGCCCTCAGAGGCCGCTCCTTCTCCAGAGGCTGGTCCACTCCCTCCCTGGAATCGAAGCCAGCCAGTGATGGCTCTGGCATAAAGTGGCATGAGGGATGCTCTCCCAGCCCTGCCCCAAGACCGTCAGAGGCCTGGCAGCTTCTGCTCTCTTGGAACCTATTGAGAAGCCCAAGGTGTCCTATCGGAGGGTGAGGTTCCTGGAGGGAAACTGAGGCAACCCAGCCAACAGCCGGCACAGTGCTTTCCTGGGCCTTTGGGCCCCACCATAGCCAAATGCCACTGCCCGAGGGACCCCAGGCAGCACCTCATGGGGCAGAGATGAGCTGTCCTCACTGAGCCCCGTCCAGATCCCTGGCCCACAGAATTGCCAGCCAGGGAACAGCCGCCAGCCGCTAGGTGTGGCAGGGTAAATAGGAGTTAGCTCAGCTGTTAGAGGGTAAGCGGTGGAGGGGGGTGAAAAGGGCACGTCAGACATCTTTGAGCACAAACGGGTGTCCCAAAGGGCTGTATAGGAGCCCTGTTGTGGGGGATAGGAGGCGTGAGGGTAAGAGGAAAGAGCATGGAAGACGCAGAGAAGCAGGACAGAGTCAGCAGAACACAAGCAGAAGGCCAGGAGCTGCGGGGCTCAGGGCGGCGCCAACTCTGGACAGAGGCTGGGGTTGCTGAGCGGCAGGCAAACCTCACCCACGTTACAGACGCACCTGCTTCCTGAGAAACACGTCTCCAGTGAAAAAGCTGTTGCACTAACTCCAGGACTCACCGGCTTGAGAAAGAAAATGCTCCTCCACGCAGACATTTAATGAGCCAATTAGATCTAAGATGGTTTCCATCTGAATATTCTTGAGTGCCCTCGTGGCTGCCCCTTGATGTCAGAATCTTAAGTGCTCATAATCCCAGCTCCTCAGAGAACAAACATCGGGGTGACCAGGGTGTCCTGGATGGCTCATGCCAGGTAGGCATGGGCAGGACTGAGAAGTCTTGATAACATGACCCTCAGCCCTCTCCATCCCCCAAGGTGGCAGCTTCTTGTACACTTGGGAGTGGCCCCACCTAGTGGGTCTCGGGTGGAGGAAGGCCTGGAGCCTGGCAGTGGGTGTTGGCTCCCACCCCTCCTCTGCCCTCCTGAAGCAGCCCCAGTCCAGGGGCACCACTCTAGAAGGCCCCCCCTTCCCGGGCCGGCCCTCCTCCCCTTGTCCATCACCACCTTGTTAACATTCCTGCAATCCACAGGGTTCCCATCCCCCAACCAGGCAGCTGCTGCCTGGGGCAGCCTCGCCCTCCATCTTCTGGACCTCAATCAGAACCTTCTCTGGCCCCTGCCAGCCTCTTCCTCCAAGCTCATCTGCACCCCGGGGTCAACATTAGCATATAAAACACTCCCCATGCTCAAGCACCTTCAATGGCTCCCTGCTGCTCCGAGACAATGGTGCAAACAAACACTGGTCCAATTAGCCAGCTCTCTACAACCCAGCCCTGTCTCCTCCTCCTCCTCCACCCTCACGCCTCCTATCCCCCCCAACAGGGCTCCTACACAGCCCTTCGGGACACCCATTCGTGCTCAAAGATGTCTGAAGTGCCCTTTTCACCCCCCTCCACCCCTTACCCTCTGACAGCTGAGCTAACTCCTATTCACCCTGCAGAAGTCCCCTGAGGCTCGCCCCTCCAGAGAGCTTCCCCGCAGTGCCCCCAGCCTGGGGTCTGTGCCCCTCCTGGCTCCCCTCGCACCCTCTGAGGACTGAAAATGCCTCACTCAGTCTCACGCAGCCTCTGAGGCCGGACCGTCTGATCCCTAGGCCCAGCGCCCGGCAATGAGAAACTGCTGAAGGCGCTCCCTGCTGCCTGACAGAGGCCAGGGTTCCAGCCAGCTCTGTCCAGGCTGCCCCCGCAGGCTGCAGTGGCCAAAGGTGGCCGGCAGGGGGCTCTCCAGAGCTGGGCAGATGCCGCGTTCATGTAGCAAGAGCCTCCTAGTTCAGGTTTTCATTCTTTACTCTTCTTTTTTTGAGACAGAGCCTGGCTCTGTTGCCTTGGCTGGACTGCAATGGCGGGATCTCAGCTCACTGCAACCTCCAACTCCCAGGTTCAAGTGATTTTCCCACCTCAGCCTCTGGAGTAGCTGGGATTACAGGCACCTGCTACCACACCTGCCTAATTTTTGTATTTTTAGTAGAGATGGGGTTTCACCATGTTGACCAGGCTGATCTCGAACTCCTGACCTCAGGTGATCCTCCCACCTCCGCCTCCCAAAGTGCTGGGATTACAGACATGAGCCACTGTGCCTGGCCACATTCTTAATCATTTTTAAAAGTCAAAATGAGTTTCAAATGCTCCGGGCGGCCCCCAGAGGCTGGGCAAAGAGGCAGATATGGTCCTTGGACTGGACCCAGCTGGAGAGAGCAGGTAAGGGGGGAAAAAGGGGGCACCTCCAAAAGCTTCCATTCACCCTCAAGGCCCAGCTCAAACGTCCCCCTGCGCCTCCAAAGCCCTCCCTTCCTAGGCTCTGGGTGGGCTCACCCTCTCTGGGGCCCACCACCGTCTGTGCTGCAAGCTGAGCCTGTCCCAGGGCGAGTGGCCCTCTCTGCATCACTCTCCACCACGCACAGTCCATCCCCGAAGGCGGGGCCCAGTCACTTGCCCGTGTGTGAGGCTGGAGCCTGCAGACCTGAGCTGTCCACAGACCGTCGCCTGCCATGTGCCAAGTGCGCTCGGGCCAAGCTCCAGGAGTCCACACTACAGGCCCGTGACCAACAGAGACGGGGAATTGGGCCACACTGGGGACCCGGGGGTTGCTGTCACCAAGCCACCTCCTGTCCCATTCTGAACAGGCAGCTGTCCACAGAGAGACCTCTGCCCCCCAGGCACCAAGACCAGCCAGGCCTGTCTCCACCCGACCCCCACCAGGGCCCCCGTGATGCACAGCCACGCCCAGTGTCTCAGGATGAGTGAGGCGCAGCCATCGCCTTGGGCCAGGGTCACCCTCTCTGCTCTCTGCAGAGCTGGCTGTGGCGGGGCCAAGTGAGGCGGTTCTGGGGATCGGGGGCCAGGCTAGGACCTGTCCCTGGGGAAGGAGGGAATGTGGATTTCCTACACCCAAGAACTTCCAGGGCCTTCCCACGACTCCAGCCCAGCTGTGACCTCCAGACTGAATGTGACGACACCCACAGACTTATTGGGATTCAGATTCTGGATATTTCTCCGTCCCAGTGGCCCCAGTTGTCGGCCAAATGGTGGCCCACAAAATGTGTTCACATACCAGGGCCTGTGAACAGGAGCCTCTGCGGATGGAATTGATGGTCTCGGGATGGGGTCACCCTGGGTCATCCAGGTGGGCCCTAAGTCCACAGACTGCAAGAGACTGAAGAGGAGGCTCACGCAGGAGCCAGCAGGCGCAGGGACTGGAGTGGCACAGCCACGAGCCGAGGCCGCCGGGGCCACCAGCGGCTGGAAGGGGCAGGAAGGACCTTCCCATGGGTCCTCCCCAAGAGCTTTTGGAAAAAGCCAACCCTGAGGACCCCTTGATTTGGGGTTTCTGGCCTCCAGGCTGCAGAAGGAACCCGTTCTGGACACTTGGCCCTCTCTTGGGGGTCATCTGCTACAGAAGCCCCAGGAAGCTGATGCCGCTGCCCCTGGACCACCCGAGTTGCCGGCTCCCTCCCGCAGGAGGCCCCAGGCTGCCCACACGTGCCGCAGACTCCCCGTCCCTCCAGCCAGACGGCCTGCACTCAGTGCTGCGTTGAGAACACCACCGCTTGGCCGAGTCTAAGACCCAGCCTAAACCACCCAGGGTGGTGGCCACGCCTGTCTCCAGGAGGATACAGCCCAGCAGGGCCTGCTGGGGACAGGGATGGGTGGCTCGGCCAAGCCTTCCAGCCTGGCCTCCAGAACCCACCTACCCTACGGGGTGTGCAGCCGTCGGTGACCGAATTCCCAGAGCCCTTCCTCTCTCAGGCCAGGGTACCACCGGGGACGAGAACATTCAGCACTGAGCTGCAAAGGCGGGTTCTGTGGGGCCAGCCCCCGTTTGCGGGTTCTGTGGGGCCAGCCCAGTCTGCAGGTTTGTGGGTTCTGTGGGGCCAGCCCGGTTTGCAGGTTTTCAGGTTCTGTGGGGCCAGCCTGGTTTGCAGGTTTGCGGGTGGGGCTGCTCTAACAGCTTGCCCCGGAGAGGCAGCAGCAAGACAGACGGCCCCACAAGAGTGCCCCCAGCTTTTGAGCAGCCCAGGAAAACGGCACAGTAGCCTCGCCCTGGGGAGAAGCACAGCCCCAGGTGTGGGATTGTTTACCAGCGGAAAAGGGGCCACCCACACCTCGGCAGGGATGTGAACCTCCACGGCCTCAGAGGAAAAACATCCAGTGTCCCCATTCCATTATGGCCCAGACAAAATAAGCAGGTCTCCAAGGAAACGGGTCCTCCTGCTGTGCCCCGGCTTAGAGGGTGAGCACGCGGCGCCACCCCGGCCGGCTGCCTGCCCGTGCCAAGGAATTCCACAGACAGAAAGGAAGGTATGGGTCCCCCTCCTCCAGGCACCCCCAAACCTAGCACACAACAGACAGGACAGGCTGCCTGTGTCAGGACAACTACAGCCTGCAGCTCTGGCTTCCCACACGACAAAGGACAGGGACGCTGGGCCCACCCACTGTGCCCAGCCACCGCCAACCCACTCCCCAGTGGCTCCCGAAGCCCCAGTACTGAACCTCTGGCCTGCCGCAGGGAGGGCCTGGGGGCAGATGGGACCCCGACAGGTGTCCTAGCTCTCCCGGGAACCACCCCCCACCCCACCCCCCGCACCAGCTCACAGCTGGCATAGGCAGCGGCCCTGCCCATCCATACTGGCTCTCCAATCCCAGAGGGGCCAAGGCCCTTTGGACTCTGGCTATGGCCCCTGCCAGCCCCAGGGGCCGAGACTCCGGGCCAGCTCTGCCGCACGTGCCTCCTGCAGCTGGCTGTGTACGCCCCCAGTCCGTGGAGCCTGAGCCTCACTGCCCTGTTCCCCTTTCAAGGGTCAGATGTCGTCTCCTCAAAGGCCCCAACAGGGCTGGCTCCTGCCACAAGACCTACTGGGTTTGCTCCCAGCGCCCAGCGCAGAAGGTGGCAGAACGTGGCACCCAGATGGGCTTGCGCCCGTGCCCCAGCTGGCCTTTGCAGGATGAGGTCCCAGGCGGCCAGTGTGGCCCGTGTCCTTGCCTGCGTTTCCTCCACCCAGACACATCCAGGCTCCACCAGAGCCCCCACCAGTGTGAGCCAAGTGCAGTCCCTCAGTCCTCTCAGCCCCAAACCAGGCCCACAGGAGGTCCCTCTGCCCGCCTTCAGCCCGGCCAATGAGCAGCTGCCCCTCCAGAGAGAAGAGAGGAGGCGTCACACCCTCCGCGGGGACTGCAGGTCCACAGGGCAACCTGGCGCATCTGCACCCAACATGGGAGAAAGTGGAGGGGGTTGCTGGAACAACCTGCTCCTGCACAGCCCCGGCGGGCACCTCAGACTCTCTGGGCAGGGCTGGGTGCCTTCCTGCTCCGATTTCCCTCACTCCCCTGGCTGAGTGAGGACAGCTCTCAGGCCTTCACAGGCCCAGAGGACTCAGGCCATCCCCACCCACGGCCTGGCCACCTCACTGGGGACATTAGGGCAGCTCTGGGCGGCCCACAGGCGGGGTGGCTGGCATGTCCACCAGGAATTCTTGGTCCAAGAATATGTTTCTGCGGTGCTTATGCGGGAGCTCACACTCCCCACTGCTAAATGCGTTTGTTCTTTGTTTTTTCCTTTCCATGAAATCTGGATATGAGCGGCTCTGAGGCTCTGTGGCCTCAGGCCCCTCCTCGCATCCCTGAACTCTCTCCCTCCAGTGAGGAAGAGCAGAGGTAGCCGAGGCCCCTCCTCGACACTCCACACTGAGGTTCCTGCGGGCAGAGGACCTTGGACATCGAGCGTGGGGAGACTCCGTCCACCTGCCGGCGCATTCTGGAAATGCCAGCAGGCCAGCCTGCAAGTGGGGTCGGCCGGCCCGAAGCCAGCAGTTCTCAGGGGAAGTGGGGGGTGCTGCTGCTGCCCAGTGACCCCACACATCCGTACTTACAGTACCCACACCTGGTCCCGCCTTCAAAGATGAATCCGCTTGGCACGGCCCCGTAGCGCCGGAGGTCAGACAGCTTCCACTGCCCCGTGACAGCCGGGGGGATGTCCCTGGCCAAGACGAGGACATCATTGCAGAGGTGCAGGGTAGCCGGGCCGCTCTCCAACTTGGTGCCTGGAGCCACTGTCACATGGAACCTATGCACTGCGGGCAGGCGGGGCAAGAGGGCATCACGGGCGGGCAGGGTGAGAGGACATCACGGGCGGGTGGGGTGAGAGGGCATCACGGGCGGGTGGGGTGAGAGGGCATCACGGGCAGGCGGGGCGAGAGGGCATCATGGGCGGGTGAGGTGAGAGGGCATCGAGGGTGGGCGGGGCGAGAGGGCATCACGGTCAGGCGGGGCGAGAGGGCATCATGAGAGGAGGCAACAGGGGCCACTGTGGACAGGTGGGGTGAGAGGGCATCTCGGGAGGAGGCAGCAGGGGCAGGGGCCAGGCTGGGGCAGGTGGGGGCAGCCGCCCAGGTGTCAGCCGGGGAGGCAGCGACGGCAGGATGAGCAAATGGCACTCCTCACAGCCACGAGGGGGCCTGGGGGCTGCACTTCTCTCCTTGCCATCCTCCCAGGAACTATCTTTGTTCAGGGGCAAGGAAGTCCCAGAGGGGCCTGACCTCGGACCTCCACCTCCCTCCCCTCCCACCACGGAGGTGCTAGGGAGGACAGGGCAGCTGAGTGCCCTGGCTGGGCTCCCACCCCCGGCACCTCTCCAGGAAGGCTCTCTCTCCACAGCTGTGTGGCTCCATCACAGAAGGGGAAACCGAGGCTCAGGGATCCCCCAGCCTCCAGTTCGGGTGTGGAGAGTCTGGAGTCTGTATCGAGGCCCCAGCCTGGCCACGGGAACCTCAGGGCACCACCGGCCCTCTCTCCATCCAGGTGGCCATTCACCCAAACCCTGAGCACCCCCATGGTCCTGTGCACTGGCTCTGCCCAGGCCCCTGCCCCTGAAAGCCTCAGAGAGGACAGTGGTCCTGAATGCTGTCCCCACCTCCCCTGTCTTCCCAGGTCAGCACACCAGGCAGACAGCAGCCTCCCCACCAGGGGCCCCACCTGCTCCATCTCCAACCCCCAGAGCCAAAGGGACCCCTGTTCCCATCCCACCTCCCCCTTCTCTGCCTCCTCTACCTGCTCCAAGCTGTGGCCTCAGGCGCATCCTTGTCAGGCCACGTTCTATCAAGATGAAGCTGCCTGGGCGGTGCCCAGCGGCCTCTGTGCCATGGCCCTGCGCCAGCGGATGAAGGAAGCAGACCCATGCCGCTGAGCCAGGCTGGAGGGAACCCCCAACGGGAGAACTTTCTGGAAAGATGCAGTTCTTCCCTCCTAATGTCTCCTTCCCCTGCGCCCTCCTGCAGAGCCAACCGCACCTCCTCCCACTAAGCCCCCAGCTTCTCTCTCCCCACTCAATGGAGCAGGAGGGGCTGCTGCCTTGGGGACAAGACTGGGGGAGCGGGACACTCACCTCCAAGGCCAAAGAACTCAGCCATCAAGGGCCAGGATATTTTAATCAATATTTTAAAAAGTAAAGTTATGCAGAGTCCATGCTGATCAAAATAGCAAGTTTTTTTGTGTTTGTTTTTTTGAGACAGGGTCTCACTCTGTCGCCCAGGCTAGAGGGCAGTGGCACAACCTCAGGTCACCGCAACCTCCACCTCCCAGCTCTTTTTTTTTTGAGATGGAGTCCTACTCTGTTGCCCAGGCTGGAGTGCAATGGCGCGATCTCAGCTCATTGCAACCTCTGCCTCCCAGGTTCAAGCGATTCTCCTGTCTCAGCCTCCTGAGTAGCTGGGATTACATGTGCCCACCACCACACCAGGCTAATTTTTCCATTTTTAGTAGAGATGGGGCTTCGCTATGTTGGCCAGGCTGGTCTCGAAGTCCTGACCTCAGGTGATCTGCCCGCCTTGGCCTCCCAAAGCACAAGGTTTACAGGCATGAGCCACTGCACCTGGCCATCATTTTTGTATTTTTAGTAGAGACGAGGTTTCGCCACGTTGCCCAGGGTGGTCTGGTCTCTATCTCCTGGGCTCAGGTGATCCACCCACCTCAGCCTCCCGAAGTACTGGAATTACAGGTATGAGCCACCGTGCCCAGCCTAAAATAGCAAGTTTTTAAAGGGAGGGCAGCTGTGGCTGCTGGGATTATTGGGTGGGTGCCAGGGTAGGACCAGGACTCAACTCAGTGGACATTCTACTGTTTTGCTCATTATGGGGTTTTGGCACTGATTTTGGTTTCTTAGGAGATGCAGGATTATGCTTGCTCTGCCGCTGAGTGCCCAGGGCCCCATCACCACCCACCTCTGCTCACAGCCCCAGGGCAGCTCAGCCCCCAGAGGCCCCCAGGCACCCATTCGAAGCCCCTGCAGGGCTGGGACTGACGTTCCACCTCTTCCAGGGCCAGTTCCACAGGGGAGCACTCCCTTCCCCTCCCTCTCCCCTCCCTCTATTCCCTCCCTCCCTCCCATCCTGTTTTGGGGGGAAGCTGGGGTGGGACCGCCCAGCCTGGGGCTCTCCTTCCTAGCCAGGCTCTGGGCTCCACTGTCCAGTGTAGGAAGCAAAGGGCAGGGCTTTGGGAAGCCACGTCCCTCCAAAGGCCACCAGCTTGGGTTAAAGGCTCCAGTTGTAACTAACGGTCAGGCTAGGGAGCTCTAAAGACACCATAGCCCAGCAGACTCCCCCTCCCAAACCCTCGTGGGCACCCCCAGGCTGGAGCTCAGTCCACCCTAAGGCACCCATGAATGTCCCATCTTCCTGCACGGTTCCCTGGAGCCGCTCCCACCTCTGCAGCCCACGTTGGTGAGGGGCCCCGGCACACCTGAACGGGGAGCCCCCGCCCGGCCCCGGCCCCCGTCACTCACCCTCGCCGAGCGCATAGCGGATCCGGGCATCCCACGCACACATGGCCTCGTGGCTGTCAAAGCCCAGCATGATGGCCTGGGACAGGCAGACAATGGCCAGCGTGTGGACCAGGCCCTCGTAGGGCAGGCCGGGCTCCAGCCCGCAGATGTCCTCTAGCGTCAGGCTGCTGCGCTCCCGCAGGCCCTTGATACGCTCCGACTTGTCCTTGTAGACCAGCATCAGCAGGCAGTCTGCAAGGAGCGTGGCCGTCAGGGACGCCAGCCAACACCGCCTGCCCGCACCCTTGGCGTCCCCGGGGAGGCCGTGACAGTGCAGAGACCCGGGCTGGGGTCATGACCTCAAGCCAGCCACTCAGCCATGCCAAGGCTTCGACTCCCGGCATACAAAATGGGGCGATCCCCTCCCCTTGCAAGACCCACAGGCTGCAAGAGCGGAAATGAACTCAGAATATTCATGTCTGTGCCCAGCCCCCGACGCTGGCTCCCATGACTGGGTTCTGGACCTTCACTGGCGGATTTGCCCTGTCCCAGGCCCTGGAGCCCCCTGGGCCACACTGAGGGCTGCAGGATCTGTGGTCACGGGCTTGGGGGCCCAGCGTGGGGCCTGCCCGGTGGCTGTGGCCTCCTGCCCTGGTTCTGCCAGTCCGCTCCTATCCTGCCGCCCTGCCAGCCACACCTGTGCCCACTCCCTGCTGCCTCGAGACCCACCGCCCCTCCTGGTTCCTTTAGTTCCCAGGTTGTGGCTGAGCTTCAGCCCCAGGGGGTAGGGGAGGTCGATGGGCCTTGGGTCCCATCCCCATCCACCCGGCCACTGCCCAGCACAGCAGGCCCTAGTCTCTTCCTCGGCTGCTGGGGACCTGCCTGCGTTCTGCCTCCCGGACCCTCCAGGGCAACTCGGGTCCCCGTCTCCACCCCCACCTTCCCATTTTCCAACGTCACTGTCACCACAGGCAACCGGCTGGTGCTGTCTACTCCACCAGGTGCAGCTCAAACCTGGCACAGCACAGTCCCTGTGTGGCCTTGGGCAAACCACCTGGCCCGGGGACACTCCTGTGAATGGCGGGGGCAGCAGGTCTGCCTGAGAGAGCAGAGAGGACGGCGCAGGAAGACTCCCGGCCCTCCCGGCATGGCTCCAGGCTTGATGACCAGGCCTCCTCCCACCTAGGCCCCGGCAGCTGGGCTCCAGGATACCCGGCTTCGGCGAGGGTGTAGGTTTTGGGACCTCATACAAACACCCCAAATCCCTGTGAGCATGCAGGAGGGGATTGGGGAGAATGTCCCCGAAGAGGATTGCAGAATGACGTGTCATCTGAAGCTCTGAAAAGCAGGTGCTCACTCTTCACACAGGCCCTGCAAAGCCACGTGAGAACCAAAATCCCAAATGAATTTGACGCAGACACTCATTTTTGCAATGGAGTCCAGAGCAGACATGGTGCTCAGCTTCCCTCCCCAGCCGTGCCCACCTCCCCGGGCCACATGGCCACAGCCCGCAGAGCCAGGGGGTCTGTGTGACCACAGGGGCCAGCGGTCAGCAAGCTTCCTCTGCAAGGGGCCAGAGGGCAAGCATGCAGCTTTCAGGGCCACACAGGCTCTGCGGCCACTACTCAGCACCGCCACCCTTGCTGCGTGAAAGCAGCCTCAGACCCTGTGTAGACCCTTGGGCGCAGCTGCATGCCAGGAAGCTTGATTCACAAAAGCAAGGCGTGGTGTGGGCGCGGCGACAGTGCGTTCACTTCCCATTGGAGGATCTGTCCGCAGCGTCTGAAACGTTTACAGCTAGAAAAAAGCTAGGCATTCCCAATTTGAGAAAGAAGCCCCCTCATTCCCGCACCTACAGAACTCCGCCTGCCCAGCTGAGGCTTTCCAGACAATCTCCTGGCCCCCTCTGGAAACTCCAAGGCAGGAAGCAGGACGCCCGGCCCCAAGAGAGAAATCAAACACAGCGGCGTAATCGGAATTCGCCGTAACAGCAATGTCCCTCAAATGCGTCACCAGAGCACCCAAGAAATGACGGTGTGTGGGAACAGCATGAACACGGGTGGCTCCGCGCAGGACGGGGGCCCCAGGGCCGCTTGAGCCGGAGGACAGCCCGCAGTCTCCACCGTCTGCAGTTGAAGTGTGTTGTGAGATCGCTGCAGGGGCCCGGGCCACCTCTGCCTTGGGGGACCCTAAAAAGCTGAGCCACACCCATGTTGAAACTTCCACTGAGGATAATCACGCACCATACAGACCACCCCTTCACTCCCTTCCCCTAAGGGGCAAGGCCCCTGGGAATCCCTGCTCTGACCTCCCAGCTGTATGGCCTTGGGATCTTGGCCTCAGTTTCCTCATCTGTGACCTGGGGACAGTGGCACCCCCACCTGCAGCAATGCCGTAAGGACCATCTGCAGGAAGGTGTGGAGGCCCTGTGTGCAGTAAGCACTCAATACATGCTTGCATATTCAGGTACACATCTGTCTGCGTTACCAGCTATAAGGCCAGAGCGTCTTCCCTGCAATCTGGCTGCCCATGCACAGAGGGACCAGGTGACCCATGGCTCACCCTCAGTGCTCAGCAAGGGGCACACACTGGCCAACCATCCACCACCTTCCACCTCGAGGGCCTCAGCTTCCTCGGAGCCTTGGTGGGCTGATCACCCAGAAGTCAGGCAGGGACCTTTCCTCCCCTGTGGCTCTGCTCTGTGGTGGTGGCACCTTGGCCACACCCTGGCAGACAGCTCCGGCACCTGATAACAACCAGTTCCTTCCATTGCCCCCAACCAGCACCTCCTTTGTTCAACAAGTTACATTCCCAATAATACAGTCAGGACTGGGGTCAGGAGCTTGCCTGTAAAGAGCCCGACGTCACCCTTTTGGCTTGATTGAGCTTAAAGTCTCCTTTACCATACTTAGCTGGAAAGCAGCCACAGATGACACGTGTGGGAATGGCTGCGAGCCAATAAAACTTTATTTACAAAAACAGGTTCCGGCAGGATTTGGCCCAGAGACCACAGTGAGCCGACTCCTGGCCAAGAGTTGAATTTGCCACGACGGCTTCTCACACCTTCCACAAGCCAGCCGGCCCCACCCTAGACCTCTACCCCTGCAAGGCTGGTGGTGGGGCGCATGCTGAACCCACGCTCGACCCTCAGACCTCTTTCTGATTCACGGACGCCACCCCTCGGCCTGTCTGACTTTTCTGGACTCTGTCTACAAATGCAGACTCACATCCTGCACCTTGGGAACGCCTGAAAATCCAGGAGCACTTACAGGCAGGGGCTGAGCGTGGCCCCCAGCAAGACGTGTCCACTCCCGACCCCGGAACCTGTATGTCCTTATTTGGGAACAGGGTTTCTGCATATGTAATCGAGTTCAGGATCCTGGATTGTCTGAACGCAGCAGCAAGTGTCCTTGTAAGGGGGAGAACAGGAGGCGCAGACACAGGGAAGGTCACCTGAATGGGGACGGAGGCAGGGACTGGAGCGCTGAGGCCACAGCCAAGGGACACCTGTGTCTAACAGGAGCTGGGAGAGGCAGGAAGGAGCCCCTCTGGGAAGCCTGGAGGGAGCGTGGCCCTACGGGCCCCTCGACTGCAGAGCTCTAACTCCCAGGACTCAGTGGGTGAATTCTCATTGTTTGAAGGCCCAGCTGTGGTGCTTTCTTCTGTCGGCCACAGGAAACTGACGACCACCCAAACCACCGATTTCATTTTCAAACATGAACAGAAGCCGAGAGGTCAGAGCTGGGGGCCCGCTCGTCCCTCCTGCCTGGCAGAAGCTTCTCCGGCAGCTGACGCCCACCCCCTCACGCTCAGGCCGCCCTCTCCTCATCACCAACAATAAATCGATCCTGTTTTTAAAGTGCATCTCTCGGGGAGTGCCAGGGGGCAAAGCGCTGCAGGAACTGGTACCAGAGAGATGGAAGCTCCAGGCCCAGGGCTGAGACCAAGCCAGGTCAAGGCCGGGACACCAGAGCCCCAGGACGCAGCGGCTCTCCCTGGGACACAGCACGTGTGCCGGGTAGACACAGGTCTGGGGGACTCAGGAGTGGATGGCCACTGGCCAGCTCCCCGGGCGCCAGGCCCAGAGGGCCCCAGCCACACCCTCCCAGGAGGCCTGGGCACCTGGGAGTCTCTCACCCAGCGGCTGAGGAAGCACCATCGGCCCTGCTCACCCACCCTCCGGCTGGGGGTCTCTTGCCTGGCGGCTGAGGAACCACCATCAGCCCTGCCCACCCACCCTCTGGCTGCGGGCATTGGCTGCAACCTGGCCAGGGAAGGCTTTTGCAGAACTTGGAGGGTTCCCGGGGCTCTGGCAGGCAGCACTGGGCTGGGTGGAGGGCACCGGGTCGTGATGCTGAAAGGAGACAAACGAGGAAGAGGCACCAGGAGAGGCCAAGGCACAGAGACCATGTGGAACAAGCAGGCACACACGCACACTCACACAGAGGCACACACACTCATACATGCACACTCACACAGACGCACACACACACATGCACACTCATACACAGACACATACACGCACACACACAATGTGTGCACACATACATGCACGCACACACAGGCACACACATGTACACTCAGGCACACACACTAATGCACACACAGACATGCACACTCATACACATACACAGGCACACACACTCATACACGCACACTCACACATGCATACACAGGCACACGTACACTCATACAGGCACCACACTCACACGTGCACAAAAGCACGCACACTCATACACACATACACACACAGACATGCACACATACACAGGCACACTCGTACACAGGCATGCACACTCATACGCGCACACACATACACGCACACACACACTCCATGCATACACACACAGGCACACACAGACATACATGATCACAGGCACACATACATGCACACACACACGCACACAGACACATACACAGGCAGACATACAGGCACGCACACATACACACACATACACAGACATACATGCACACACAGGCATGCACACAGGCACACACACTCATACATGCACACACACAGGCATATACACACGCACACACAAAGGCACGCACACACCAATACACGCACACTCAGACAAGCACACACATTCATACATGCTCACACAGGCACACACACATACACTCACAGTCACACACACTCATACACGCACACACGCACATGCACACTCATACATGTACACAGAGGCACACATACATGCACACACAGGCACACACTCGTACATGTACATTCACACAGGCACACACACTGCTGCATGCCCATGCAGACACCGGCACACACTTGCACACACAGACACACGCACACAGACAAGCATTTGAGCTCACACACACTCGCACACACAGGTATTCACACGCATGTGCACACGTGCACACACACTCCCACAGGTATTCACATGCACGCGGACACACACTTGCACACATACACCCCCACACAGGTATTCACATGCACACACACACACTTGTGCACACACACCCCCACACACAGGTATTCACATGCACACACACACTTGCATACACACCTGCACACACAGGTATTCACATGCACACACACGTGGACACAGTCATGCACTTGCACTCATGCTTGTGCACACACAGAAGCGTGCACTCATGCACTCAGTGCTGGGGTCTGAATCTGAAATTCCAGTGTTGAAATCTTCACCCCCAAGGCGATGGGTTAGTGGTGGGGCCTTTGGGATGCGATGAGGTCATCAGGGTGGAGCCTCAAGAATGGGACCAGTACCTGATGAGGGGGCCCCAGGGCGCTTCCTCCCCCTACACCATATAAGGACAGAGAAAGCGCCACCTATGCAGCAGGACATGGTCCTCACGAGACACCCAGGACGCGGATCCTCACCAGACACCCAGGCTGCCTTGATCTTGGACCTCCAGCCCCCAGAACCGTGAGCAGTGACTGGCTGTCGTCTGAGCCGCCCAGGCTGTGGCATTCGCTAAGAGCCGCCTGAGCTAAGACAGCCACACAAGCCCACACTCACACATTCACTCTTACACACTCACCCAAATGCTCACACTTGCTCACACGTGCACACGCTCCCACGGTGTGTACAGGTGCACATGTACATCCTCACACACACACACGCACGTGCACACACGCTCCCCCTGCATTCACCTCCACAGCCACAGGGAAACGAGGAATCCAGGATGAGCCCTGGGACTTGGGTTGGGGAGGGATGTCTGGGGTGGGGGGGGGGGGTCTTCCCTGGACACGTGAGGCTGAGAAGCCCACCAGACACCGGGCGGCGATGCACACAGGCAGTTGGACGCAGGCTTCTGGAGATGTAAAAATAACTGTGGAGTCATGAGCACACGGAAGGCCTTACAGCCAGGGCGGAGAGCCGGGGAGGGCGGGAGGGAAGAAGGAGGAGGGGGAGAAGCCGCAGGGAAGATGGAGCAAGCAGGCATGGTGGCCCAGGGAAGGCAGGGGCATGTGTGGGCCGGGGACGCAGTGGGGGGGGTCCCCGCCCACACTGAACACGATGGGAGTCCGCAGAAGTGGCTGCGGGACAGCCTTTGGAGGTCACAGTGACCTTGAGGCTGTGCCCTTAGCAACGCAGGTGGTAGCCGCCTGAGGGGACCCTGCTGGGGTGCAGCAGCCTGGAGCCGCCCCCAGAAGCTGGGCAGGAGCAAGGGGGGCGGCCATCGACCAGGCCGGCCTGCTGATGCCTCCTCGGGCCAGGCCACAGCCAGGACACACGAGACCAAGATCCAGTGCCTAGCCCCGGACCCATTCACAATCTGGTTCGGGAAGGAAACGCGTGAGGGTGCCCCTGCCCGGCACAGGTGTTGGAGGTGTGGTGCAGGTGGGCCCCCCAGACCACAGACATCACCAAGGGCAGCCCAGGACGAGGCTCCAGATGCCAGGGCCAGGCCCTCGCGCCCACCTCTCCATTGCCCTCAAGAGCCCTGTGAGTAGACGAGGACGCAGGCGGGGAATGAGCCGTCCCAGGTCACTGCTCCCACATGTGGAGCTGAGAGCTGAACCCCAGCTCTCTGATTCCCTGTCCTGACGCGGGGGCTGAGGGAAGGTCGCCCTGTTCTTGATGTTTCTATGGGGAGAGGATAACTGGCCACCACCCACGCCCGGTCTTCAGCCCGGAGCTGGGATGTCAGCCCCAGTCCGTTGGGGCAGGAGCCAGACGCACAGGAAATCCACCACCAGGAGGCTCTGCTCAGGAAGGGCCGACCCAGTGTCCACCCCCAGCCCCTCGTTAGCGGAGGCGCTGTGGAGGGCAGGGCCCCAGGACAGCACTAGCCGTGGGGCAGCTCCGGGGCTCACGGGGCACCTGCCAGGGGGCTCCCGGCTCCTGCGCCGTCTCCGTGGGGTCCCTCCTGCAGGCCGGGCTCAGTCCCACCGAGAGCAAGGATAGGGGAGACTAAGCAAGGGCCCAGCCATCAGCCCGGGGGCAGGCGCGGAACTTCCAGCCAGCTGTGGGGGGCAAGGTTTGGGCTGGCTGGGGGGAACTGGGCTCTGCCCAGCAGTCCATGTCTTGGGCCAGATCCCTCGGGTTTCTGAGTTTCAGCTTCCCCCCACCATGGTGACTCCAAGACCCTGCCAGCTCCAGGACTCGGGCCCTCCCGGTGGCTTTTCTGAGCTGGATGAAGCCCCCAGGGGCAGCCCCTGTGGGAAGCAGGCCCCCTCAAGTGTCTGGCCTGGGGCCACACTCTCCACAGGATGTCAAGAACACTTTCCTCACCACCCCCAGCCCCCGCACCTGGGAGGAAGAAGAGAGGGGCTGGGCCAGGCGCCGCTGGCATGCAGGGCCACCAGCAGTGAGTCCTGGGCCACAACTGGACACAGACCACCCTCCTCCCCCGGGGCCCTGCCCAGAGAGGGGACGCAGACACGCATTCCGCAGTGAGGACGCGGTGGAGACATTGAGGAACGTGGTCCCACTGCAGGGCACCCTGCAGTCCCACACCGAGGCAGACGGCCCGACGTCCACTGGCCATGCCAGGCGCTGTGGCTGAGCAGCCCTTTGATAAAAGGGTTTCCCTTTCATTCGCTAAACCTTGTCATAACAGAAAGACGTGCTCACGATTGAGAAAAACGCAAGGAGGAGAAAGGTGCCAGTGGAAAAGGTGCACATCGGGGCCCTTCCCAGAAGGAAATCACCACTGGTAACAAAAAGAACCCTGCCTGTCTTACAAGGAAGCAGACGGGACCCTTCCTCTCTCCCTCACACCAGGAGCGCAGGGTCTGTGCTGTCTGCTCCTCCAGGGCTGGGGCCTGCTCCCTCCACGCCGGGCCCATCCACAAGGGAGGTGGTCTCCAGCGCTGAGCGGGAAGGCAGCTGGGTGAAGGCAAAGGGGGCAGCATCTAGGGAGGCTTATGAGGGGCCAGGGGAAGAGGCATCAGGGCCTCTGAGCGGAGAGGAGGTGCCAGGCTGGCCTGGTCAGGGTGGGGAGGTGGGCGTGAGAACTCCGCTCTGTCCCATCCCCTCATCTGACCGACCTCTGGGCAACCCCACAGGGTGTCAGTTTCAACCCTGGGCTGCTGGAGTGACCAACACAGAAAGCAGGTGTCCAAAGCAATGGGTCCCAGGCCAGTGAGTCAGTGGGTGCTAGGGACACCTGGCCTCAAGGCTTGGAATGAACATCCACCCAGAGGGGGCATGGCACCTTCTACTACCCCACATCACCTCCCACGCCAGCCCCAGAAGGCTGCAGATCTCAACTGCGCAGGATACGGGATAACCCAGCAGACGCTCGGGAGCCACCATGTTCACCTACAGACTCACAGATTGTCCCACCTGGGGGACCCATTGCAAACTCCTGTCACTCCACTCAGGCACTCACCGGCCGGGGGAGCACACCCTCTTGAGGCTGGCAGGCCCTGCCTCCTGGGACTGTCTGATGCAGAAAGAAAATCCCTCCAACAGGGACAAAGACTTCTCCCCCGACACTCCTCTTTGGGGGCTGCTGTCCCGGGTGCCTTCCTGGGATGCGGCCTCTCTGGAGGGTCTGCACCGGCTCCAGCCCAGCACCATCCACCAAGCATCACCTGCCCCACCACGGCCCCGACCCAGCCACAGCTGACTAAAGCCTGTCATCCGCCCCAGCCTGGCAGGGCCTCTCACTCTGCCCAGACCCCATCCCTTCCTATACCAGGTCCCCTGCAGCCCCGGAGGACAAAGACGCCCTCCCAGGCTCTGTCGGTGCCCCCACAGCTCCAGGCAGGAGGTCTGGGCACGGAGGGCTGAGTGGAGAAGTGACCAGCGTGCAGTCCAGGCCCTGCAAGGGGAGGCGGAGGCAGGCAGGAAGTGCTTTCCTCCAGGACCACCTGAGGCCCTGCAGAGGGGACGCAGGAGGGATCCCTGCCCCACACCCTCCCTGGGAGTCACAGACACCCGTCCTGGAGGGTGCTCTGGCAGCCCCCTGGCGTACAGCCCCCCATGCACACAGGCCGAGCATCCCACCCAGACCCGGGCCTGGCCGGCTCTGCCGCACCTGTCCTCTGGAGCAGCTGCAGGCCCGGCTCAGCCCTCCCTACAGGCCCAGCGCTGCAGGCGGCCTGGGCTGCCAGACCTGGGGGCTCCATGCTGACCCTCCCCAAGCTGGGGTGCTGGCTCAGGGCGGGGACTGGGGGGGGACCCCTGCCTCCTCCCAGAGGACTGTTCCCCCAGCAATGTGGCAGTCACTCTGCCCTGCCCTACCGCAGCCCAGCCTCTCGTCTGCCTGGGAGGGGTCCAGGGTCAGCGCTAACCCACGCAGCACCCCTGGAGGCTGGGTTCGGGGGCCCTGCTCTGAGCGTTTCCACAAGCACAGCTCAACCCTCAGGTATGTGGGGCTTTGCTTCTGGGGGGCCCCTTGCTGCTCTGCTGGGGGGCTCAGGGCCTGCGTCCCCTCCGCCTACAGGGCCACCAGGCAGCCCCTCGGGCCTCAGTCTGCCCTGCTGGAAAGAGGGTTCTTCCGTCCAGGGCCCCCACCTGCGCTCCCAGGGGCGCCGGGGGGTCCGGGTCCGCACGGGGCTCTCGGGTTTCCCGGCGGGGTGACAGCGGCGGCGATTTTGGGCAAGCTGGCATTACTGCCCCGGGCCTCGGTAACCCGTGTCGCTACCCCCGCGCCCCCCGTCCCCCGCCCGCCCCGCTCACCTGCCACGGGCGACGGCTTCCGCAGCACCAGCCACCTACTCTTCCACTGCGGGGACAGGGGGGAGCGTGAGCCGCCGCCCGCGCCCGCGCCCCCCCCCCCCGCGCCCCCGACGCGCCCCGACCTTCTTGCCGTCCCGCAGCTTGACCTGGCCCTCCACCAGCGCCGCCTCGGTCATCTTCTGTCATGGTTCCGCGCCGCCGCGCTCGCCCCGGCGCCCCAGCCCAGGGTCACTTTCAAAATAGCTCGCAGGGCCCTGGGCTGGGCCAGGAGGGCGGGCCCGCGGGCAGGGCGGCGACACCGGCGACTCCAGGGCCGGCGCGGGCGGGGCTCCTTCTCCTGCGGGCGGCTCCCCCACCCCCACGGGCCCCTCTGGCCCCACCGTCCCGCGGCGGCCACTGGAGCCGCCCGCCCTCTGGAGCAAGCGCACCATCTGGGCTCAGACGCTCAGACCAGCGCCTGGCGGGGCGGGGGTCGGGCGGGGACTTCTTTTTCAAAAAGCAGAGACAACCACCTAGCAGACATCGGCCCCGCTCTGGGCACTGCTCCCAACTTTAAAGTTGGTCTTCAAACAATCCGGCTTCCCAGACTGGCATCTGCCCCTACCCCAGGGGTCACTAGACACCCGGACAACAGACTGGCCACAGGCAGCCCAGGCCTAGGATGCTCTCACATCCCCAGGCTTCCCCCACACTGAGGTGACCCCTCCCCAGGCAGGCAGTAGGGGTCGGGGAGCCCCTGGCAGCCTCTGTCTCTTCCTCCATTTCTGTTCCCATTAAAAGCCTGCAGGGACCCCAGTGCAGGTGGGCGGGTCCAGGACCCACAGTGCCGCCTCAGGGCCCCAGGTCTCCACCTCTTCTGCCCCCATCCCAGGCAAGAGCAGGCCCTGGTTAGGCCAGCCGGCTCCGATGGGCAGAGGAGCTGCCTGCTTTGTAAAGGACCTGCCAGCAGCCCTCCCAGCTGGGTGGACTTTGCGCTTCTGGACTCCCCCTCCTTGACCCTGTGGCTCCAGTCCAGCTGTCCCCAAGCTCTGGCCTGGGCATTAGATGTCACATCCAGGTTCTTCTGCAGAGAGGCCATGTGCTTTGGGGGACCTGGCAGGTCCGTGCCTTGGGTGTCAGCCCCATCCGAGAGACGGCCTCCACCACCCTGGGGTTGGGGACACCCAGCAGATACGGGAACAGCAGTGGGGAGGGGCGATGGCACCCTAGAAGATAAGCACCTGGACAAACAGCAAAGCTCCGTCCACATGCCCTACCCTAGACCCCATCCTCACGGGGCTGACGGTTCTCGGGGGAGAAGAAGGAAGGGGTAGACAGTGTCCCGTTAGGGAGGAGACGTCTTCATTTCATCCCATCCAGACCCTAGGCTGGGCTCTGTCTGCCTCGCACTGAGGAGCAAATGGAATCAGGGCAGCGTGAGGCCTCACAGCCAGGACTGAGCCACATCGGCTGACCTCAGAGCAGGGCTCAGAGGCATCGGGAGCCCTGGGCGCCCCTCCCCACTGCCCCTGTGATCCAAGAGACAGGTCTCCGGTGGGCCACAAGGGTTGGCTTTGGTGCTTCGGTGATGTCTTGTCAGGGCCTCATGCAAGGCGGGGGACACCAGGCCCAGGAAGCAGAATTTTGCATCCCCCACCCACCCCCGCAGTCACCTGTGCAGCCACCAGCCGCCTTCCGCAGAACAGTTGCTGGGTCACAGAGCCCCATTCATGCTCCCCACACATCCCAGGCCCCCAAGGGGCTGGCCCAGGACAGCCGGTGCGGAGGCGGGGGCCGTTGGGGCTGTAGCCACAGACACATCCGCTGCCCTGGGCGCCTGGCACTTGCTTATCCCTACAGGGAGAGGCAGGGCCCTGCTGCATTCCTGAGTGCTGGCCCGGGCCCAGGCTCCTGCCATGCCTGGCAGCTGCACCTGCTCCCACACAGCCTGGAACACACAGGATGCCGGAGGGTAGACAACTCCCTTCCCTGCTCCATGCGGCTCCAGGGCTGCTGAAAGGTGGAGGAAGCTTCCTGCAGGAGGAGGAGGTGGCCTGGCTGCCACTCCCAGACTGGCCGAGAGCGCTGTGACCCTGGGCAAGCTCCTGCCCCGCTCCGTGCCTCAGAAGTTATAGCCAGAAGTTTCCCCAGAAGTTATAGCCAGGGTTGCTGGTTGCAAATGGAGAAATAGGCTGGCCACTGAGTAGGAAGGGGTTGATTGGAAGCAAATCAGGTCTCCAAGAACCAAGGGGAAGGCTGGAGAGCTGGTAGGCAGTGAAAACAGAGCCACATCCTGAAAGAGGAGGACACCACAGCTCAGCCCCACAGCACAGCTGGGCTCCACACGAGGGGCAGGGTCACCACCTTCAAAGGAGCCCACAGTCTCAGGTCACAGCAGCACCCCTGTCTGACCACAGAGCCCTGCTGCGGCTGCCATGCTGCTGCTGGACACTGTGGCCAGGGACACTGCCATCTCTGCCAGACCCCATGGTCGTGGCACATTGCCACCCGCCAGTGGCTCTGTGGCCAAGGGACCTGTCCCTGACTAGCCACACCACCTTCAGCCACCATGTGATCTTACTGGTCTCAGCTTCCTCTTCTACCTTGATACTGTGATGAGCCCCAATGAGATGGCGTCCATGAGCATCTTTCAAAATGATCCAGGGTTTTCCAAGGTGATTCCAAGGGGATGATGGGGACCAGGGGTGGGCTGCTTTGTCTTGCATCTCCAAGTGGCCTGGTGTGTGGGAGAGAAACACGTCAGCTGAGTGTGGCAAGCACTGTACCCTGTGGTCACACCCGTTTGTGCATCCACATTTCCCAGTACCACCACCCCGCCCCCATCAGGTAAGGCTGTATGAGTGAGTTCTGGCCAGTAAGGCATGGGTGGAAGGGGTAACCAACACTTCTGGCCTGCCCATAGGATGCCTGATACAGTTCGACTGTGTCCCCACCCAAATCTCATCTTGAATTGTATTAATAATATTAGCTCCCGTAATCCTCATGTGTTGTGGGAGGGACCAAGTGGGAGGAAATTTAATCATGGGGGTGGGGTTTTCCTGTGCTGTTCTCATGAGAGTGAATAAGTCTCATGAGATCTCATGGTTTTATGAAGGGCAGTTCCCTGCACATGCTCTTTGCCTGCCGCCATGTAAGAGGTGCCTTTGCTCCTCCTTCACCTTCACCATTTCCCTTTGCCTTCAGCAAGCACCTCAGCAGTTCATGTTTTTTTTTTTCCTGGTGGAGTGACCCAAACCTTCATTCCTGAAGTGTCTGGGGGATTTGTAGTCCTGCCTGGATTGGGCTGTTGTAGTTTCCCATTGACCTTAATCACAGGGCATGGTAATATTAATAGACGCCCTAATGGATCTTTTGTAATTCTATGCATACTCTTACTTACCTCCTTTGTGGAGCTGTAGACTGATTTCATCTCGAGAGTCTGGGTCAATCACTCCAGCCAACACTGTAACTCCTTCTTAGCCTGTTGACTTAAAGGTAGGAGGAGCCCAGAGTGTCCAGGTGGCAATCTTAACTTCTAGCTTAATGGAACAGTTGTGTCTCCTGGTGGCAGCGTTCCTCCCTCTGGAACTAAGACCTCTAGGCCAGCAGAACATAATGTCGTGGGAACAGGAAGCAAACATTTTGCTAGTGGATCACTAGGGGTGATGGCGAGTGGTGCCACTTCCACTTGAGTGCCTTGATTCCTGGACCCGTGCATCCTGGCTAAGGGAGAAACAATATCATATCTTGGATGCTGATTCAGAGCATACATGGCCTTCTGGAGAACTTGGTCCCAGCCCTGCAAAGTATTGTCACCTAGTTGGTGTTGTAATTGTGACTTCAGAAGGCCATTCCACCGTTCTACCAATCCAGCTGCTTCAGGATGATGGGGAACGTGGTAAGATCAGTGAATTCCATGAGCATGAGCCCACTGCCACACTTCTTTAGCTGTAAAGTGAGTGCCTTGCTCAGAGGCAATGCTGTGTGGAACACCCTGATGGTGGATGAGGCATTCCGTGAGTCCATGGATGGCAGTCTTGGCAGAAGCACTGCGTGCAAGATAGGCAAACCCACATCAGGAGTAAGTGTCTATTCCGGTGAGGACAAACCTCTGCCCTTTCCAGGATGGAAGAGGTCCAATATAATCAACCTGCCACCGGGGAGCTGGCTGATCACCCTGAGGAATGGTGCCATATTGAGGCTCAGTGTTAGTCTCTGCTGCTGCCAAATTGGGCACTCAGCAGTGGCTGTAGACAGGCCAGCCTTGGCTAGTGGAGGGCTACGTTGCTGAATCTCCATGTGTAATCTCCATCCCTGCCACCATGGCCACTTTGTTCATGGGCCCACTGGGCGATGACAGGGGTGGCTGGGGAAAGAAGCTGAGTGGTGTCCACAGAACAGGTCATCCTACCCACTTGATTATTAAAATCCTCCTCTGCTGAGTTCACCCATTGGTGAGCACTCACAGGGGACACAAATATCTTCCGTTTTTGACCACTCGGAGAGGTCCATCCACATACCTCTTCCCCAAATGTCTTTGTCACCAATTTTCCAATCATGCTTCTTCCAAGTCCCTGACCATCCAGCCAAACCATTGTCTACAGCCCATGAATCAGTACATAATCACACACCTGGCCATTTCTCCTCCCATGCAAAGTGCACAACCAGGTGCACCGCTCCAAGTTCTGCCCACTGGGAAGACTTCCCTTCACTGCTGTCCTTCAGGCATGTCCTAAAAAGGGGCTGTAGTGCCGCAGCTGACCACTTTCGGGTGGTGCCTGCATATCGTGCAGAAGCATCTGTGAGCCAGGTCCTAGTCTTCTCTTCCTCTGTCAAATGATTGTTGCAGGCCGAAAGAGTGAGGGTCACGATCAACTCAGTATACCACCAGAGGCTATACGAGTAAACAGCAAACTGTTCTCATAAAAGCAGGTTGTTGGTGAACTGACAAACCACATATGCTGCCCAGAAGGACTGCTGAGAGCAGTCACGACCCACGCACAAGTGTTTCTTGTGATTAGGTAACTATGAAGCCTGTTAGCAATAATGTGAACCTGAGATCAATTAAGGAGCTGACCAATCATTACCTCCTGCTCCCTGATCTTTCTACCCAACATGAAGGGCTATAGAAGCTCAGGGTGGCTGCCCTTGCTCACTAGAAACTGGGAGCCCTCTTCTTCCCCGTGCTCTTCCTTTAAAATAGTTTCTTGTTTTTTGTTTTCATTTCTACATTCATCCTCCTTCGTTCAGTCCCGTAGTAACCATGGCAAACCGCGGCAAATGATCACAGGGAACTCCCCATGAGGCCATTGGTGCAGGCTGGGGGAGAGGAGGCAGGGTGGCAGGAGTGGAGACCATGGGCATTTGAGCCACTTCCTCATGTAAAACTTACTTGTGCCTTCAGGATCTGCTTGAGCCCAGTCACATATATACCACTTCTCTTTGATGACGGAATGCTGCTGTGCATGACCCACTTTATGGCTAGACGGGTTGGAAAGCACCCGTTCATGACGGGCAGTTCAGGTTGCATGGTGACTTGATGACCCATAGTCAAATGTTCAGTTTCCACCAAAGCCCAGTAACAGGCCAAGAGCTGTCTTTCAAAAGGAGAGTAGTTATCTGCGGAAGATGGCAGGGCCTTGCCCCAAAATCTGAGAGGTCTGTGCTGTGATTCACCTATGGGGGCCTGCCAGAGACTCCAAACAGCATCCCTATGTGCCACTGACACCTCAAGCACCATTGGATCTCTTGGGTCATATGGCCCAAGTGGCAGAGCAGCTTGCACAGCAGCCTGGACCTGTTGCAGAGCCTTCTCCTGTTCTGGACCCCACCCAAAGCTGGCAGCCTTTCAGGTCACTCGGTAAATGTACCAGAGTAACACACCCAAATGAGGACTGTGTTACCTCCAAAATCCATATAGGCCCACTAAGCATTGTGCCTCTTTCTTGGTTGTAAGAGGGTCCAAATGCAGCAACTTATCCTTCACCTTAGGAATATCTCGACAGGCCCCAAACCACTGGACCCCTAGAAATGTTGTTGATGTAGAAGGTCCCTGAATTTTAGTCGGATTTATTTCCCATCCTCTGGCACACAAACGTCTCACCAATAAGTCCAGTGTGTTTGCTACTTCTTGCTCACTGAATCCAGTCACTGTAATGTCATCAATGTAATGAACCAGTGTGATATCTTGCAGAAGCGAAAAGCGATCAAGGTCTCTCCGAATAAGATTATGACACAAAGCCGGAGAGTTGATATACCCCTGAGGGAGGACAGTAAAGGTATATTGCTGCCTTTGCCAGCTGAAGGCAAATTGCTTCTGGTGGGCCTTATGGACAGGAATGGAGAAAAAGGCATTTGCCAAGACAATGGCTGCATACCAGGTACCAGGAGATGTGTTAATTTGCTCAAGCAATGAAACCACATCTGGTACAGCAGCTGCAACTGGAGTGACCACTTGCTTAAGCTTACGGTAATCCACTGTCATTCCCCAAGATCCATCTGTCTTCTGCACAGGCCAAATGGGAGAGTTGAGTGGGGATGTGGTGGGAATCACCACCCCTGCGTCTTTCAAGTCCTTGATGGTGGCACTAATCTCTGCAGACCCTCCAGGGATGTGATATTGTTTTTGATTTACTCTTTTTGTAGGTAGAGGCAGCTCTAATGGCTTCCATTTGGCCTTCCCCACCATAATAACCCTCACTCTACCTGTCAGGGAGCTAATGTGGGGGTTCTGCCTGCTGCTAAGTATGTCTATACCAATTACGCATTCTGGCACTGGGGAAATGACCACAGGATGAGCCCGGGGACCCACTGGACCCACTGAAAGTCAGACCTGAGCTAAAACTCCATTAATTACCTGACCTCCATAAGCGCCTACTTTAACTGGAGGACCACAATGACGTTTTGGGTCTCCTGGAATCAATGTCATCTTAGAGCCAGTGTCCAGTAGTCCCCAAAATGTCTGATCATTTCCCTTTCCCCAACATAGTTACCCTGGTATAAGGCTGGAGGTCTCCTTGGGGAAGGATGGGAGAAAGATTAACAGCATAGGCCGGGTGCGGTGGCTCACGCCTGTAATCCCAGCACTTTGGGAGGCCGAGGTGGGTGGATCATGAGGTCAGGAGATCGAGACCATCCAGACTAACAAGGTGAAACCCCATCTCTACTAAAAATAGAAAAAATTAGCTGGGTGTGGTGGCAGGCGCCTGTAATCCCAGCTACTTGGGAGGTTGAGGCAGGAGAATGGCGTGAACCCGGGAGGCGGAGCTTGCAGTGAGCCGAGATTGCACCACTGCACTCCAGCCTAGGTGACAGAGCAAGACTCTGTCTCAAAAAAAAAAAAAAAGAAAGAAAGAAAGATTAACAGCATAAATTGTCAGTAGTGTAGTGGAGTCCTTCCTCAAGGGGACCCAGCCTCCCCTTCATTCAAGGGGTTCTGGGTCTGTAAACTGTCTCAAGTCTGGAAATTGATTGAGGGGCTGTGATTCTCTGTTTTTATAATTCATATTAGTCTTTTGTCCATTCGCCCTAGAAGTTTTCTGCTTATATAAATTAAGCAGGATTGCAGTAGGCTTCCTGTCAATTTCACTTTTTAGGAACACTGTGATTAATTAGCCAATGCCAGAGCTCTACACAAGTCAGACTATTCTGATTGCCACTTTGCCTCTGCTGTCCATTATGGTAGCTGTGCCCACCTTGCCTTTGATGGTTGAGTGCCGCCACTTGGCCCCTGCCACCTCAGGATCCAGTTATTCCCATCATCCCATTAAATCATATTTAAATTTTGTAGTTGAGTGACTGTGGTTCCCACTGTTAGATCTGACATACAGAGAAGAGCAATTACAGGGCCCTTCAAAGACGCAGGTGCTGCCCTCAAAAATCTATTTCGCAAGGCATTGGTCAAGGGTATATCTTCTGGACCCTCCCAGCTGGGATGAGTAGGTCTAAAGTGACTAATCCACTCCACCACCTCAATCTCCCTAAGCCTTTGGATCCCTTCCTCTACATTAAGCCAAGGGAGATCAGGCATTTCCAACTTGCTCACAGTGGGCCATCTTTTAATCCATATTTCAGCCAACCAAGCAAATAAACTATTAGAACCTTTTTGAACTCCTGAGCTGTGACATTAAATGCAGAGTCCCTGCTTAGTGGGCCCAAATCAATAAATCCAGCCCGATCCAACTCTATGTTCCTTCCACCATTATCCCACACCCTTAATATCCATTCCCATGCCTGTTCTCCAGATTTCTGTTTATATCAATTAGAGAATTCAAATGCTTATTTTCAAGTGTAGCACACCTCCTTATGGGTCACACTCTCAACCTCACCTCTAGGCGCCCACTGGGACTTTAGTCTAGTTATAGGTTGAGAAACAAACAGGGGTGTTAGGGTTGGCTCCTCAGGAGAATCAACATTATCTTGTCTGGCAACTGCCTCATGGGAGGCCATCACTGTTGCCTCAGGCAGTGCAGGATTTATCTCCTCAGACAAAGGTGGAAAGGCTGATGGCAGCATGGGTTAGGGAGGGAATGTTGCCACTACTGGGGATGGGGAAGCTCTTCCTTCTGGTGAAAAATGTTCATCAGAGTTTACAAACTCAGTGTCCCCAGCTTCATCAGGGTCCTCCCACACATCCCCATTCCAAGTTGCAGGGTCCTATTCTTTTCCAATCAGTGCCCTCACTTTAACAGTAGACACCTGGCGAGGCTGTGCACGTACCTTTCATTGCAGGTCAGTCACTCGCATGGTAAGAGCTTGTGTCTGTTTTTCCACGATTTCAGCTCTTTCTCTAAAGGAGATAAGACTCTCAATGAGGGCAATCTTAGAAGATTTGAGGCTCAGTATCTGCTTCTGAAGCTGAGAGTTAGAATCCCTGAGTTCATCATTTTCTTTCATCACTTTGTCCACCGAACTTTAGGAGCAACCAACCAGCTTCATTAGCTCTTTGGTTCTCCACATGTGGTCAAAGGTATTATGTATAGAGTCACTAAACTCCCTGCCTCTCATGAGCAGTGAATCAAGAGTGTCAAATGCATTTAATTTGCATAGCTCTCTAAATAGTTCATGCCAAGGACTATCGGTGTTCTCCATGCCATTAGAAGTAGAGTCCTTAGAATTTTTGGGTCTAATCATATTAAGCAGGCAACTCCAGAAATCCCAAAACCAACAAAAGAAGTCCATCCTTAATATTCTATTCTTCTAGAACCACTCCTGGTACCAAAATCTGTATTAGGGCTCTCTAGAGGGACAGAACTAATAAGATAGATAGACATATATAAAGGGGAGTTTATGAAGTATTAACTCACGTGATTGCAAGGTCCCGCAATAGGCTATCTGCAAGCTGAGGAGCAAAGAAAGCCAGTCTGAGTCCAAAAACTGAAGAACTTGAAGTCCAATGTACAAGGGCAGAAAGCAGCCAGCACAGGAGAAAGATGTAGGCTGGGAGGCTAGGCCAGTCTAGTCTTTTCGTTTTTGTGTCTGCTTATATTCTAGCCACACTGGCAGCTGATTAGATGGTACCCACCCAGATAAAGGGTGGATATGCCTTCCCCAGCCAAATGACTCAAATGTTAATCTCTTCTGGCCACACTCTAACAGACATACCAAGGATCAATACTTTGTATGCTTCAATCCAATCAAGTTGACACTCAGTATTAAACATCACAGTGGAACTTCCCGAGAGTGGGTCTTCCTCTCCCCAGTCCACTGACTCAATTGTTAATCTCTTCTGGCAACACCCAGAAACACCCAGATACACTCAGAAACAATAATTTATATCCTTCGACCCAGTCAAGTTGACACTTCATATTAACCATCACAACCAGGAACAACTTTGTGTCAATGAATATAAAAAATTAGACAGATGAATTTTTTTTTTCTGTGAGACAGAGTCTTGCTTTGTCACCCAGCCTGGAATGCAGTGACAGGATCTCAGCCCACTGCAATCTCCACCTCCCAGGTTCAAGCAATTCTCTTGCCTCAGCCTCCTGAGTAGCTGGGATTACAGACACCTGCCACCACACCCAGCTAATTTTTGTATTTTTAGTAGAGATGGGGTTTCACCATGTTGGCCAGGCTGGTCTCAAACTCCTAACCTTGTGATCCACCCGCCTCGGCCTCCCAAAGTGCTGGCATTACAGGCATAAGCCACCACACCTGGGTGACAGATAAATTTATAAAAGCATAACTTCCTGTAACTGACTCAAGAAGAAATAAAACTAGTCCCATAACTATTAAAGACATTGAATCAGTAGTTAAATACAATCCTGTAAAGAAAACACCAAGACAGGTAATTTTATGGGTGAATTCCATTTAACTTTCAAAGGATAGATCCTTCCAACTATATACAGAATTTTCCAGTGAATTTTGATAAAAGAAGAACTTATTTTATGAGGCTGGGATAGCCTTGATAACAGTCATTCAGAGAATATAGGAAAGGAAAATTATAGGCCAATCTCATAAACATACATGCAAAATCCTAAATAAAATATAAATTTTAAAAAGTTTTTAAAAACCAATACAGCATGTATCAGTCAGGGTCCCAATAGGCGGGCACACACAGTGGAACAGTTCAAGGAGGGTTTTTATATACAAAGTTGTGGTCAAAATGTGGACAATCACAGTCAGAAACTCCAGAGCCCAGGGCTGGTTAAGGTGGAGGGGCCACACCAGTTCTAGAATGCTGGCAATGGCAGGAGTGGACCCCGGAGCCTCAGAAGGAGAAAGTCTTTTACATCTTGAGAGCAGCGCTGACCTTCAGTCCCAGGATGCAGCCAACCTGAGGGTATTTGTTTGCTACGGGGACCATAATAAACTGCCACAGATTGGGTGCCTTCGACAAGAGAAGCTTATCACCTTGCAGTTCTGGAAGCCAGAAGTCCAAAACCCAGGGGGCAGCAGGCTTGGCTCCCTTGGAGTCCAGCAGGGGGCACCTGCTCTAGGCCTCTGGCCCTGGTTTGTGGACGGCCATCTTCTCTCCAGGTGTCTCCCATCGCCCTCCTACTGTACATGTCTGCGTCCTGTAAAAAGAAGCCATTCAAAACCAAAGTTGTTGGAACTTTAAATTATTTTGCATCTTCAAGGAACATGATTATAGGACCTGAGTTGCGTATGACGGTCAGCTGTAGCTTAGGCAGCTGTAACCTTTGTTCCTCTGATTATAGATTAGCTTTTTCTTTACCTACATTGTTCTGTAAAATGTTATAAAAGACTACAGGACACCAGGGAAGACCCCTTCCCTCTTCATGTTGATCTTCACTGTAGATTTGCTCCCCTCTGACTTCTCTTACACAGAGACCTCACTGGCCACCACGTTGTCTAAGACAGAACGTTCAATAGGCTCTTTCAAATTGGAAAAGGAAAAGAAAACAAGCTGTGATTAATCAAATTGCTGTGACTCATAAACCAGCCTTGCATGGGAAGCACTGTAACCCTGTTCAATTTGTTTATTTTCTGCCTGTATAAGCAAGACCTTCACTTTTTGGCTTTGGGGTACTGGCTCTAATCCTCTGGAGTCTGTGTGTCCTGAGTGGCTATTTTCAGCTTCGTGCCTGCATATGCTCTTTTAAACTGGATTCTGATCCTTTTGATTATTTCAGGTGGATAGTCCAAATTTTCTCTTCTCATTAGGACACCAGTCATATTGAGTTAGTGCCCATCCTAATAACCTAATTTGAACTTGATTGCCTTTTTAAACATTCTATCTCCAAATACAGTCACATGCTGGGCTATTAGGGGTTAGGACTTCAACATATGAATTAATTAATTTATTAAAACAGGATCCTGCTCTGTACCCAGGCTGGAGTGCAGTGGCGTGATCATGGCTCACTGCAACCTCCACCTCCTGGTGGAGGTGATCCTTCCCCTTCAGCCTCCTGAGTAGCTGAGACTACAGGTGCATGCCACCATGCCCGGCTAATTTTTTTGTAGAGACTGGGTTTCATCCTGTTGCCCAGGCTGGTCTTGAATTCCCACCTGGGCCTCCCAAAGTGCTGGGATGACAGGTGTGAGCCACTGCGCCCAGTCATCATATGAATTCTAGAAGGACATAATTCCACCTGAAACACTGAGGTGACTGACCCCAAAGAAAGGGAGCCAGGAAAATACATGCCCAGTCTCTCTCCCCTGCCTCTGATCTCCCAATAGCCCAACAAGAAACAAGAGAGTGCACAGCCCATTGCAGACCAGAGAGGCCAGCCTCCCGCGGCAGAGCACGACGGGAACAAGCAGGGCACAAGTGGGAGGGGCAAAGGGAAGACCCCAGCTCACACTTCAGCTCAATACCGTCCACTCGAGGAATACAAGGCCAACCTGAGTTAGAAAACCTATCATGTGCCGGGCGCAGTGACTCACGCCTGTAATCCCAGCACTTTGGGTGGCCGAGTTGGGCGGATCATTTGAAGTCAGGAGTTCAAGACCAGCCTGGGCAACGTGGTGAAACCCCATCTCTACTAAAAATACAAAAATTAGCCGGGCGTGGTGGCAGGCACCTGTAATCCCAGCTACTCGGGAGGATGAGGCAGAAGAATCACTTGAGCCTGGGAGGCAGAGGTTGTGGTAAGCCAAGATCGCGCCACTGCACTCCAGGCTGGGTGGCAGAGTGAGACCCTGTCTCAGAAAGAAAGAAAAAAAATGAAGAAAAGAAAGAAAGAGAGAGAGAGAGAGAAAGAAGAAAGAAAGAAGAAGAAAAAAGAAAAAAGAGAGAAAAAGAGAGAGAGAAAGAAGAAGAAAGGAAGGAAGAAAAGGAAGGAAAGAAGGAAGAAGGGAGGGAGGAAGGAAGGAAGAAGGGAGGGAGGGAGGGAGGGAGGAAGGAAACCTATCATGGAAGTCATCATGTTAGTGAAGCCAAAGGGAAAATGTGTACATTTATCTCAACAGAGGCTGAGGAAGCATGTGAAAATGCTCACCGCTCATGGCGGAAGGGTCAGGGACGGCTCACATCGGATGTGGGTGAAGCGGGGCTGAAGCCATGAGGTTCAGAGCCCCAGAACCAGCTGCTGGAGGCCCCCACACTCAGGAGGAAGAGCGGCTCCACTCTCAGGATCCTGGGGCACAGGTGCCAGACTCAGTCCCCCAGCCACTGCCCAGGCTGCACCAACACTGTGGCAGGGGCAGGGGTCTTCAGTGGCAAGTTCGTTCCGTGAGCTCGAAGGCTCTGAGGCCCATGCACAGCAGCAGGGGCCGTGGGGAGAAGGGCCTGGCCATGTCTCTCTTCCCTCTTTGCTCAGAACCCGGCTTTGCTTGGGGCGGTAACTGTGTGGCCCCAATGCCCCATTTCCTGCCCTCCCAGCCTCCGTACAGCCTGGGGCGGCGCCAATCTGCTGGGGAAGGGGCTCCCGACGAAAGGGAACAGCTGTAACTGCAAACCACTGCCTCCCCGAGACCAGGACGCCAGGAAGGAGGTGGGGCGCAGGAGAGAAGGTCCTGGGTGCCTCGAAGCAGGGAGGAGGCCTGACCCCCACCAGCCACACTCCCGCCCTCTCTGCCCTCTGGCCCCACCTCCCCCTGTCTCCTGTCCTCCCTGGCTGGAGGGAGGGTACGGCCTCTGCCTGCCCAGCAGTGACCCTCTAACTGGGCCCCATCTAGCACATGGGCCCCTCCCTCCCTCAGCCCCCACAGAGGCAGCCTGTGGCCTCCTCCCTCCCGGGAAGTGCAGCCCAGGCTCAGGCAGGCGGGCTGCCATCTGGAAGACCAACGACGGCCTGCGGGTGTTCCCGTGGGGCCGCTCTTTCTTCTTCAGGTTCAATACTCCGTGCACCACGCGGATCGGACCCCTCCACGCCTGGGGGCCTGGACTTGGTTTCCACTTCCTGCCCTGGGACAACCCAGGTGCTGAGCCCCGGCCTGGGGCTGGCCTGGGAGGGGGCTGGACTCTGCTGGGGCCTGGAGAGGCCCAGACCTCATCCCCTGACAACTCTCTGGGCCGTGGGGCCAGACCCCGCTGTGGGGCCACAGGCTCCGTCTCCACTGAGGACTGTGTGCGCTCCAGAACGGCAGCCTGAGGCCTGCTGCGCATAGACCTGGGCCCCAGTCATGGCCTGGAGGGGAAGGCGGGGCCGCAGGCAGGGGCCAGGCAGCGTGGGCCGGGTTCTTGGAAATATCTTTATTGTCAGCAAGGCAGGGAATGGTGGGAACCAGGGTGTCCCGCTGGAGGGTCAGGAGGGAGCCACAAGCCGCCTGGGAGGCCGTATCCGGTCGTTGATCCAGTCCACATAGTTGGCCACGCGGGTGTAGACCCCCGGCTTGTGGAGCCGCCCGCAGCCGTCACCCCAGCTGATGATGCCGTAGAGGTAAGCCACGCCGTTCTTCTCGCAGGCCAGGGGCCCCCCTGAGTCCCCCTGGGCAGAGACGTTGGTCAGAGCCACCCTCCCAGGGGCCTGGTTCAGGGACCCCCCTCTCCCCCAAGTGGCAGCTTGGGGACAGAGGACAAAGGCATTTCTGAGCAAGGGAGCTGATCCACTCTCCTGAACCTCATGAAAAGGTGTCTCATTCCCTGGGGGCAGCACTGGCTGGGCCAGGGCATCCAACCACGTTATTCCCCTTCCTGAAGCCACGGTCCCCCTCTCCCCACCAGCATGAACCCTGTGTGGACCACACAGCCACCCTGTGTCCCAGCACCTCCTGAAATGACTTCTTCACTCCCTGGAAAACTCCTACGCATCACTCAGGACCAGTGCAAACACTCCCTCCTCCAGGAAACCATCCTGACTTCCCTTATCGAGGTCCAGTGACAAGCCCTACCCACTCTACCACTCCTGGGCTTTGTGGCCTTGGAAGAGTGAATTGACTGCCTGGGGCTCAGTCTCCCCAGCTATAAAATGGGGCATAAGAGAGCCGTCGCATGCCAGGGTTGCCGTGCCGCCTGAGCACACAGGCCTGCAGAGCCCAGGACGTGGTTGGGCTGTTGGGCTTATTGAAGGTTGAAGAACTTATTGAAGGTTGAAGAGCTGGCTTGAGAGAACTCGGGGCAAAGGGGCCTTTGGTGCCTAGTGTCACACGGAAAGCACTGCCTTGGGCTGGACAGCCAGGAACTGTCCGGGCTCTGTGGGACCCCAGGCCCCTCTCAGAGCCTGGGTCTCCCCTTCTGTGTGAGGAGGATGCCCTTCCGGCAGGGCTCTGGGTGGCCCTGGGGTGCTGGCCACCGACAGTAAGTGTGCTCCCTGCCCAGGGGTCCCTGGCTGGCCCTGCCAGGTTGGGGTGCCGCCAGGCTCTGGGCTCCCCAGGGGCAAGCATCTCGGAGACTCAGGACCAGCTGAGCCCCCACCAGTCGGGTCCTGGTGGGGCGGGCACCAGCTCACCTGGCAGGCGTCGGACTTGCAGTCGAAGTAGCCGGCACAGAGCATGTTGGGGCTGATGTCGGCGCCGTAGACCTCAGGGCTGCTGCACTTGTGGTCGGCGACCAGGGGGACCAGGGCCTCCCGCAGGGAGCTGGAGTAGCCGCTCACGTCTGTGGGACACAATGCCCTCAGCGTGACACCCACACTGTGGCTGGCCACTGTCCACCCTGGCGGGGCGCTGGGCGCCCCCCTCCCAACTCACTCTCATCCAAGTGGCCCCAGCCCGCAATCTGGCACTTGTGTCCTGCGGGGAAGGTGCTGCCGGGCTCGGGCAGGCAGATGGGCTGCACGAACTGCGAGCGTGTGGCACAGCGGTCCCCTTTCTTCTTCAGCCGGATCAGGACTGATCAGAAGAGTGGCCAGGGTCAGCCTGTGGTGTGCGGGCTGAACGGGAGGCTGTCGGGGCCCGTGGTGGAGGGAGGGTAGCCAGTGGGGTCCACAGGGCAGCCTGGGAGATCCAGAAGGGAGCGGTGCCCTGTCCTCCCTGCCCTGCCCCCAGCTTCCCCCGCACCACATGTCTGCCCAGCTCCTGCCCCTGTCTGGGCCTGGCCTGGGGAGCACAGGGCCCACCTGCCCAGAGTGCAGCCACGACACGCCGGAGCTCACCGAGGTCGTGGTCGCTGGGGTTGAACACCGAGTACAGGGTGTACGGGATGTACTTCTCGATGCCGAAGGTCTGCGTCACGTCCGTCGTGCGGTTGAAGAAGTGCTGGCCCAGCACCACGGAGACGCTGTCCCTGGGGGGGCTGTGCAAGGGGGGCTGGAGGCTGCATGGACCAGCCCTCCCCCAGCCACCGGGCTCACCTCTCCCCACCCCCTGTCAGGCCCACGGAGGCCAATGGTGTGGGACCCTGGTCCCGGGGAGGGGTCTGAGCAGGTGCCTGGGTGTGGGCTGTTGATACTGGGGAGACAGGGACCACCAAGCAGGGGCTATTGCCAGTCACCCCCAGATCCAGGCATGGGAGCTGAAGTGCGGTGCCATCCCTCCTGACAACACTGGTCACAAGCCCTGGGGGGAGTCTCAGGCCAAGCCCAGGCAGGATCGGCTGCAAGGCCGACCCGAGTGGGTGGAGACCTGGCCTGCTCAGGCCCTGCCCCAGCTTCCATCCACATTGTGGGGTCCCCAGATGCAGCCCTCACTCCTGCTGGGCACAGAGCCTGGGCCCCTGAGCCTGGCTCCCATCTGCTGTGTGGAGGTCGCTCCACCCTGCCTCGGCCTCCTGCCCTGGGCTCCATGTGGGGAACCCCATTTCTCCACACTGAGGAAGGCTCTGGCCCCATTTGCAGGCCCAGGAGCCGCCGGCTGCAGGTTCTGCAGGGCCACGCAGGACCCCACCCTGGGAGCTGTGGTCCTCGAAAGGCCGCCAGACCCTCGGCTGGCCGGACCCCTGCCCCTAATCACTGGGGTGCCCATCGAAGGTGGAAGGGCGTCTGGCCCAGGCTGCTCCGTCTCAGGGTCTCCCCACTCGAGGCCCGCCTCCCAGAGTGTGGGCCTGGGTGGCTGTGCGCCCCCACTGAGGGGAGCCGGCTGAGTGGGCTGGGCCTCAGTTTCCCTGGCTGTGCTTGGGCTCCTAGGGCTCTGACGCATTGTCACTGCGCTCCCTGGCTCCCTACTGAGAGCCAGGACTCTGGGAGGGGCGGGGCCTGCGGGGAGGACAGGACCTGGCCCACTGCACTCTCCGCAGGCGCTGGGTCCTCTGTGGAAATGCCACTGACCCCTGGCCTCCCTCAATAGGGACAGGGTTTCTGGAGTGTCCATGCATGCCCAGCTCAGGACTGAGCCCCAAGACCCAGAGGGGTCAGAGAGGGTTACCGGGGACCCCGGGAAGGGGTCAGCAGAGGCACCGGGATGGGGTCCGCAAGCGGGTGGGGACAGGCGCATAGTGACGCTGGATGGTGTGTGGGGCCTCAGGGCAGGTGACTGGGGCCCAGAGGAGGTGCACCTGTGGGAGAAGCAGTGGGCGGCCGACACCACCCAGCAGGTGTGGACCAGGCTCCCGGCGCAGAAGCTGTCCCCGATGTAGATGGCGGCCAGCCAGGGGTGCGAGCCGGGCAGCGAGGAGGAGCCGCCGATGATACGTGGCCGCAGGAACGTCCTCTTCTTGTGCCTCCTGCCGCAGGCCTGGCGCCCCGGGGAGGCTGGCTCAGGCAGGGTCGCCAGGAGATCCGGTGACAGTTGGACTCTGGTGAGGGATTCTGGGAGCAAAGGTCACCGGGTCACACCCCTGGGGTTCACAGGGCCAGCCCCCTTCCACACACAGGCCCTACCCGGCAGGAGGCGCTGCAGAGGGCCATGGCCGGACCCCCTGTCCACGCTGCTCAGGCCCTGGCGCCCACTCACCTCTGCCCTCAGTTTCCAAATCTGTAGAATGGGGTTTGATGCCCGATCCCGAGGCTCTGTGAGGGCCAGAGGGGCTGGACACACGGAGGCCTTTGTGGCCCCCTCAGCAGCCCGGAACCCCACAGCCAGCCCCAGCACAGTCAGAGACCCCCACATGAGAGCCCCGGGCTGGCCCCGCCGGGGTCCTAGGGAGCCGGGGGGCCTCTCCCCAGGGCAGGAAGCAGGTGGCCTCTGGGGGGCCTGCACGCTGCCCTCCCTGCACCTCCCTGAAAGGCTTCTGCGGCCATCCTGGGCATGGTCCAGGCTGGGCAGGTGCCACCCCGAGGCCGTCGCCTGGTGACCAGCCCCCTGCAGCGGGCTGCTTCCCCACTGTGACCCCAGTACCGACCCACTGCGTGACCTTGGACCAGCCTGATCCCGTGAGCTCCAGTTTCCCCATTTGTCAGAGATGCAGTAGCCAGGTGTGCGGAGGGGCTAGGAGGATCACGGGGAAAACTGCTGTGACCTCGGTGGGGCCCAAGGCAGCACCCCCCGCCAGCCGCGCACCGCAGGCCTCCAGGCGGCAGTACTCCCAGGAGAGCGCGCTGTCCTTCACCACGTAGCACCAGGGCCTCTCGTCATTGTCCGGATTCCTGCGGTGCATAAGTGGGGGCTGGCAGGGAGTCACACTGCCCCTCGAAGAGGGCATGGGGAGGGGGCATCGGAACCCCCAGCAGGGCGGTTCCCCGCACCTGGAGCAGTGGGAAGAGAGTGGCCCTCCCTCGGGCAGCCTCCCAGGCAGAGGTTCCGGGGCCTGTCTGGACGGAGCTGGCCCCGCCTGGGTCCTAGGGAGCCGGGGGGCCTCTCCCCAGGACAAATCCTGCCTGCCCCGCATGCGGCGGCCTGGAGCGGCGTGGTGCTGACCGGCAGTAGGCATGGGGGCCCAGGCCCAGCAGGGCCGCGGCGCCCACGGAGTCCACGTGCAGCTCCTGGTAGAGCAGATCGGAGTTCCAGGCCAGGCAGCTGAGGCCCGAGGCTGAGGTGCTGGCCACGCCACGGTACCCAGTGCCGTTCCCCAAGAAGCAGCGCTCATCAGGCTCTGCGGGCAGAGGGGCAGTGAGGCCGGCCCACGGTGGGTCCACCCGGCACTGCCCCAGGGCACCCCGGGGGGCTGACCCACTCACCGATGTTGCAGAGCCGTCCAGCGAAGCCTGGTGGGCAGGCACACACGGTGGTCCCGGTGGCCACGATCAGGTGGCAGGTGCCCCCGTTCAGGCAAGGGCTGCTCAGACAAGCTGGGGGCAGGGCCGAGGAGCTGGGCCAGGGGCCGCGCAGTGCCCCACGACAGCGGAGTCGGGGCCGGGGTCCACCCCTTGTCCCTTGTTTCTGGGTGACCTCAGGCCATTCCTCCCACTCGGGTGTGGACAGGGACACCCGTCAGGGGTCAGTGGCACGGCTCACACCCCGTGGCGCACCTGTATGTCGGGTGCCTTCGCACCAGGTCCGGCCCCCGAAGCACTCGCACTGTTCCACGTGGCCCTGGCGCACGCGGGCCCAGCGGTCGCCCCCCTCCAGGTACTCGTAGCGGGTCTCATCAAAGCATTTCTCTGAGGGGTGCACAGTAAGCCCTCACACCCTGCCACCTGCTGTCCCCGTGCAGGGCCCCTGCCCTGCACTCGGGAGCCACCTGTTCTCCCATCCTCCGGGGACTTGCTCCGGCCCCTGGACCCCTGCGGACCTCCGAGGCCCAGCTCACCTGTGCCGCAGTCCTTGCCGGTGAAGGCCCGGGGGCAGCTGCAGTGATAGGACTGGGGGTCCTGGGTATTGGAGCAGGAGCCTCCATTGAGGCAGGGGCCGGAGGCACAGGGATCCAGGGCAGCTGGGGACATGCGGGAGGGGGTGTGAGGGGCGGACTGGGAGGCTCAGGGTCCCTCTGTGACATTCTCTGCTTGCTAAGGCGTCCATCAGGCCCCAGTGAGGGGCTCTGAGAGCAAAGGGGCCCTCTCTACGCCCCTCGGGGTGCAAGGTCCCTGGGAGGGGCACAGACCTCCCCTTCCTCCCAGCGTCCCCCACTCAACACCTGGGCCACTGGCCCAGCTGTGCACGTGGCTTCCTGGAAGCCTGACACCCACACTGTCAGGCAGCAGACCCCTCCCATGTGTCCCAGGACCCATGTGAGCAGGGCGGCTGGCACCGCACCCCACAGACCCTGCCCACCTGTCCCCTGCCTGGGGCACGCCTGTGTGGCTGCAGGGCCCGGCCTCACCACCAGGCGGCGCCTTGGCCCCAGCGATGGCCGCGCAGCCACCATGAGACGCAGGTCCCACCTGGGAGAGGCTCTGGCCCTAAGTGGCACCCACCGGGGTTAATCCCAGAGCTCCTCTTCTGCTCCCCTCCAGCCAGGACCCCTGCCCGGGTCCGCCCCATCCTCCCCTTGGCCCTTCTGGCCTGGCCCAGTGCCCCCTGCCCGCCCCAGGCTACCCAACCCAGCACCCACCTGGGCCCCCTGGAGGCGGGGTGGCCTCCACACAGTAGCCCCAGGCCCTGTCCCGGTCGTAGTTGTGAGTTGTGGCACACCTGGGGGGCGACACCTGCGTGCATGGGGGTCCCAGGCAGAGGCCCCCCACCCCACCCCACCACCCTGGAGGGTCTCTGGGTTCACTGGGTCCGCCTGCTGCGTGGTGAGCGCCTACTGTGTGCCCGGCTCCCAGAAAAGCAGGCAGCGTGGGGCAGGTGACCCCAGCTCGGGTGCCCCGGCTGCCCGGACCCACCACTTCCTGTGTGCACTGCCCTCCGAAGTGCAGGCATGCAGCATGCGGCCCCCGTAGCGGAAGGGGAACCTGCAGGGCCTCCCGTCCTCGGTGAGTGCTGTGGGGAGGGGGTGGCAGGGTCAGGGCTCCCTCGAGGGGCACCCGAGCCCCTCAGGACCTCCAGCCGCAGCCATGCTCCTCCCACCCAGCCCTAAGGTGAAGCACGACACCTCCTCCCAGGCCCACCTGACCCACCTTGGGCCTGGGGGCTACTGCTCGAGGGAACTGCCCTGGGCGGGGGCGGGAGCCCCCCACTTTGGGGTCCCTCTGCCTCTGGAGCACTTGTTGCTGGGGTCTCAGAGGTCACAGAGGTCACCAGGATAGTGGGGATCGCAGGGGTCGCTGTGGCATTAGGTTCTGGGGACTCCGTACGGTTCTAGGAGGAGCAGAAAGGGTGTCAGTGTGGGACAGACCCTCACACTCAGGTCCTGCCGGGCAGGAGGTCACAGCCCTGAGCCTGTTTCCATACTGGGGCCCCCAGATCTCGGAGCAGGTTCCAGGAGGACACACGACATTCCTGAGGCCTCAGCCAGGCCCTGACACCTTCCCCGCCCTCGGCCCCTAGTTAACACCTGCTCAGGGTCACTGCCCAGGCCCAGGCACTGCTACCCACCAAGCTTAAACCCTGACGTCAGTTTTTGGTGATGGGAGCAGCTAGGAGGCCCTGGGAGGTTCCCCCAACCTCACGCATCCAGACCCAACAGAGGTCCAGAGAGAGGGGGCAGCCCCCAGACCCATAGGGGCCCAGGCCAGGCCGCACAGGGATGACAGCCCCCAGGTGGGGCTCCGTGAGCCCAGGCCCCAGCCTCCAAGGCCAGTCCAGCACCCACCTGCCCTGTGAGGGCCAGCTTTCAACGTAAGCCCCCTGCTCGGACCCCCGCCCCCTCAAATCCCCACGCTCTGTGGCGACCCTCCCTCTGGCCTCCTCCCAAGGACCCCAAGTAGCCACTGGGAACCTCTGGTCGCACTGCGACAAGGTCAGTGCTCACCCCGCCAGGCTGGGGCTGGAACCCCCGTGGCAGCAGCAGCAGCAGCAGGAGGAGGAGGAGGAAGGGGCCCAGCCCCGGTGGGGGCCAGGGGCTGGGGACCCAGGCCCAGCGCCCCATGGCTCCTGAGCTGGCCTGAGGGGCAGTGGGAGGCGGGAGCAGAGCGGCCAAGGCAGGTGGGGTCAAGGCTTCGTGGAAATGATTAACCCTGGCTGCCTCCCACGTCAGGCGGGCCCAGCCGGAGAGGAAGTCCCCGAGTCCCCTGGCCCCCACACCTGCTGCCCACCTCACTTTGACCCTACCTGGAAGCCCAGCTGTCTCTCTGGCCTCGGCCTGCACTGGTCCTAGTCCTAGACCTGACATGGTCCTTGGGCCTCAGCTTAGAAGCCTCCTCCAGGAAGTCTTCCAGGATAATGCAGATAGGTTGGGGCCTAGATGGTCTGGCGCCGCTCCCAGTCCCTGCAGGCCACAGAGCTGGCCACCATCTGCCTGTGAATTGTCCATGATGAGAGCCACTACGGGCGCTGGGCCTTGGAGGTGTCCAGCTCTGTGCCCAGCACAGCACAGACAGTAGCAGTGGGGATGGGATTGTCCCTGTCCCACAGACGGCAGCACTGGGGGCTCCTGGAGGGTTCGGTGCTGCATCCTCTCGGTGGCCCCAGGGCTGGCCAAAAGGCCAGGCACAGGGAGGAGAGGGGCCACGCAATGGCTGAGTGTAGCATAGGATGACCTGAGATCCTGCCCCACCTGCCTGTTCTGACTCTGGGGGTGGCCAGGGCCCCCCAGCAGCCCCTGGTGATGTTCAGAGTGTCCCTTCCTCCCCGTCTCCCAGACAGACCCAGGAGTCCACTCCAAGAAGCCTTTCCAACCCCAGCTCCCCACCGCCGCCTGGATGGTACAGGCCAAGTCTGCGGCAGCACAACCCTGGGCCAGGTACCCTGGGGCCTGGGATGGAGCTGGAGTCACGGAATTCGTGACTTGGGGCTGTGGGCAGAGCTGCCTGAGGAACCTCTTCTGCAATATTGGAGCAGCCGCTACGGCACCTCGGGTTCCTCCTGAGTCAGCAGCGACATCCCAGGGCTGCCGAGGTGGGAGGAGGGGTGAGTGAACCACTGTGGCCTGGAGACCAGCGAGGGCTGAAGCTGCCTCCCTGTATCCCCTAAAACCCCTCTCTCTGCCCCCCATTTGCCTGTCTGTGCAGAGGGAGAGAGAATGGACACCCACTGACCACCCAGCTTGACACCGTGGGCCCCAGGGGGCACAGTGCACATGGAGGCGTGGTGGGCCCTGGGGGCACGGTGAATGGGGGGTTGGGGGTTGGGGGGGAGGTCATGGTGGGCCCTGGGGCACGGTGAATGGGGGGTTGGGGGTTGGGGGGGAGGTCATGGTGGGCCCTGGGGGCACGGTGAATGTGGAGGCATGGTGGGTGCTGGGGGCACGGTGAATGGGGGGTTGGGGGTTGGGGGGGAGGTCATGGTGGGCCCTGGGGGCACGGTGAATGTGGAGGCATGGTGGGTGCTGGGAGCAGGATGGATGCGGGCTTGTGGTGGGTGGTACACACAGCTGGCACTGGGCTTCATCTTCCATTCCGACCCCTCCCCCAGCCCCCTTCCTAGAGCACCACTAAGTGGGGTGCATCCACTCCCTGGAAGCTTCTAGAACAGCCCCAGGGGACTGGCTGTGCTCTCGGGCCTCTAGGATGGTCTGAGGAGCTCACCAACCACCCTGTACCGAGGGTACTTGGCTTTAGGGGTTCCATCAAGGCAACCTGGGGAATGGCCCTGCCTCTTCCGACTCAACCCAGCCCCCAAGGCCCCGGCCTCCCCTGCAGCCACACCTGGTTCCCTTTCTGTAATCAGACCCTCCTTAGCCCCAGGGCCTTGGCACAGGCCCAGGGCTCTTTCTAGACTTCCTCTGCCGTCCAGTTGCAGTTTACATGGTCCCTCCCCAGAAAGGCCCTCAGACCACCCTGCTAAACAAGGCTGGGGCAGGGTCCCCACGTGACGGCGAGAGCCAGTCTCTGCCATCTGGTCCTGGCCCTCAGGCCCCAGGAGCCAAGCTTCCCTCTCCTCAAAGCCCCCTTGACCTTACCCTGGGGCACTTCTCCTCCTCAGGCCCCTCTGTTTCCTGCATGACCTCCTGGGGATGTGCTCGGAGTCCCCGAGAACGAGGAGTCTGTGTCCCCAGCACCCAGCACCAGGCCGACGCTTGGGTCCTCAGAAATGCTTTATTGGGCAGCAGGAGGCCAGGGCCAGGGAGCCCCATGGCCAGCATGGCGAATGTCCGGGGCCAGTGCCTCCAGCGAGGTCACCCCCTGCCCTCCTGGCTGGGCTCCTGAGGGTGTGGTGGCCAGGGTGGCCCCCCTGAGGCCCACAGAATCCACCTGGGCTGCCCCACCCCGACATGTCCACAGGAGAGTTGGCCAGGCCAGGGCAGCTCAGACGAAGGTGGCGTGGTGAGCGCTGGTCTTGGGCTTAGCAGGCTCACCCGGGACGGGGCCCAAGCCAGGGAGGTCTGATGTAGGAGGCCCACCACTGGCCTGCGACCTCCCAGGGCCAGCCTGTGCCCCCGCTATGCCACCATCCCGCCCGGGCGCCGAGCCAGTTACAAGATCCACATCGATGATTCTGTTGACTGGGAGGTCTCGGCTGCCATGGGTCCCACTTCCTGTCACAAGGAGAAGAGAAGCTGTCACTTGCCTGGCCCGGCCCTGGGCCCCCGGAACCCACCCCCTACCCCGAAGGCCCCTGCACAGACAGCATGGTAGGGGTCCCTGAAATATCCCAAACACATCCCAGAGGCAGCTGGCGTCCCGCTGTGGGCCTCCAGGCTGGGGCAGGTACGCCCAGGGGAGGTGCAGTGTTCCCAGAGCCCTCCACATAACACCTGCCACCAAGTGGGGGAGCCGACCCACTCAGAAACCCTACCACCCTGCTTCCCCACTGCAGCTCAGGAACAGAGCTGGGCCCCCGGCAGAGCCCCCGCCCCAACTGCCCCCCTAATTCCTCCTGGGGGCGTCCTCAGGGGCCCCCCCAGGCCCAGGGCCCATCCTCAAGGGCCACCCCCAGGGGGCTGAGCACTAGGGTTCAGTTCCAGATAGGCTGGACCCTCTTGGCCTGGTGGAACGGGCCCTGAGCCCTGTGTCTGCTGCCCCATCCCACCCTGCCAGGCTGGCCACCTGCTCGCCCACCTGCCTCGCTGCCTCAGCACCGTCTTCACCGTACACACCCTGCTCTGGGCCTCCCGGTCGTGTCCCCTCCCCCTCCATCCCTGGCCCCCCTACTGAGGCCCCTCTTTCCGGCTGGTCAGTGACTCTTGCCCCACTTCTGGCTCCAATGCCCACTCCAGCCCCAGGAGATCCCGGCTGCCTGAACCGGCCTTGGAAGCTTCTAGACCCAACATGGGCAGGCCATCTCCTTGCCAGCACCCCCGGGAGGCCTCCCTACCCAGGGCGTCACTGCCCTGCCACATCTGGTGACCTCCACGTGGACCCCTGGAAGACACAGTTGTGTCTATGCCAGGGTGGAGTCCCCAGGGGCCAACGAAGGCTGGGGCCAAGGAAAGTGAACGGTGCACGCAGAATGGCTGGGTTCATGTGCCGCCCGGAGCTCCATGGCAGGACCCCAGGGCCTGGGAAGGGGCAGTGAAGCCCCCGTGCTGGGAGAGCCCAGCCCTTCCCGCCCACTGACCCCACCCCCCCATCTGTACGGTGGGGGTGACGTTGCCGACCCGCCCAGTGACCCCACCCCCCCATCTGTGCGGTGGGGGTGACGTTGCCGACCCAGAGGAGCAGGCTTCGGGGGCAGGTTCCTGCGTACCTAGCGTGTCTCCTAGGCAGGGGTCCAGGAGCTCCCTTCCTCAGTGAGCCTGGGGCTGAGGCCCTGAGACAGTCATGTCCATGCCAGGGTGGAGGCCTTGAGGCGCCTATGGGGTGGCAGGAGCCCCAGGCCTGGGCCCACAGCAGACAGGAGGCAGGAAGAGCCAGCCCCCGGCACATGAGAACCAGGGACAGGGGGTCCCTGCTACCAACTGCTGCCCTCCACAGGTGAATCGAAGGCCTGGGAAGGTGAAGACCCTCCTCGATCTACAGTTCTGAGGTCCCTGAAATGGCCGCAGGGTCCTTGCTGCCCCAGCGGCTCCGTGGCCACCAAGGTCCCCAATCCCAGCGTGCCCCTCCTCACCCTCAGTCCAAGCTTCCGGAAGCAGCCTCCATGAGGCATCTGTGAACAAGTCCGGGCTGCGGGCGGAAGGTGTGACTCCCCTCTTGAGCGTGCCCAGCCCGTTCTCTTGAACAGGTCCCAGCAGTGGCCCCAGAGGCCCTCATCCTGGCCTCGACGCAGCAGCCCAGCCAGCATGTGGGAGCTGTGTGGGGCCTGTGTGTCTTACTCAGCCAGGCCCGGTGGAGATGCCATCTGGAGGCCCAGGGGTCCATGTGGAGCAGCTGAGACTAGAAACTTCTCCCAGTCAGGCCTCTGCTCATTCAACAAGTGTCCTACTAGGTTCTGCCAGGGCTAGGAGCTAGCCCTGCCCCCAGGGGACAAGGGGACAGTTCTGCCCATCTCCTTCTTGTCACCAGGTCCGCATGGCTCCAGATGCCAGGCTGCAGGGCTGGGAGATATCGTGTGGGGAGAGGCAGGGGTTTGCCCCCTCTCGCCGGTCAATACCGTGGGCATTTGGGCATTTGCCTGGAGTGTTCATAGGGCTCTGAAGGGGCCTGCAACACCACACATGTCCAGAAGCCCGGCTCTACCCCGCCAGCCCCACATGGACAGATGGGAGGACAGGCCCCTGAGGGCCCCAGGAAGCTAGTGTGCTCAGGATGGAGAAACACTTGTTTCTGGAGACAGGACAGCTCTGTATGGACCAAGGATGTCCACATCACAAGGAGGGGGCCACAGCCAGGCCCTTCCTGCCTACGGGAGCCAGCCTCGCCCTCCTGTGCAGGGCAGCCAGCCCCAGGCCTGTGACTCAGCTGCCTGGCCCCGCCCTGAGCAGCACGCTGCCTCACCACCTACATGCCAGGGCCTGCCCGGGGAGCACCTTCTTGCCCAGCATTTCCCTGGCAGGGATGGCAACACAGAGGACCCAGCAGAGCCTGCACCACCTCCAGAGGGGCCTGGCCTCCTGGTCTCACTCCTGGTGCCACATCTCCAAACATCCAGACCTGAGGCCACACTGGGATCTTGTTCCCTGCCGCTTGGGCCACCTGTGAACCTCTCCCCGGCGCCCCACGGCTCCCTGCCCTCGGCTGGCTGGTCCTGCCGGCTCCGACTGTGCTGTCCAGCCTTCCCAGGAGGGGGTCCTGCTGGAGGCCCCACAAGATGCAGCAGGAAGGCCCCTCTTTCCACATGCGCAGGCCCCTCACCGGCTGCCGGTCGCCCCCAGGCCTCCCAGACACTTGTCCATGAATGTCTCTGTGCCAGCCACTGCCAGCTGCTCTGGCCTAGGCCTGGGGCAGGACCCCGCCCCACCCTGGTCCTCAAAGCTGAGTCAGGAACCCTGGCAGGCACAGCGGGAGCAGGGGCTGCACTGGCCTGGCCGGGGCAGGGGCATGGCCTGAACTCTCCCAGGCTCTCCTTCGAGACCCAGGCCTGGCACCTCTCCCACTGCCCGCCCTTCCTGCCCCCCGAGGGACCCCGTCCCCCAGGCACTTTGCTCAGCCTCTGCCTCCATGCTCCACATCATCTGTGCTGCCAAGCGCAGCCACCTCCTCTGTGAAGCCTCCCCAGCGCCCCTTGGAAGCTCGCAGGGCACAAGGACACCCAGGCAAGGCTGAGCCGGCTCACACTGAGAACACGGCAGGAAGGGGGGAGCGAGGGGAGCCAGAGGCGGGGACCCTACAATCCACTGTGGCTCCCAAGGCCCCTTCCCTTCCCAGCCTTCCCACCACAGCGCACCCCACGGGCTCCTGCTAAGGCCTGTGCACTCCTGCTGATGGGCCCCCATGGGAACGAGAGCACCCCCAGAACCTTAGTTCCAGAGTGTGACCCCCCCAAGGTCCCCCTGTCCGTGTGGGTCCCCAGCCAGGATCATGACTGTGTGTGATGGGCTGGGGCTGGGATAGAGCTCCTCAAATATTTGCTGGGCATTGGCGAGGGAGTGGACAGCGCCCAGCAGGGTGCACAGTGTGGTGAGTGGGGAATAGGGGAGTGGGGAATAGGGGAGTGGGGGTGACTGAGGGCACAGGAGTGCATGTGGCAGACCCCAGGGAGGGGCTTCAAGCCGGAGCTCCAGCAGTGCGGGCTGAGATGGGCACAGGTGGCCAGTCCTGGAGGGAACATGGGGGTAGGCCAGGTCACAGTCACTTGCAGGCCTGAGACTTCCACTCTGCAAGACCTGGCTGGAACTTCAGGTGGAAGGCAGACACTTCAGGGGAGGAGGGGGAGCAACCTAGGGTGGCTTCTGGTGGGATCCGGGAGGACCACGTGTCACAACCAGGCTGGGGGCTGTGGAGGAGGGCCGAGGCCAGCTGGTCAGTTCAGGAATCCCCTGGGGAGCCACGGAGCTGGGCAGGAGCCAGGAGATGCTGGGGGGAGACAGGGCTCTGGGGAGACGGGGCTCTGGAGAGAGGGGGCTCTAGGGAGAGGGGGCTCTGGGGAGAGGGGGCTTTGGAGAGGCACCTAGCAGATGCCCTCAGCAGCTTTGCAGGCCTGAGACCAGTGGCAGGCTCCTGGGGCTGTGTCCCCAAGAAAACCAGCGGTCTCAATCCACATCAGAGTGAGGGGGTCTAAGCTGCATCTGCTCCTGCGGAGGGCGGGGCACGGGAGCTGCCGAGGAGGCCTCTCTTGGACAGAGCAGGAGCCAGGTGGGGCTGCATCCTCACCCGGTACAACACAATGGCCATGCCATGGGGGGTACTTTCACCCCCAGGGTGAGGGGCGTGACCTCACTTCCAGGCTGCAGAAGCCCCGGCAGGCAAACATCGCACATCTGGCAGGTAGCTGAGCTCCGGGGGCCCTGAGGGCAGCCACTGGGCCCAAAAGTGTTCCTAGGGGATACTGGCAGCTGTGACACTGGGGCCTCCAGGTTGAGTGACCCCTGAGCCCGCCCAGTGAGCTGCCCCAGGGGACCCCAGCCCCAGGAGAGCTATGCGGGGACCCCTCCTGGGGTGGTGCCTAGCATCTCCCTGCCGGCAGGTGGAGTCCATCCTCTTGGGATGTCTGCACCAGGAGCTCAGTCAGGCCATGGGGCTGGGTACTCAGCCTTACCAAAGGGGCTGGGAGGAGCCACTGGCCTCCAGCCCCCAGCCAGGACCCCTGACTGTCGCCTTGCAGCCAGCAGGGCAGCAGTGAGACCACCCAGCTCCCGGGCTTTTTGTTGGAAACGAAGCAGATCTGGTTAAGAAAGCAATTGGGAATTATTACCAACACAACCGTAAGAACCCGTTTTAAGATGGCGCGTACAGAAGGAGCACTGTGCATTGGAAACTCGGGTGTGGGTGCACGCGACCTTTTGAATGCCTCTCTCCTTTGTGAAAACACAAAGCGCAGACGTCTGCTTCTGTGCAGGGGTGGAAGATGACTGCTAAAGGCGGGACACAGCAGTGCTGGAGGGACAGCTGCTCCCTCCCCACGAGAACAGAAGGTGAGCATTTTGGAGGGTCCCTGTGTCGAGACACAGATATGCACAAAACGTGCCATGCAGACACATGGCAGGTGCACACACCGACACATGCCACACGAACACACACCAGGCATGCACGCACATGGGTATATCTGCCTGACACACTGATATGGTTTGGCTCCGTGTCCCCACCCAAACCTCACCGTGAATTGTGATAATCCCCCGGTATCAAGGGTGGGACCAGGTAGAGGTGACTGGATCATGGGGGCAGGTCCCCCCATGCTGTTCTCATGATAGTGAGTCTCAGGAGAGCTGATGGTTTTATAAGCGTCTGGCATTTCCTCTGCCGGTTCTCGTACTCTCTCCTGCTGCCCTGTGAAGAGGTGCCTTCTGCCATGACTGTAAGTTTCCTGAGGCTTCCCCAGCCATGCAGAACTGTGGGTCAATTACACCTCTTTTCTTTATAAATTACCTAGTCTTGGGTATTTCTTCATAGCAACATGAGAACGGCCTCATACACACAGCACTGTGTGGACACATGCACACCTCTGCCAGCGTGCCCTGGAGCCTCACGAGGGGCCTGACACTTCTCCCGCTTGAGGCCTCTGTTGTGTGTGTCAGACAGCTAAGGCTCAGGGCCATTAGACTGGGTGGCCTGGCAGCAAGTGGCCAAAGGGAAAGGAGACCCACCCACATGCCTCCCGGGACCAGACATGCATGGGGGCACCGGCCAGCCTGCATGGTGCATGGTCTCGGTCTCGGTGCGTGGTGCTGGGGCTAGACAGACGGGGTGGAGTGCCGCGTGGCGTGTGGCGCTGGGGCTAGAAGCATGGGGCGGTGCGGTGCATGACGCTGAGGCTAGAAGGGCGTGGTGGAGCACCACGTGGCGCAGGGGCTGGAACAGGGTGGCATGGCACGTGGTGCTGGGGCTAGGATGGGGTGGTGTGGCATGTGGCACTGGGGCTAGGACAGGGTGGCATGGCACGTGGTGCTGGGGCTAGGATGGGGTGGTGTGGCATGTGGCATTGGGGCTAGGACAGGGTGGCATGGCACGTGGTGCTGGGGCTAGGATGGGGTGGTGTGGCATGTGGCACTGGGGCTAGGACAGGGTGGCACAGTGCATGGCACTGAGGCTGGAAGGGCAAAGTGGTGTGGCACAGCTCTGTGGAGACTCCCCCTACCTCAAGGCTGTTGCTGGCAGCCCCCACGCGTAGCCGGCATGCTGCCCACCATGGCAATGGGGAGGGCGGGAGCCCGTGGGCTTGGCTACACCTCCTGTTGTGTTTCTCACCCCGGACGCTGGGTCCAGGGCGGCTGCCACATTGTGAGGAAGCATCCCACAGCAACTGTCAACGTCGGAGAGCGTGACCCGGGATGACCCCCAAGCTCCTAAACCCTGAAAACGGACAGGTCAGCACTCAGTCCAGGCTCGCCCCGGCCCACAGATGTGAAAGAGGTTCCATCAGGCCACCACGGCATTCACAGCCTGTTTCCTTTGCCGCCATGGGCAGGTGAACTCTCCAATACAGAGAATCCCATTAGAGTGGGGGTTCCAGAAGCAAGCTGCACAGAGCAGTTTCTGTCCCAACGCCCCCCAGCAGGCTTGAGCCAACATCACAGGAAGACTGGGCAGGTCCTCAGCAGTTGTCCTGTGTCGCCACGGACAGGCACGTGGAGGACACACACCTACGACCTATGGCCAAAGCCACTCCCACCTCCTTCTCCCACTCACTGGGTCTCCTCCTAGGAGACAGCCCAAGAGCCAAGGATCCAGGGTACCCACCTGCCCAGGGGCTGAGGAGCCAGCGGGGCGGGGAACCAGTTCTGGCCAGTGGCAGTCGGGGCAGCCACCAGAGCGCAGGGGGACCTGCTCCTCCCAAGGCCGGTACCACCCACCCTCCTGCCACAAACAAGTCAGGGATGTCAGCCGGGGCGCTCAGCTGGGCCTGCGCTGTAAACCACCTCTGTGCTAATGGCCCTTGGCAGGCAGGAGAACTGACCCCCCACGTGGGTCTGTCTGGCCCTCCCAGGCAGCCTGACACACGCCACACCTGTGCGCAGAGCCAGCCACAGCCCCAGGGCTGCAGGGCCGGGGTGTGGGTGCGGGACTGCAGCCCGAAGGCCAGCAGGCCAGCTCATCTCAGCACCCGCCACCGGGCCACCAGCTCTTCTGCTGTCCCGCCGCACAGCTGTGCTGCTGGGAGCACACCAGGTGCTCAAGAGTTTTGTTCAGTGGATGGTATATTTTTAAAAGCCAGTAGATTACGGTAAATCCACTTAATCTCCTAAAAATGTGTGATATTTCCCCTAGATTAAAATACTTTTATTATTTTCTAAAGTGGAAACAAAGTTTCAAATGAGAAAGAAAAGTTGTAAGCCAGTCCAGTGATGATGTCCAGAATTTATTACTCCTGGAAGAACAGACTCAAAACGCAGGTGAGAGCCACACAGGTGTCCACCAAGACGGATGGAGGGGGACTCAGGCCAGGGGTGGAGGCTGCAGAGTGGCACCGGTGGGCATGCCAGGCACCTCAGGCTTTCTCATCCAGGCGTGTCCTGGCTGTGAAAGGGACCAGGTAGCCCCTCCCATGCCACACGTGGCCTCCAAAGGCCCAGATATGTACAGATCTACAGACGTGCACTCCCTGGTCCCCCGGCGAGGTCCAGGCTACAGGTCTGACAAGACCAAACCTCACGGCAGGCCTCTCACTGCTGTCAGCATCCTGGACCAGGGCACAGGACGGAGAGGCGCTCCCATCGCCCCCAGCAGCAAACCACAGCAGAGGTGTCCACGCACCCCTGAGCACACTCCATGACGCGCACCCTGAGCGGCTCCTCTCTCCAGGGGATGGCCACGCAGGCCACGGCCCTCGGACCCCTGGAAACACCTTTCCCTACCGGCTGCTGGGAGCCTCGCCTCAGTTTCTGGTATTTGTGGCTCACGGAAACATCCCTGCTGCCAGGCCATCCTGTTCACCTTCACACTCACTGAATCCCCTGCTTCCTTTGAGAAATGCCCGTGACACCCGCGGTCAGAGAGCGCTGCTGACGTCACCTCCACTCCCGAGCACCCACACCACCTGCTACGGGGGCCGCCGGTGGGTCCGAGCTGCACTCTCAAGGCTCTTCCGAGGACGGGCCTGTGTCTGGGAGCCCTCTCCTGCTATGAACACAGCGGGCTTCACTTCCTCACTCAAGACAAATGCTATTGTTTTCCAGTCTTGAGACAGAAACACTAAAAACGATCGCTGTCCAGATTTGGAAAGGAATGCCTCCATTTTCGGAAACCCCCAGGCCTCACCCAGGGTGTTCCCAGACCTCGCTGCAGGCACTGCCACGTATCATTCCTGCAAGAGCCTCTCAGGACACCAGGATGCCTGCCCAGAGCGCCTCGGGGGGACCATCCTGACAGACACTGGCCTGGGGCCACACGAGCCCCTCCTTTCCAAGAGGGCCAAGGAAGCCCCCAACCAGCAGGTGAGGAGGGGGTCACGGAGACCACCAGCAAACAGTGGCAGCCGGGGGCCCACTGTCCTTTCTGACTGGAAGCTGAGCAGACCACGCTTACGGGGCCAAGGTGGAGGGATCAGAACCTGGAGGTACCTGGTCTGGAAGGTCCTGGCACTTCCTGGGGGGTGGAGGGCGGCGGCAGCAAGGTGCTGTTGGGGCTGCTGATGTCCCCCTCCCCCATCAGGGTCAGCTCGGCCACGTGCTCATCCTCCACCGTCTGGATGCCCCCGGCCTCCACTTCCTGAGACTGCCTCTTCCAGATCTGGGCGGTGCCCTCCTGCGCGAGGGAGACGGGGGACTGGGGAGTGCAGAAGGGCCCGCTGGGAGACTTCTGCCCGGGGGGGGTCGTCCCAGGAGGTCCAGGGGGGCTGGAGGCTGAGCCCGGGCTGGTGGACGGGCTGTCGCTGCTCTCCTGGACTGGCTCCCACTGCTCGCCAGGCTGGGAGGCGCTCTCCCGGCCGTTGCCTGTGGCGCTTCTCTTGCTAAAGCCCTTGGCCACAGCAGCTGGAGTGGGGAGGGTGAGTTCTGTGGAACCAGGAGGTAAACGGAGGAACTCTGGCAACACCAGGTCTTCCTTCCTTAGCAGCCCACGTTGGTCATCTGCTCTGTTGCTCTGAGCTTTGGAAATAAGCTCAAAAAACTCTATTGGAAGAAAACCCAGAGTGACCGTGTTTTAGAGAGTTTCACATTAATGACTGTCACCGCAGAACATTCTAGAAAGCTCTCATCCTGGGCTGTCCTAACACCCTATCAGCTGTGGGTCAACAAGAGCCCTTTTCCGTCCACACTATCTTCCCACAGACAGCGGAAGGGACAGCCCTGGGGCTTCTAGCATACTCTGTCTTCAGGAGTCTGAAAAAGCTGTGTACTCCCTAAAAACCACGCTGTGTGAGGTCCAGACTTGAACAAACGAGACGCTTGACTCAACACGGTTACGCGCTGATGCCGTCTGAGTAGGAAACTGTGGGACTCTCTGGCCTGGGCTTTCAATTTAACACTTGGGGCCCTCTGAGGACTGGCCCCCTCCTCCGGTTGGTCAGCATCTGAAGCACCCGCCCGGGTCCCAGCTGCAGCTGCAGTCCTCAAAGTCGGGAGCAGAATGAACCCGAGGAGGGGTGGTAGAGGAAGGCCCTGAGACGGGTGGTCTGGGAAGGGGCACCCTCAAATCCACGCCTGCCTCTCGGGGTCACTGCCTCTGGGCAGAGGGTGGTCCTCCCAGGCCTAGGGCAGAGGGGGGCAACACGTGCTCTCCCTCTCCGCACTGAAGCTCCACAGCCCCGAGGGGCCAGGACGGGTGCCCCTGGGCCTCCCACTGCCCAGCCACTGTGGGGGCCTGCAGGTGCCTCCAGCTTCTTGGCTGGCTCCTCCAGAACTCTCCTTTTCTTACCTGGGCTGGGTTTTCTAGTGTAGCAGGCCCCAAGGCCACCATTCGAGGTAGATGGCGTCTAAACTGGGCTTTCTCTAGCATTGGAATTATACTCGGAGTTTTTAACAACTACAAGGAACCTCAAATCTCTGACTTCACTGGTTCTCAGAAACATACAAGCTTCAAAGAGGGCGTGTGATTTACTTGTGCTCGGTGGCCAACAAAGGCTGGAGGTGTGTTTTAGTTTTACCGTGAGGTCAGACTCCACAGCCAGCTGTGACAAAGCCGTGACACGCCAGGTGGACTGGCAAGTACGCCCTGGATGAAAATTCAGGTCACGGTGACAGCTGCTGGTTTTGACTCTGTTTTCAATGCTTCTCCTTGTTATAAACTTCTGGAGAAAAAGGAGCTTCAAGAAAGGACTCATCTCTCCATCTCAGTCTTCCAGTGTGCCTGTTGTCTCTCCTGGAGGCCAGGGGTGTGCAGGCTGACCTTCCTCACTGACCCCCGCAGCCAAGAGAGCTCAGCAAGCCCACGGTCCTTCCAGACCAGTGTGCTCCACCTCCCCTCACCTGGGTGCCCAGCTCTGCCTAGGGTGGACTCTCTAATGCTAACTGTGCCTCCAGTCACGCTGGGGACCCTGGCACAAGCCAGTGGTGGGGCCATAGGGAGGAGCTGGGGTGAGAGGGAGGCAGAGCCTGCGGGGGCCTCTGGCATCTCAGGGCAGACAGTGCTGCTCACATCGGCTGCCCCTGATGCCCTAGGAGGCCTGGCACTCAGTCTCAAAACTGGGGTTTCGGTGGAGTGATCCCAACAGCCCACAGACTGCCCCCGGGAGAAACATGTCTTCCAGGCCACAGGGACGGACCGCAGTCACCCAGATGCTGACAGCTCAAAGCAGATCTACTGACTATACTGGAAACTAACTGTGCATTTACTAAAAACGTGGAAGTTTTAAAAAGTTCACATACCCTCTGCTTCGTCCAAATTAATTTTCTGATATTTTTTTTTCCCAATCTTTGCAATAGATTCTTCTCTCTTTGAAAGCCGGGGATCCCTAGCATTTTTTCCATTTTCTCCTTTTATTTTAATAGAATTAGACTTGCCTAGTGTTCTTTCCTCTCCCTGCATTAGAAGGAAAGTCAAAGTTCTACTTTCATTTCAATACACGACAATACATCATTCATTAGTTAGAGAGTAGAAGGCTCTATGAAATAGATTGCATTGATACAGAATTTACATGCATTGCAGAAAAACCATTGCAATGATAAGGATTACAAACAAGAATAGCATTTAAGGCACAACCACTCCCACCTCAGAAGAAAAGAAAGCCAGTCCTTCACAGGTAAGAGGGAGCTGGGCATCGGCAGGGACGAGAGAGACCCCGCCAAGGAGCGTGGGGGAGACACACAGTGATAAGCAGGCGGTAAGGAAGCACCAGGGCACTGCGCAGGGCAGGCGGGGGCCACAGCGAGAGGAGCAGGGCACAGGGTGGGCCAGGGTGGGGAATTACCGTAGCCGAGTGGTTTCTGGAGCTGGAATTTACAGCTGTGTTCTGTTTCACTGGCACACCTTTCTGTTTATCTGCGGATGCTAAACATAAGAAAGCTTTATGACTTCAGGGACTCGCAAATCCATCTGAATGTTTCATAGACAACCTGCTCCTACTGTCTCTGAGAGCAAAGCTGTAGAGAAGCCACAAGGCATCTGCTGCCCTTATTCACCACGCACAGCCCTGAGGGGAGTCCCCATGGGACAGGAGAGAGGGCCCGTCCTCCACGCACACAGCCGGGCTCCGTACATCTAACTAGGGACTTGCTGGAGGAGTGATGTTGAAATTGAAAAGCTCATTTCATATACTATTTGGCATAAATATTCTCTAGAAAGTCAGAGTCTTACATTTATGACATATTTTCTTTCTCTTTTCTTTCTTTTTTTTCTTTTTTTGAGACAGAGTCTCACTCTGTCTCCCAGGCTGGAGTGCAGTGGCACGATCTCGGCTCACTGCAACCCCCGCATCCTGGGTTCAAGCAATTCTCCTGCCTCAGCCTCCCATGTAGCTGGGATTACAGGCATGTGCCACCACACCCAGCTAATTTTTGTATTTTTAGTAGAAACGAGGTTTCACCATGCTGGCCAGGCTGGTTTCGAACTCCTGACCTCAGGTGATCCACCCACCTTGGCCTCCAAAAGTGCTGGGATTACAGGCATGAGCCACTGTGCCAGTCCATGACATATTTTCAAATACAGCCTTTGCCCCATGCCAGGGCCACAGGCTGGCCTCTGCTGGCACTAACGGCCTCAAGCCCATTTCTGTGGCCCAAATGTGACTGGAGGAGTCGCGCTCCTGCCCCACATACAGCCCTACAAAAACGCTGAGCGCCAAGCTCCACCACAGGACTTGCCTGTACACAAACAAGCCCCGAGGCCCAGCAGGCCCTGGGCACAGAGGGTCAGCCGGGGCAAAGCTGCTGGCCGCCCTGCTGGGTTACACATGCTGTGCCTGCCCCACCTGCCTGGGTGGGTGTCAGGGCCCAGCGTAAGGCTTTCCCTAGAGCAAAGGGTGGGCTCGGGGAAGGGTCTCTGCTCTGTGAGGAGTTGGGGAGGGGAGCAAGAGTTGGAGCTCCAGGACTAATGGCCTCAGCGCTTGCTTCTGACTGGGACCCATGGCCCAGGTCTCCCTGGGTGGGGACAAGTGAGCCACGTGCTCCCTGCGTGACATCATCAGGGCCAACAACCTGAAAGGCAGAGGGGCAGCCCAATGTCACCTGAAGTGGCTCCTCACAAAGTGAGCTCTCTACCTAGAACATCTGCAGGTGGGTTTCCAGAAAGCTCTTTCCAAGACACACCTCCCTACGGCACCTGCACCTGCAGGCCCCAAGGCCACGCCTCTGCCTGTCCCTGGGGACAGCTACAAACAGGACCCACCCTCCTGGGTCTGAGTAACCTTCCTCACGCACGGTTCTCAACAAGGGCTCTAAGGAGGGCCGGCTCCTGCGCGTCAGGATGAGGTGGGGGCCGGGCGACGAGCCCATCTCCGAAGGCTGCTGGCCGGACCCAGCTTCCCCAGGGCAGGACTGTCATGACCAAGGCAACACGTTGGAAAGAGCTCTGTCGACCGCCCGATTCCCTGCACGCAAGGAACTGCAGAACCAGCCCAAATGACCGAGCCTGCAGCCTCCATTTTGCCGGGCAGAGCACAGGCGCCTACTGCCCTGGCTTCCTGTTTTGTGCCTGGAGGGAAGGGCGCCAGATCAGGGCACCAAGGAGGGACCAGGGGGCCCAGACCAATTCTCTTTTGTGTACTAACTCCAAAGCCTCCCCCTCCCCTGGGCCAGCCCCGCCTGCCCTCTCTCCTGCACAAGCCCCACTCACCCCCTCCCCTGCACTGGCCCCGCTCGCCCTCTCCCCTATGCCAACCCCACAGCCCCCTCCCCTGCACTGGCCCCACTCGCCCTCTCCCCTATGCCAACCCCACAGCCCCCTCCCCTGCACTGGCCCCACTCGCCCTCTCCCCTATGCCAACCCCACAGCCCCCTCCCCTGCACTGGCCCCACTCGCCCTCTCCCCTATGCCAACCCCACAGCCCCCTCCCCTGCACTGGCCCCGCTCGCCCTCTCCCCTGTGCCAACTCCACAGCCCCCTCCCCTGCACTGGCCCCGCTCACCCTCTCCCCTATGCCAACCCCTGCCCCCTACCCTGTGCAGGCCCCACAGCCCCCTCCCCTGCGCTGGCCCCACTCGCCCTCTCCCCTGTGCCAACTCCACAGCCCCCTCCCCTGCACTGGCCCCGCTCACCCTCTCCCCTATGCCAACGCCACAGCCCCCTCCCCTGCACTGGCCCCGCTCGCCCTCTCCCCTATGCCAACGCCACAGCCCCCTCCCCTGCACTGGCCCCGCTCACCCTCTCCCCTATGCCAACGCCACAGCCCCCTCCCCTGCGCTGGCCCCACTTACCCTCTACTCTGTGCAGGCCCCGCCCACCCCCTCTCCTGCGCAAGCCCCACCTGCCCCTCCCCTGCACTGGCCCCACTCACCCCCTCCCCTGCACCGGCTCCATAGCCCCCTCCCCTGCACTGGACCCACTCACCCTCTCCCCATCCGCTGCACCAGCCCTACTCACCCTTTCCTCTGGAAGGATCCTTCTCCTCCAAGACAACCCGCTGTCCGTCCAGACTCGATATAGGGGCGCCAAGGTCCAGGGGCTCCTTCTCTCCACTCTAGGGCAGAGATCAGCACTGAATAATTTACCCAGACTGGAACTTCAGGGAACAGATGTGTGTGATCCCACCCGACTGCATGACTGTCCTAGGCTTGATGGAGTCACGCAGGAGATGGCCCCGAGGTGAGGCCTGCCTGACTGAGGCACACAAGCTGGGGCTGAGCCATGCTCCTGACATGGGTCCCGACTACACGACCATCCTAAGCTCGATGGAATCACGCAGGAGGTGGCAACCCTTGGTCGCTGCTACAAGGGGAACACTGACCCTCGGACGCTGCTATGAGGGAAATACTGACCCTCGAAACTGCTATGAGGGGAATACTGAGAGCAGATGTTCCCCTTTGTAAACAAGGAAGCAAAGACAGACAACTTTAGGACCAGGTTTGAGGCTGAAATGAAGCGCCACTAGCCACCGGGCTGGAGTTCTTGTCTCTGCATCAGAGCTCTCCTCTGGCAGAGAATCTGACTCTTCACCTGCCATAGTCACTGTTAAGAAAAGACATCTGAACATGTTTGGCATTCACGATCTGTCAGTCAGGGGAATGACAGCTGTCCAATGCCAGGCGGGAGAGGCTCTAAGCTCCTGAAGGGGCTGGTCCGCTGGGCAGGCGTGGTGGGCCCTGCGGGGGAAGCAGAGGAACTGCCCCAGGTCCCGCCTTCTCCACCACATTCGTGGACACAGGGGGCCACAGAATTCACTGGAGAGGTCAGGAGACAGCGTCCAAGGAAAAGCCACATCCCAAACAACCCATTCCACACGAATCCTCCATAGCCCCCACAGCCTCGGCAGCCGAGGGCCGCAGCTCACAGGGAACGAGCCTGACCGCAGCCAGCCCTTCCACCCTGGTGCCCCCCAACCATGCCACGAGCACGCTGCCACGACCAACCCCATTTTACAGTCAGGGAAACTGTGACACACAGGGGCTAAACAATTGCGCAGCGTCTCCCCAGAGTCGGCCAGAGGGGCACACCTGGGAGCCAGGCCAGGTCTGTCTCCCACCTGCAGATTTCTGGACTCCAGGATGGAGCCTGCAGCGCGGGGAAGAGGCTTCAGGTTACCCTCGGAGGTGGTGTCTGTAAATAATTTAATAGGTTCTTCTTGTTCACTTCAAAGCTCTTGAATAATTTTGAGTGTAGTTTCAGGGAAAACTAAAATCCTGAAAATACTTGAAATCATTGCTCCAATAAAGTTTTCAAGGAAAGAAGACTAGGCAGACACTGTGCCCGGAACCCCCACGCTCCAGAGCACCCTCAGCGGGGCCCAGCTCTCGCCATCTCGCGTGGCCTGCCCAGCACCTGCGGTCACCACCCCACGCGGTGTTTTCTTTCTTAACCCCATTCACATCATAATGGCGCAGCCTGGAAATGCCAGCTGAGTTCTTCCATCTACAAAGTGCAGGTGAGAATCAGGACATCTCCATGTGACCGTGCACTGGGGGCATGAGCACAATGCCCGGGCCCAGCAGGTGCAGTGGGGGCAGGGCCATCCGCACTCTCTTATCTGATCACATTGGCCAACAGCGGAGGATAGTCCAGGGTTGGTTGCTTTGTTTCTCATTTTGGCCTCCCTGGAGCAAAACCACCTCTCAAATATCAATTCTTTTTGGAATGACCAAGGTACAAATAAACCATGATGGCTCCCACTGCACAGAACGAGAACTGGGGATGGCAGAGGCTGTCTCCTCTCCTCCAAGGGGGACAACCAGATCAGGGGAAGACACCGCTTCTTGGTGTGCCCTCTTCAGTGAACAACACAGAGGCTGCCAAAGGGAACAGACAGTGCCTGCGGTGACGACGCCCGGGCCCCGTGCAACACTCACCAGCCTCACCAGCAGGCCACTGAGGTCCAGGCCGTATCTGGCCACCACGGGCCGCAGCACCTCCGTGACGGGCTTGGTGGGCTTGGCCTTGAGTCCCACTGACCGGTTAATCGGAACAAGATCCAGCCTGGTGGGGGATGAAAAAATTCACTACCAACTCATGTCAGCCCTCATTAGGAGATCAGTCTCACGAGCAGAACTACAGCACAGCCCCAGGCCGCCCTCAAGGCCTCGGTGTGCCCCCCAGTTCAGCCCCAGCTGATCAGAACGTGCCTTCCTCCACGTGGGAAAAGTCAGGCCAAGCAAGGGCTATGGTCTCCTCCTCCAGGGATAGCAGTGTCCTGCACAGCAGCCTGGCTACCTGTGGGGCATCCACCCTACAGAGAGCACTCCTGCCCCTCCCTCTCGGCATCTTAGGGGGCTGGGCTCACCAGGCCAGGGCAGTCCCTGTTCACGGGACAGGGAGGAGAGGGCGCCTCTCACCCCCGGGCTTGTAGGGGGGCTGCCTCGTGTGGGCCTCCACCCTCCCCCCGCCCCGACACCCCATCGTAGCCCAGCATGGAGCATCCACAGGCCGCCCGCTAAGCGCAGAGACCAGCAGGTGGTGGGCACACGGGGTTGGCTCTGGGAGCCTCAGGTGAATGACAGCGATCTTCCTCTTACCGAAACAAGGTGCGCTTTTCTAGGCGCAGGTCCCTTGACTCCAAGATGCTACTGTCTTGGTGCAGCACCAGAGGCTGAGGAACAGAGAGACCAGAATCAACGTGGGCACAGCAGGCAGCCCCCCAAACGCAGACCCACGTGCCCCAGGCACACAGCTGTGCAGAGCAGAAGAGCAGCTTCAAAAACAGCCATCCAAAGAAAGCGATCACCCTTTCCACACCAACCCAGCACCCACGTGCAAAGTGCTCCCAGCAGATAGCTCAGTTCAGATAATCCGGCCTCCGCCCCAGGCGCTGTTGAAATGAGGAGCGCAGGAGGGGGCAGCCTGAGGACTCTGACAAAGCTGGGGGCCAGGGAGCGGGGAGGTCATGGCCTGAGGGCAGCACGAGGGTCAGGCGGGCCCAGTACCTTGTCCCCGCCCACCAGGAAGAGGTCCGCGGCCGCCCCGTTGATGCCATGCCGCTCACAGAGTCCGGACAGGATGTCTTTGATGGAGAAGCCCGCCTTGACAGCCACCACGCAGGATGTCCCATCCGGGAGATGAATGCAGCAGTGCTTGGTGGCCTTGTCCTTCTCGGGTGCCAAAGTCCTGCAGGCCTCCGACTGGGGAGCAGCGAGACAAGCAGCCGTGAGGGAACCAGCGTCACAGGGGTGCGGGGCACCTCCCAGAGCAGCCCAGCTGGCCCAGGCCGCACGTGCTGGGGAGGCTGGCGCCCTGCCACGGTCCCACCTGCAGCTCCCCAGGTGCACACATCTCAGGCTCAGTCCACACTGCCTGAGGTGCTGGGTTTTGTGAATTAACACGAGAGAGCGGTCATCATTCTCTCAGCTCTGGGCCTCAAGGGCCATCGTGCTCAGAAGGCACATCTGGGCTTCTCCACCCAGAAGCAGGGCTGTCCTGCGGGGCCCACTGAAGCTGCCCTGTGAGGACCACTCCCTCCCAGGGCTCTGGGTTCCAGCACCCTGTCCTCTCTATACACAGCTCCCCATGCACATCGTTCCAATGGAAACGTCGCCTGGACTGTGACTTCGTCGGCACTGCCTTCCGGTAGTCTGAGGTCTCTTTTCCCTGAGCATTATTTCAGGAAACTAGTTTGTACAGTGGTAGGCTGGCTGCACAAGTGGTTCCCAACCATCCCCTTCCCTGTATCTGTGCCCCTCATAATGCGGCTCTGTGGCTCCTCCCATGAAGAGGTGGAGTCAGCCCCAGCCCAGACCTGGGTGGGCAGAAGGAGCGGCTCCAAGCCTGGGCCTCCAGAGGCCGTCCTTACTCTGCTCACTGTCAGGGTCCCTGAGCCGGCTGTGGGACGGGGTGAACTGGCCTCCGCTGAGTGAGGCGAACGAAGGGTCCTGTCAGTGCTCCTTCCCCAGCCAAGGGCCAGCCATGCAACTGAGGGCCTCTGGGACCAGCCAGCTGGCTCACGTGCCAGGTAACCAGAAACACACGGCAAGGCCGGCCAGAATGGGCAGAACCACCCAGGCGACCCAGACACCCAGCACAACAGTAATTGTTTCCAGCCTCTGAGTTTGGGGGTGCGGAGGTATTAGGCAACAAGAGCTAACTGATACCTGGTAAATCCTTACAGCTTTCAATGTTATTTGGAACAACTGAAGAAGAAATTATATTCTACATTCATTCCTGCCTGAAAATTTCAAATGACCAGGATGCTGGCAACCAGTGAGGTTTTCCAAAATTCCTATCAAACAACATCTAACAAGCTCACGAGTCCTGCCTGCGCCTGCTCATCTCCCTCATCTGCTGGAAACTGGGGCCAGGACGAGCACCAGCCAAGCAGTGAGCAGGTGTGAGAGGGTGTGGGTGAGACAGGCGGCCCGCAGGCAGAGGGGTAAATCCTGCAGTGTGGGAGTGGGTGGGATGCTCACGCGCTGAGACAGGGAGCGCCTGATTTCGACACCTTCTGTTGATTCTTAGTGGGAGTTCACAAAAACTAAATTACAACAAAAAGACTTAAGAAATAAATCCAAAGATACTTTGAGTTCCCTCCCTCGTATAACTAATAGTTTTTCGTGCCCTCTCAGGAGCCCTAGGCTGGGGGACCATGAGGCCGGGGCCTGATGGGGCACTGGGCCACCCTGCACTTTGCCACTGTGCCTGGGCCGGCACCCGAGCCTTGTCCCCCAGCTTTACAAAGTGAACGCTGAGTTTTGTAAACACAGGTTTCCATGGGAGAGAGGTGTCATCAGTCAGCTGGTGGGGACACCCCTGAGGCCTGTGGGACGAGGGGAGACAGTGACTCACCAGGTCCAGGCTCCCCGCAGAGGACACAGAGCCCTGCGACTCTCGGCGACACAGGCCTCCATTGGCATGCAGGGCGTCTTGACAGGGGAAACACAGTGACTCACGTCAATCAGAACCCTGTTTATTCGGTCACATCTCCCAACCCTCTGCCCCCTTTAGGCTGAGCAGACAGACGCCAGGAAGCCCCCCCCACCCATCCCCCACCAGGCATCACTTTGCCGTCTCTGGTGGAGACGAGTCACATGTGTCTTCCTAACCCTGGAAGCCAGTCAGGGACCAACAAGGCTCTACCCACCATGCAGCAGAGATGCTACTCTCTGCCCTGTCTACTGCCACATCCTGGCTCCAAAACATGCTTGGCTCATGGCAGGTGCCCAACAAATCACATCAGTACGTGCAGTTACACAGCACAGACCCAGGTGCATGTCCCGGTAAGGGCCTTTCCTCCATTCCATCTGGAGCTTTCATCCCCAAATGTAGTTTCTGGGCCTAACTGGAAACCCCCAACTGTGGCAACAGCCAGCGCTCTCAGCCGGATGCGGCCTCCAGACCCACTCGGTCCACGTCCTTTTCCTCTGACGTCCTGACATGAACCGTAATGAAGTGTCAATTTTCACCAACCTCAACTAACTATATTCTTAGGCTAACCTACAAATCATGAAAATTCGGACACAGGACTTTTCAAACAGCACCTGCTCCCAAACCACACCGCTGCACATGGGCTCTGGGGCCTGAGGAGAGAGGGGAAGGCAGCTCCCAGACCTACTGGCCTGCAGACTGCAGCCACCTTCCACAGGAACAGATGCCCAGGCCACATCCTGGGCCAAGATCAGAATGTGTTACTTCTGGGGGTGCCTGCAGTCTGGGTTTTATTTTTTGGTTGGCTTTGTGTTTTTTAGAGACAGAGCGTCGCTGTGTCCCCCAGGCTGGAGTACAGTGGCACAATCATAGCTCACTGCAGCCTCCAACTCCAGGACCCAAGCAATTTTCTTCCCACCTCAGCCTCCCCAGTAGCTAGGGCAACAGGTGCGCCACCACACTTGGCTAATTTTTAATTTTTTTTTGTAGAGATGAGTGTCTTGCTGTGTTGCCCAGGCTGGTATTGAACTCCTAGACTCAAACGATCCTCACACCTCGCCCCACCGCCAAAGCGCTGGGATTTAAAGGCATGAGCCACCAGGCGCCACTGCTATCAAGGTTTGCTTTCATTTATTTATTTATTTATTTATTTTGAGACAGTCTTGTTCTGTCACACAAACTGGAGTGTAGTTCTCCACTCACTGCAACCTCTGCCTCCCGGGTTCAAGCGATTCTCATGCCTCAGCCTCCCAAGTAACTGGGACTGAAAGTACCCACCATCACACCCAGCTAATTTTTTTTTTTTTTTTGAGACGGAGTCTCGCTCTGTTGCCCAGGCTGGAGTTCAATGGCACAATCTCAGCTCACTGCAACCTCCACCTCCCGGGTTCAACTAATTCTCCTGTCTCAGCCTCCTGAGTAGCTGGGATTACAGGCATGTGCCATCACATCTGGCTAATTTTTGTATTTTTAGTAGAGACGGGGTTTCATCATGTTGGCCAGGCTGGTCTCGAACTTCTGACCTCAGTTGATCTGCCCACCTCAGCCTCCCAAAGTGATGGGATTACAGGCATGAGCCACCGTGCCTGGCCCCTAATTTTTTTTTTTTTTTTTTTTTTTGGATTTTTAGTAGAGCCTTACCATGTTGCCCAGGCTGGTCACCAACTCCTGAGCTCAGGCAATCCGCCTGCCTCGGCCTCCCAAAGTGCTGGGATTACAGGCGTGAGCTCCCACGCCTGGCTCTATCAAGGTTTTCAAAGCCCTTTGCAGATCTGCCAGGTATGGGGATGGGCACGAGTGGATGGACTGTCTGAAGCGAACACTCCCATCTCCCAGGTACTCGGGAGGCCTGGCCCCACCTAATAACATAGTGTCCATCTCCCAGGTGGCCTCCGACAAAGGTGAACTCTGCAACTCTCAGCTGCCTTTGCTCGGAGAAGAGCACCTCACAGCATGGCCAGAAGCTCAGGGCTGCCCACGTCAAGCCCTCACCAGCGCGTCCTTCAGCGCCCCGGGAACAACGCTTCCCCCTGCAGGCGGGGAGCAGCCACGCACAAATGCTTGGCACTGCAGGGCACACACAGGAGCCGCAGCCACGGAGCGCAGAGCACCCTGCTCACCTGCCTCCACCAGGGCCATGCCAGCTGGTGCTATCGCAATCACCTCACTGCCTGATTTAAACTTGGAGACCACAGGCTAAGTGCCAGTCCCCTGCCTTCAGGCAGGACACTCATTCCTGAAAACTAATCCCTTTCCCAAAAATCTCTAGAGAAGAAAATCTTCCCAGTTCTCCCCTATGTGCTTTTCAGCACCTGGTACAGAACAGCCTCATCTTCGCCAGCGTTCAGCATGGGCATCTCCATGCCCTCTGCCCTGCCACCTGCCAAAACCACCCGGCTGGTGTCTGGAGCTCGGCCAGGAGCCGCCAAGGGCCCTGCAGCCCCACCCCCTGGCGCCCTGGGAGCCGTCTCTCTGCCTAACTTTTGTTACAGGAAGTCTCAGATGTGCGAAGAAAAAAGGGACAGAGCATCCAGAATGGGCAGCCCCCAATATCAAATACCAATCTTAACTTGAAAAATGCTCACTACTCCAACTATGCTACTACATTTTAAAAAACCACACACATGTAAAAGGCACATGGACCCTGACATCTACCTAGGAAAAAGCCCTGGCAGAGAACCAAGCTGCCACTGGGGGAGACACCCAATAGCACATTTGTGTGTTCCTATTTTTACTTGATTGTATTTTCCAAATTTTCTACCAAAAACACCTATTACTTGGATAGTGAAAAGCAGGAGAGGACACAGATGTTCAGCCGCCACTGTGTGGGGTAGGCCTGAGGTAGGCATGGGCTGAAATGTATTGAGCCCTTTTCTCTGGAAGATTCTGGAGCAGCCCTGCTGCCCTCTGGCTGGCTGACAGGTCGTGTCCCCAGACACAGCGGCATTCCTTATTCATTCAGAGAAGCTTCCTCGACCCGCCAACAGGGCCTCTCACTGCACACATGGCCCAAGGTCACCGCCAACCACCAGAGCGACGCCAGGACGGGGACGCGGCTGCCTGGCCTGGACACCACAGCCCAGGAGCCACCCCACAAACCGTCTGCGTGGTCCCCGTGCTCCCTCTTTTTCTGGGACCTCCCGGTGCTCCTGGTCCGCGACCACGAGAAAAACGCGCCTTTCCGCTTCTTCTCGCTGTCCTCATCCCCCAGCTCTTCATTCAGGGATCGGCCGGATTTTGATTTTCCACTTAACTGTCATCAAATGGAAACCTTGGTTAAAACAATGTGAAGTTATTTTACTATTACGTTAAGTGCAAAGGAGGCAATACTGAGCTGTAAACACAAGCACTCTATGGGATGGTATCACTTCTACAGGTCATGGTGTGGCCCTGACAGGACTCCAGACAGCAGCTGGAACTTTCCAGCATGGAGCGTCACCCACCACTGGTGAAGACGCCGACAGGGCCTCTTTTCACTCCCCACAGAACAGCTCTCAGCTGATGACACACAACCCACAGGGGCGTGAGGCCAGCCTCGGGGAGGTCACCTTTTTTGGCGTGGACACACTGGAGTGGTCTGAACCGAGGCTGTGCTTGGAAGCCGGGCTGCTGGGGACCTGCTGCGAGTCCGGGAGTGCACGGCCCTCCACTTCCGCCAGGATGCATTCCTGGTACAGCGGGGACTTCAGAAAGCGAGTGTAGCTATCAAACTTCATGAGATTGAAGATCTGGGGAGAAGATGTAAGGTGGGACAGTCACAGGAGGGACCCAGACATGCAGCCTCAGGCGCGAGGCTGCTTGGCGACCTGTAGGCAACCACTGGCCCTGTCCTGAAAGGACATCGTTTCAGTCCATTTTCCCCCGCCAGCCCTGAGGGTACTTAAGAGTTATTTCCAGTGTGCCTCTATATCTGAGTCTTCTTTCTCATAACGAACCAGCCTTTATCACTCTTAAAATTAAGTGAATCCTGACAACTTACAGAAGCCATCAACACGAGCAGACCCCAGAGAACTTTTATTTTGTTAAATAAGATTAAAACCAAAAGCGACTAGAAATCTTACAGTAGACTGCTTTGAAAATGCCACCCTATGCTTCTGTGAACGTGACCCACGTGCCGCAGCGACATGCACAGGCACGTCTCGAATAGCCTGGGGCCTAATGCCCATGACCACAGCAATGTCCTACGATGCAAAACTTCAAACGCAGATGCGCCATCCCCCAGGCAGGTGTGATTCCACACACGCACAGGATCGAAACATGAGCCAGCGTGAACAGCCGGCTCATTGCAGACAGACACGCAGTGGTTCGGGACTTATTTCATGGCCCTACTGAAAGCCCCACTTTCTGTCTGCGTTTCTCTACCCTACTGAAAGCCCCACTTTCTGTCTGCGTTTCTCTACCTGCGTCTGTGATGCTCTCGATCCACTGGCCTGCCTGATAGCACGTGTTCTTTGAAGGTGGACCCTATACCCCGAGCCCTAGCCTGGACTCCCCACAAGCTCCCACAGCCTGCGGTTACCTGCAGCTGCTGCTCCTTGAACATGTCTGGGTGAGGTGCGCGGAGGACGTCGTCTGCTAGCTGGGCCTGGCTGTCGATGTTGACCGGGGTGGTGGCTTTGCTGCAGAGAAACTTACTGAAAATCTCCCGGGCCCTGTAGGAAAGCTGACAGGAAAGGCACCTGAGCAGCCCGGCAAGGCTTCCTCTCCCCGCACTCCTGCTGCCTGCCAAGGCCCGACACCCCCGGGCTCTACAGATGTGTTCTCACGGGCCCCAGTAAATACCTCTTGCTTGAATAAATAAATAAAAGTGTGGCCAGAATGCAGCAGCACTGCGCGGGCTCCTCTACGATTGTTTAAACGGATACTTAAAGTGTCCCAAAGACCCGGGCGATGCTAGCCCAGCAGCAGCTGCGCAGGGGCAATACTGCCGTGTGTCGCCACACACCTGGTCTTGGCAAGGTGGGAGTGCAGGAGAGCAGCGCCCTCTGAGCATTGCGAGCAGACGAAAGCAGCCCCGAAGCCTGGAAGCCAGGCCACAGGCCAACTGAGGAAACAGCAGCCAGGCCGGGCCAGGCCAAGGCGTCTCTCCCAGGCTTCTCCTGCACCTCCCACGAGGCGCAGGAGGAGCTGCGAAAGCACGGCCCGGGATGCCCTCCTGCCTCCAATTTGCTTTCAAATTCCCCTAAATACACGTTCCTTCCTCAGAATTCCAGCACACTGAAAGACACCCCATCTGCTGTGAAAGCTGTGGCTGAGGGCGTTATACAAACCAGGTTTAGGCAAAATTAAATATCATGTATATTTAAAAATTTATTCTGAAAAAGAAATGATTTTTTTCAAGCCATGTGAAAATATTTTATCATCCACTTTCCAACTGCTCTAGATGCTCCCTGCACCGAGCCAGCCTCCAATGAGGCCACGCGGCCCTCTCACACACACGCGGCCCTCTCACACGCGGCCCTATCACACACGCCCCTCACACACACGCGGCCCTCTCACACACGCCCCTCACACACACGCGGCCCTCTCACACGCGACCTCTCACACGCCCCTCACACACGCGACCTCACACGCCCCTCACACACAGGTGGCCCTCTCACACGTCCCTCTCACACGCCCCTCTCACACACGCCCCTCACACGCCCCTCACACGCAACCTCTCACACGCCCCTCTCACGCCCCTCACACACACCCCTCACATGCCCCTCACACACGTGGCCCTCTCACACACCCCTCACATGCGTCTCTCTCACACGCCACTCTCACACAGCCCCCACTTCCCAAGCGTGGACTTACCTCCTTTTTGTCATGTGCAGGAACATGATTAAAATATTCACAGGCCTGCCAGAATAAAATGTTTTCTTCACTGAATTCTTTCCTTAGAAAATCCTAAGAAAGACAAAGACACCATTTATTAACACTGACACAGGGTCCTCCTTTTTCCTACTTCCCCTTCTACAGAAACCACGGGGTCACTGGCTGCTCAGTGAGCTGCCCGAGGGCCTGGAGAGAGAAACCTCATCGCTGCCCAGCACTTTAGGGAACCGCACTGCTGCTTCCAGCTGTTTCCCCAAAAGCAAAACATCTCTTTGAAGAGCTGGCAACAGGCACCTGGCTTCTTAACACAGATAGGAAGCTCCAGTGCTGCGGGCTGCAGAGAGACCCCAGTAGAGAGCGGGAGGGCCAGGGACGCTCCCTGGGGGCAGAACCAGGGGCAGGATTCAACCCACCCTCCTCTGAGCTCTTGAGAGGGTGGCGGTCCAGGGAGGGGAGACCCCTGCCACGGGGCTGCTCAGGGCCCGCAGGGTGCCGCTGTCTCTAGGGCGGCCCACAGATCCTGCTCGGTAGTCTCTGCAGAGCACAGACCGCTCCGCTGCTCCTGGGCCCTTCCCTACTCACAGAGAAGTAGCGGACACCGACGGGGTCCTGCAGCAGGCGCTCAAAGGACACGGCCCAGCTGGCGACCCTCCTCTCACGCAGGCGCCGGCAGCTCTGCACGCTGGGGAGGCTGGCATTGCTGCTCAGGCTGTTGTTGCTGACGCAGTCCTTCAGGTCGGCGCCCGTCAACTCTGCGGGACCAGCACAGACAGCACCTGCACCCCTGCCCTCCGCCCCGGCCCAGTGACTGCTCTGCCCGCCCACAGGAGACCCTGGGACACGCAGCAAGCTCTGTCCCCTCCAACACCCATTCAGTCAACAACTATGCACAGCACACCTACCACCTGCCAGTGCATTCTACACACAGGGATGGAGCAGGGAACAAAACACAGACCCCAACCTTGAGCGGCTGCACATGTGTGTGCACGAGCACACACACATGTTCACATGTGCAGGCCCACACAGCACCCTTGCACGCACACTCATATGCTCACACGTGCACACTCGCCCAAGCAACAACAAACTACAGCCACAGGGTTGAACAGGAAAAGCAACTAACCTTACACAGGAGCATGTGCACACAGAGCACTAAGACCATCATGGCAACAAGATGTTTCCCAAACAGGCTTGCTAGAGCGAAAGCAGCTGGGCGCGGGGCGCCGCGTATGCCACGTGAGTTACGTCCTGACCCACGGTGCCCTCGGGAGCGTGCTCAGTCGAAGGGGGCACGAGGCTCACCTTCCGGATGCGAAGCCCACACACCCGTGACTGCACACTGCTCTGCATGTGGGCTCCTTCTCAACACGAAACTCTCAGGCACAGTGTCCAGAGCTAAGCCCTCAGCCACGCATGTCGGCTCGGCGGCTCATTTACAGGAGACCCGATGTGGGATATGGCACAGCGCGCTCCCAGGACACCGGATCCTGCCTGACGTGTCTGCAAAACGGCCCTCAGTAGCCTTTGGTTCCCAGTATCTCCTGAGCTCTCGAATAAAGAGAAGGGAGGTCCCCAGGAAATCCCCGTTCATCACCCTTGTCCACTGGATGCGAGCAGTGTGGGGGCGCCCCCGTCCCTCCTGACGCGAGCAGTGTGGGGGCGCCCCCGTCCCTCCTGACGCGAGCAGTGTGGGGGCGCCCCCGTCCCTCCTGACGCGAGCAGTGTGGGGGCGCCCCCGTCCCTCCTGACGTGAGCAGTGTGGGGGCGCCCCCGTCCCTCCTGACGCGAGCAGTGTGGGGGCGCCCCCGTCCCTCCTGACGCGAGCAGTGTGGGGGCGCCCCCGTCCCTCCTGACGTGAGCAGTGTGGGGGCGCCCCTGTCCCAGAGTGGCCGGCCTGGCCTGAGCCCAAGAAGGGATGTGGGCCAGTGTGAGCCCAGCTTCAGGGACCGCTGCCCACCGTGCCAGAGCACGTATGTCTCCTCTGTGAGCATAGGGTGTCCCACACGGGCTGTCCTTAGCCTGCAGCTGAGCCATGCCCTGCTGACCACAGATGACGTGTGACAAGGTGGCCACTAAACCTGTGTTGTTAAGAAGCCCTGGGCTTTGGGCTTGGTTTTCTGCTGCAGCTTTATGGAATGCAGCTGACTGACAGAGCAGCCTCACAGAATGTTCTCAGCAGCATAATAAAATACGCTATGTTCCCCTCCTGCCCCTTCACCAGCCTCCTGTGGCACGGTGCGCAGGATAAGCCGCCCAGGCTGGCACTGCTGTAAAGTCAAGGCCACAGGACTGATCCCAGCGGACGAGCTGATGGGCTCCAGCTCCAGGCCAGCAAATAGAACACATCTTATTATCAGCAAGGGGCCAGGGGTAGAAAGAGACCAGGAGGGGGTCAGTGAGGCAGCATCAACTCCTCTCAGGGGCAGAAGCGACACTAAACCTTATGGATTCAGCCCAGTCTGCAGACGTGCTGTAGGCGACAGGCAGAGGCCTGGCAGGAGGCTTCCAAGGAGGCCACAGCGTGGGCCCCGCTAATCCAGAGAAAAGTGGAGCCCTAGAGCCCAGGAGACCAAACCAGGGCTTTGATCCAACAGTGTCCCTCATGGTCAGCATGGCAGCCAGAGGCTACGCTCGGCAGGAGTCATTCAAAGTGCGAAGAGCATTTAGATTAAAAAAGAAAATGTTAAAGAATAATCAAATAATGTAAACTGCTATAGAAAAAAATTAAAAGAAGACCGAAAGGAAGTTCTGGGATAGGATCAGAAACACGGTGGTAATGTTTCCTTGAATCCACCATGCTGTTGATCTGTTATAGATCAAATGTGTGACCGCGGTGGCCGCCAGCACGCACTGAAGTTTCAGAGGCCTGCGGCTGGGGCTCACACGGAAGCCCTGACTCCGAGCTGCGGTGGAAGGGGCGGCACGCACTGCAAGAAGACGCGCACCAGCGCTCACACGCAGGACAGGGCGGCCAAGCCAGGAGGGCTGGGGCCAAGGACAGAAGGACAGGGGCCATGTGAGGCTCCCTCAAAGAATCCCAACATCCAAGACTCCCCCCCATGTGGCAAGTGCCCCGTTCTGCATGTAAGCCAGGTGTGAAACTCTCACACACACTCAACTTGCACACTCACTCTCTCTGGGGCAGGGGTCCTTGGAGTGGGCTGACTCTTTGTGCTTGCCTAATATCCTGTCACCAGGGAAGTGAGGAGCAAAACATCACAGACAGGAATTCTCCCTAAATGGACATATCACGCCGATACTTGCCTATGGGTGTCTTGTTAGAACCACACAAGTGGAGCGTGAAAGCTCCCGTGGAAAGCTAAGCAGAAATGAGGGGAACAAACAAGATGAGCAAGACGCCAGAGCAGGCCAGCCTAACACGAGAACACACACAGACCACAATCCCGAACACGCAGAGCCAGACAGGCCTAACACGAGAACACACACAGACCACAATCCCGAACACGCAGAGCCAGACAGGCCTAACACGAGAACACACACAGACCACAATCCCGAACACGCAGGGGACAGCATCGGTGTCACCTGCAGGACACAACAGAGTACAGAAACAAACCCTGAGTGTCTAAGTCACGGTCAGGGTAGTGAGTGGGGTGCACGGGGAAGATGACCTCTGAAAAACTATCTAGTCGGATCTCTTCCTTCCAGCACACACTGAAACAAATCCCAATGAATCAAAGATTTAAGTGTAAATTAGAGAAATACCAGAAGAAAATGTGGGATGATCTTTTAAAACATTGGAGTGAGGAAAGCCTCCGGAAGGAAGACACGAAGCCCAGAGCCACGAAGGCAACACTGATACAGTGCACGGCACAGAGGCGCAAATCTCAGTAGGGAAAAGCACCATCAGCCAAGTCCCTGGACAGGAAACTGTGGGGCACCGGCCACACATCACACAGGTGGCGGGCTGGCTCCCTTTTCTACATCAGAGCACCTAAACGCCAAGAAGAAAACCATCAACAAGCCAAAAGGAAAACAGAAGGGTACAGGCAGCCACCAGGTAGGAGGAGGCCCCCGGACACTCGTAGGTTCACTGGCCTCATCACAGAACGCCAGCCATGAGCCTAAGCCTCAGGCTGTTTGTAGCCATCCTCCTGGCCAAGATCACGATGGCAGTGAAGTCTGAGCCAAGAGGCACCTTCTGCACTGCTGGGAGGAGCAAACGCAGATCAACCCCTCTGATTATATTGATCAAACATGAAGTATAAATGCCCAGAGCCGGCTACTGCTGCCGGGGTGCACTTCGTTCATCAGCCACGGTGAAGCTGTAGGACCTCCCGCCCAGTGCTGGGAGACGGAAGACCAGAGCTGGCTGGACAGCCCCCCCAAAGGCACAGAATACACAATGGCACGCCCTGCACCAGAAACAGCCTCGGGGGCCGATCCTGTTCTGTGTACATTCCAGTGCATGGGCACATACTACCTATTTAAAAAATAAGATCATGCAGGCTGGATGATCACTTGAGGCCAAGAGTTTAAGACCAGCCTGGGCAACACAGTGAGACCCTATCTCTACAGAAAATGAAAATAAATTAAAAAATTAGCTGGGCAGGGTAGCAGGCACCTGTGGTCCCAGCTATTCCAGAGGATGGCTTGAGCCCAGAATTCGAGGCAGCAGTGTTGCTAACCTTGCTATATTTTATGCTGACAAATGAGGCAATCCTCATGAATGAAGTTTCTGCATTATGAGCACCATGACATTTTTCCTCCAGCTTTTTTTCCTGAGACAATAAAGGCTAGCTGAGAACTGAGGGAGAAATAGACGTTAACTGGCCTCCAGGGAGCAAGGGAGAACTTCCATGACAGGACAAGCCACGCTGAGCTGGGCAGAGCAGGGAGCCAGCACGGAGCAGCACGAAGTTCACCCTGGGGGACAGTGATGAGCAAGAGACTGCAGGGTCCCTCTGGCTGCCTGGAGGGTGGCCTGGAGGCTGCCTAGGCGAGGCCCAGCTGAGGGGCCCTGGGAAGAACCAGGACGGGAAGACAGGGGAGGCAGAAAGGAGGCTGCCCCACTGCACGCTGTGGCTGGCACAGCTCAACCCCCCACGGTTGCTGACGCTTTTGCTCCTCAAACAAAAGGTGTTTCAATTCCAACACACAAGCACGGTGACGTGAACCGTCTGCCTCCCTTGCTGCCGGTGGAGGGGAGATGGGCCTCTCCCTGGTACCATGTGGAAGTCCCACACCAGCCCCCGGGCCCACCTCCCCTGTTCCCTGGCCACTCCCTAGGCCTTGCCGCCTCCCTCAGCAATGGGACCAGCTACCCACAGGGCTGCTCTCCCCATTCCCACACTGGTGTATTTGTGGAATGAATGAATGGTGACTGATATAAATTCTGAGTGAAAGATGACTGGTGTATTGACTAACATCATGTTCAAAAGTTTTGGCAGATACTAATTATTTTCTAAGACTCACAAATCAATAACTGACCCTTTAAAAGTCTAATCAAGAAAGAAACATGATTGTATTTTAAACAGTAAATGATGACCTGTCTGGTGTGCTCGGCTCCCCTGTGCCTGGTGTGCCCGCCCAGGGAATCTGTATTCCCTCCCCAGTGTGCTCCTGCTCCTGCCCTTGGGGTCCTGCAGAGGCAGATGCTGTGTACAGGAAACCACATGGCAGACCCTCCTGAGAGAGCACAGCCTCGGGTACAGAGGAGCACGGCAGAGAGCAGATGCAGGCATGGCTTGGGGGCGGTGTGGGTGCCAGACCCTCTCCTGGGCCTGCCCAGGCTCCAGGACCCACTCAAGTGAGAGTTGCTTTAGCTGCAAATAAACCATTTCCAAGGAAGGGAAAGAGGTTGCAGTCCATGCTCTTCTCTGGTATTGCAAAGACAGGAGGCGTCACCTTGCCAATTGCTCCCAGCACTGCTGGGGGTGAGAGCCACGCCCCCTTCACACAATCTCATTTTGTAGCTTTCTGCTGACATAGGAATTGTGCTCCAGTAATTCCTCCCAGTGTGAGGCCACAGCAAGCGGGGGCCTCAACTCAAGCACAGGAGCCTGGAGAGTAGAGGAAGCAGACACATTACCTGGAGGAGCCGGAAAGAGAAGCCTCTGGGCCACAGCCCCGGCTGCCCATGCCACCCCTGCCTAAGGATCAGGACAGAAAACTCATGACCCAGCTCCTCAGCTTCCCGAGGGCACAGACGGGACCTGCTGGGCACGTGGACCCTCCTGAGTCCAGGCACTGAGTCCAGCGATTCGCAAAGGACAGTGGAATCTCCAGCAACACACACGTTTTTCAAAAACTGGCTACCGGAAAACGTCCACCCGGAATTCTTGCAATCATAAGCTCTCCTGGTGAATTTTTACGATTCCATCTGGACAAAATTCATGCAGGTGACTTGCAGAGGAACACAGCAGAGCCAGGTGCGAGGCAGAGCCCCCTGAGCACCATTTTTCTTTGCTACGTGGCTCAACACACACGGAAAGTCGTCTCCTCTCTAACACTCACTTTCAATTATGGATTTCACAATTCACAGCACTTTCATGTGCTCTGGAGTTGTTCTCGTCACGTGGAAAATAGTGCACAGTCACAGAAGGCCTGACCTTGAACCCTGAGCAGCACTCACCTAAAATAAAATTCCTTGCACAAGCCACCATTCCGACCCCAGCTCCAAGGCCAGAACGCGGGAGGGATGCCACCACGTCTGTAACTCACTGGCCTGCTTGCAGTGGCTTGCCTGATTCTCTGGTGCTGAACACGTGAGTCAAACCCACACTTGTGATCTAAGCCAAAGAAGAAAAGAGATCCACAAAACACAGCCCACATCCCAACACCACCTTAGAGAACACGGTCCAGTTTACGGTATTGTTGTGGGATTTTTTCTTTCGACTGACCCATCTGAGTCAAAGAAATGCTTTCCTGGTGAAAAAGAGTTTAAAGTCTGTTTAGATTTGCTGCTAATTGGAAAAGCCGCCATGTATATATTGGTGGGTCAAACATGTAGGTTACGTTACAAATGTTAATACCGTAAGATGAAAAGTTTGCAGTTAGTTCTGTAACACACGGCCCGGGCCCGTTGTTATCTCATCCAAACCGTAACCTCAAACACTCTGACTCTTTAAGTCATAACTCCAAGTCAGATCACGAAACACGTCACTGCACAGGCACCCCTATGGGCCCCTCATCCCCGACACAATCCCGCTGCGGCAAACATACCTGAAGACCACATAAGTCAGTGTGCCCCTGACAACGCGACAAGGTACGCAGATGGGGACAAGGGACTTTACCTGGGTAGAGCTGATAAGAGCCACTGTGATGCCACTTAACCAAATACTTCCAACCATGCACTGCAAACCACCCCTCTGAGTCCATACCAGGGTCAGCCGGCAGAGCCCGGGCGGCCCCGAGCAAAGGCCTGCGTCCCACACAGGGACATTGCTCCTGAGCTCACACTCCCAGGAGGCCAATTATTGCAGTTTCTCCCGCGATCCCAGCACACGGCTGACAAAGACGGCTCTGCCCTGCCTGCACGCAGGCTCACGGATGGGAAGCCAACAGGAGACGTCGCACGAAGCCTTGCCGAAGACGCATGCATAATTCACAGCAGCCCCTCAGCTGCTGCCGCCACGGAGCCTGAATTATTGAAGGCGGGCCGAGCACAGCTAGGTGACTGCACGTGGCATAAACACTGCAGATGGAACCCCGGCCTCCCAACACGCTACTCCACTTCAGCAATTTGTGCTTTATTAAACAAGCAGTGGCAAAGGAAAAAAAAGTACTTGTAGGCTTTTTGTATAGTTTTTAACTCTTCTTTCCACATGTAACTTAAATTAAAAAATTTTTAGTCCCATAAATATAAAACCTATCTTTTTATAAGCAGGTGATCACTCAAACAGCGTGTTATCAGGAATATGTATTTAGTTAGGAAATAAGCAACTATACCAAACTGGACCACCTGTGAACCATAAGGAACATTTTTACAACCAAGCAAAATATGCCAACTCACAGACATTTCTGAACAACCTGTGGGCATCCTGGAGGCGGCCTGCCCACCACATGGGGTGGTCCCTTTCCGAGGTGGGGTGCCACACCCACCTCTGTTGCTCCTGCCCCCAGGCCGAGCAGGGCCTCATCTCTGAGAGGATCTCCTGGGTCTTGGTTCAAGGGTTAGGAAACATCCGCTAACACCACAGGTGAGGCCCAGCAAAGTTCCCTGGAGAGGGCGGGTGACACACAGTCTCCATTTTTCTAGGACACTGCACTCTCTGCAGTTAGGACAGAAGCGGCCCCCGACAGCAACTGCAGGAATGGGCATGGCCATCCCACTGACACTTCATTACACAAAGCTGGTTGGTGGCAGGGTTTGGCTGAAGGCGCTGTTTGTTGACCCCATCTACTGACTCCCGGATGGACACTGCCACACAAGCAGCTCTAACTTGATGGAAGCTCCACTACAAAGGCATCCAATCAAGCTCCACATTTTCCAAGAAAAAAGTCCTGGAAAGGCTGTAGAAGGCAGAGCTTGGCCTCATTCGGCCCACCCGTCCATCATGTGCTTCTTGGCCTCCAGTTTCTGAGGCACAGGAAGCCCTTCTCCCCCATTCACAGGGCGGCCCAGGCAGGAGGCGTGGGTGCAGGCTCTGAGCCCGCCCTGGCCGGAGTTCTGCACTCCTTTCTGGCCGGTCACCTCGGCGGGGCCCCACAGTCCCGTGGGCCTCAGTCCCCGTGTCCATCTGCGGCTGGCAGGGGCTTGCAGGGCTGTTGTGAGGGCCAGGAGAATGAAGATGGGCAAGTGGCCGAAGCCCAGATGTAGGCACTATCAGTGCAGCTAAATGTGCTTATGGGGGAGCCGGGACATACGAGCACCGAGATGCCACAGGAAACCTTTGTTCACACCCAAACCAGCCCTCTCCTAGACAATGTGTGCCATCCTTTTTGGGGGGGCAACTTTTTCTTTTGAAATAATTTCAAACTTGCAGAAAAATTATAAGAATAATAAAAGGGACTCCCATATCCGTTTGCCCAGATTCACCAAATGTCCGCATTCTTCCTGCTTGCTGTATCATCCCGTCCCTCTCCCTTCCGCCCATTCTCCCTTCCTCTAAACACGTTCACACCTGCACACACGCAACCTTTTTCCAGACTATCTGAGATTAAGTTGGAGACAGCATGCCTCTTTGCCCCTAAACACGTCAGTGTAGATTTCCTAAGAAGGTGGACATTCTCTCATAACCAAGTACCGACATCAAAATCAGGAAATTTAACAAGCCATCTTCCAGCTTCGTCAATCCTGTCCTTTCCAGCTCTTTTCCCCAGAGCAGGGTGGAACTCAGGGTGGCTGCTGCTGTGTGTCTGCAGTCTCCTTCCATCTGGAATGTTCCCCAGCCTCTCTGTGGTTCCAACCCTGACAGAGGCTGGTTATTTTTAAGACTGCCCCTCAGTTTGGGCTTGGCTGATGTTTCTTTGTGACTGGCTGGAATGCCCTGGAAGCCATGCGGTGTCCCTCTGGGACCTCCTCTGAGGAGGCACGTGGTGTCAGTTTACTGCAGGGTGGGTGACGCTGGCTCTCATCATGTGGCTGGGGCACCAGATTTGTCCGCTGTCGTTTCTAGGGTTCCCTGGTGATAATAAGCTTCGTGCAGAACTACCCCGAGGCTCTGTAAGTGTCTTGCTTCGCATCAAGCCTGAGTCCACAACTTTAGCACCCTCTGATGATTTCCTGACGCACTGTTCAGCTGTATTCTGCTCTAAGAGCCCCCCTCCTGTTACTACAAAGCCATTTATCTGTGTTAGTGTGGACTTGCTGGGTTTTTATTTTAGTCCATGGCTCATACCCCATGAACACCTTTCTTTTTTGGAAGCTCAGTCCCTCCTTCAGGCTGGCACCTGTATCCTGCTCATGTGTCCTCATCATGCCTTAAGCACTGCCTTATTTTCTGGTGTGAAAAAAAATAAAAGCGAAGCTCCAGCTTCATCCTGTGTTTTTCCCACTCCAGCCCAGGAATTAGTCTTTGCTCCACAGAGCCTGACACCCTCTACAGAAAAGAGGTATAGACACCAAAATCTGGACATGCAGGTGCTCACTGCTACTGGGGTTTCCCTGCCTCCAGCCCCACCCTGGTGGACAGAGCTGGGAAATGTGGATGCACACGCACACACTGCTATGTCTATCTCTCCATCCACACATCCCTCTATTGAAAGCCATCGGTTCATACTGACGCCTCCAATGCCAACCCAACACCCTGAGCACATCCTCACCTCCTCTTCCATCTCTGTAACTCCCTGCTGGCAGTGGGGAACTGGCTCCCATGAGCTCTGATGTGTTTGTCCCTGTGCTCAAGCCTGGCACAAACAGAAAGCAGCTTAAGAACGACTGACCCACACCCCTGCACAGACAGACCTACTTACTCGCCCAGCTTAAAATCCTACCACCTACTGTTTAAAGCCTGCACTTGATCACCAAAGTGATTTTGTTTCCCTTTCGAAACAGCCAGGCCTCGTGAATACCTACCATGCAGTCACTACAGCGGCAAAATTCACTTTCACAGAAAATCCCCATGTGGAGACTTGTGCCTCAGGACAATCCTTCTGTCTCTGGCTGCCATGATGTGATTGATCACATGGCCTTGAGCATGTCTGTGCCTTGGTTTTCTCATGGAAGAGAACTAATCTTTGCAAGGCTTGGGGCAAGTGTAGACGAAGGAGCTTACACCATATATCTAAATGCTGGAAAATTGTAACAAAGGCTAACACATTGTTAAATAAGCTATATGCCATCTCGCTACCCTCCAACAACCTGGAAGGCCAGGTTTAATTTAGAATTCTGGAACCTAAGTTCTGCACAGAAGTGTGGTAGTGCAGGGAGGGCTGCCACAGCCCATAGCCCCCTCCTTACTCCCTTAGCTTCACCCCAGCCTCATACTGGGGTGTGAAATTTTGTATCCACATTTTGTCACATCACCCCACGTCAATAGCCCCCTTTGGGTCTCAGAGTATCTATTTCATTCCCCAGTTATCAACTGGAAGATGCTTTTCAAACTTAAAGCAATGAGGCCTTTCTTCCCAGAGAAATCTTACGGGAATCCCTGTGAGGGGCTGGCTTGCGGAGGAAGGAGGACATGTCGGGCAAGAACAGGTAGGGTAGGCTCAGGCCCCCTCTGCTTTAAGCAGCACAGGCTGCGGAGGCCGGCCCAGCTCTGCATCTCAACAAAAGCCTGCCACAACAGCAGAGCCTGCTGAGGGTTAGAAAACAGGGATCTGGAATAGCACCTCCTCAGAAAAGTGTTTACATGCTATCGATCTCAGTCAATCAGCCCATTTTACAGATGAAGCTGCTGAGGTCCAAAACATTCCATGACCTGCCTGGGCTGACATCAGTGACTATGCTGGGCCCAGACTCCACATTCTCCATGGTGAGGTCCCGGTATCCCCAGCAGCACTTTCTGGGCTGACCGTGAGTCTGGCCCCCACAGCCAGACCTCACAGCCCTGCAGAGGAGCTGCCACGCCTGGCAGGTCTCACGGACCCCTCGAGATATAGTGTACTTCCCGTTACCTCAGAGGGCCAGAAGAAATGTGGGCCCAAACAGGAGAAATCTGAATTCTGGGTCTTTCCTGGAGTCAGTACTAGAAACGTGTGATTTATAACTATTCTGGCAGAGCCCAGCAAAACAAACTCTCTACGTCTGAAGTGACACCAAGTCCTTCTGGAGAGTGAAATGCCAACAGGCGGGGGTGAAATGCTGCCAGAGCCCATGAGGCCATGCGAGTGAGCAGAGCGGCTCCTGCGAAGGTCAGTGTGGGAAGTGTTAGGCGATGTGCAAAGACGAGTGAATTATGTCACTTGTCACTCTGAATTTTTAGGATTCTAGGCTTAGAGCTACCAACTATGACCATAAGTAGTTGGTGAGGTCACATCTGACCACAGGGAGCCCTCAGGATGCTCCAAGAAAAGACACAGAACATTTTTCAAAGATCAACCCTAACTGACTTCATTTATTATGCTTACTTGAGCTGAAAAAACTTCACATTACTCATTTAGTGGTTAATTCCTTTGTGAAACTGACTTACTTCATTTTGATGAATAAAATATTTATACTTTGTAAAGACATTCTTCTTCTATTCTTGTGCCAGTGGCCACACAGGAAGTTCAGACCTTCTGGTTGTGGCTTGGCCCCACCAGAGGACACCACCCAACGCAGAGGACGCCACCCAACGCAGAGGACGCCACCCAATGCAGAAGCCCAGGGGCCCCAAATGCTGACCTCATGAGGAAGACTCAAAAGTGGTCCTAAACCCTTCCCTCAAGCCAAGGTGGGGCCACCCACACAGAAAACTGAAGACACAGTCCTGGGGACCTGTGCTTCCACTGAAAGAGTCCAGGGATAGAGAGGACGAAAGGGCACCCTACCCAGCAGGACTGAGGCCAGAGGACCAGGCTTCAGGGAAGGAGGAAGGGCCTGAGTGTGTAAAAGCATAAAGGATTTGTGACATTTAGAGGCCACCCCATAAGCCAAAAAGAGGTAACACAAGACACGGAAAAAAGGCCTACTCTACACATCAGGGGCAGATGGTGGATGCTCTCAGCCATGGTGGCCATATAAATGGTATTTGCTGGGACTGTGATGACTTCACATAATTTTAATAATAAATATAATATGTTAGATGTAAAACTAAGCATAATGCAATGTTTGTACCTTTTATATAACTTCTGATATCAAACAATCAAACTTAAAAAGTCATTTGTCCTAAACCGGGCTTCCAAAAATCTGGTCACCATGCTGGTCCCATGTCCACTGGCCCAGGGAGGTAGGCAGCGCTCACGGGCTCCAGGGCCTGCTGCCTGTGGTCTGGCCCCTTCCCAGGGGTGGAGCTGGGGCTCAGGGGGCCACCTCTGGAGACTGCTTCTCCTTGCTGACTGTGGAGAGGCTCTGCAAAGCCCTGGACTTTTACGCAGCAAGAGACGAGGCTAAGGCAGGGCTCTCCTCCATGGGGAACCCAGCCATTCTGCCCATTCTCTTCCTAAAACCGGGTGGGCAAGTTTAAGGTGAGCATGCGGTAAATGAGGCCACCGCCTCCTTCTCACGATTCACAGGTGCTGACGGGATGTCTGCTCTATGGCAAGCTGTATTCTAGGAGGTGGATCCTCAGCCTGGTGTTACCTAGTCCACAGTGTGCCGGTTCACGGCGTGGTTCCAGAGTCACACTGTTTGGATCTGACTCAGAGCTCCGCTCCTTCCTCACTGGGCAAGACACTCCCCCCGCTGTAAAACCGCAGTAAAAACCGTGCTCGGACTTCACAGGGACAGCGTGAGAACTCCCCTCCTCACCAAGTAACTTACGAGTTACTTAACTTTCCTATAAAGCTGGGATAATAACTATGCGTCTATGCTGACATGAAAGGAACACTGTGACAAACAGTGCGAGGCACATCCTAGGCATCCAATAACATCGTCTGACTAAGTGGATTGCTTGTCCCAAGTAACAGCTAATGAGAGACTACAGGCTGAAAGGGATATAAACTGACATTATAATGCATAATTCATAAAATATTTTCTTCCTTGAAAAAATGTAAATATAAATCTAAAATCCCTATTGGGCTTATCACCTAAAATTCTGGTCCTATACCCCCTCCCCAAAGATAATCCATCTTATTAATTTGGTGTTGGTCTGTCGAATTTTTAAAGCATTTTTACCAACATACATATGCTCCCATGGAAATCATGTGTTTTGCTTAGGAAAGCCGCCAGGGTTGATCTCACTGAACTCTGCCAGGTTTAAAAGTTGGACCTGGCCATGGGCTATGCTTTCGGTTTTGTATAATAGTTAGATAATAATATTATTTGTAAATGATGATTATCTTTTTTCTTCCCAAGTTTAATATTTTTTTCTTGCCATGTAGTGCTGGCCAGAATCTCAATACAATGTTAAAACAGTTGCTGAGATAGAGAACATCCTTGCCTATTCCTGGCTCTAATAGGAATTTTTCTAATATATATACTATTACTAATAGTATAATTATTATTATATGTATTCTATTAAGTATAACTTTGTAAAAAAGGAATGAGTGCTTTTTCTATTCATTATCATATATATTCTATTACTAATTATTAATACTAATGAGTATTACTAATGAGTATTACTAATACTAATAAGCAATTAGTATTACTAATACTAATACTAATTCTAATAGTAATACTAGCTAGTAGTTAGTATTACTAAAACTAATACTATTACTAATAGAATATATAATATATAATAATTAATAGAGTACATTCATGTATTCTATTAAGTATAACTTTTTAAAAAAGGAATGAGTGCTTTTTATCAGTAATTCTATTAGATGCTCCTTTGGCCTCCAGTGTGGTAATAATATGATTTTCGTCCTTTAATCTATTAATGTAACACAATCCGTTGTTTTGTTCACCAATGTATCCCTAGTTCCTAGAAGAGTTTTTTGAAGAAAAGTGAGAGCCCCACAAAAATCACTGTTGAATGAATGGTGGGATGAATGGAAAATTCCCTAAGGGTGAACTATCTTTGCATTTCTTGTGTAAACCAAACTTCACAAGGATGCATTAAAAAATGCTACTGGATTTGATTTGCTAATTATTTTATTTACAAACTTCTATATTTACTCATAAGTGAAACTGGCCAATAATTCAATTTTCCTGTGCCATCTTTCTCCAATATTGGTATCAGGAATATGCCAGTCTTGCAAACTGAGGTGAGAAGCTTCCCATCTTCTATGCCCTGTGTAAAGACAATATTAAGTTGGAAATGTTTGTTGCCCCCCCTTGTGGAAGATCATTCAAGCCCTGTGTACTGACGTCAGGCAAACCATGTGTTATGCTTTGGCCAATGAATGTGAAACAGTATGGCTGAGAGCCATGACCTGATTCTGCCCTGCCGTCTTTTCCCTCGGCCACAAGGCCTGCAGTGCCCCATTTAGGAAGCGCTCCAATAGCCTGGCTCCTGGAGGAAAACACTTAGAACAAAAACAAAGCCAAACTGCAGTAGGCATGTAATGTAGTGTAAGAAATGAACATCTGCTTTGTTAAACCCACCAGGATTTTTGGTGTTATTTGTTATTGCAATATTACTTAGCCTAAGCTGACTGATATACTCATCTGTATATTGGTTTGGGCATGGTGCCTATGGGGGTTTTGATCTTTGACTTCCAAATCATTTTTGCCTATGTTGATTTATCTAATCAGTTTCTACTTCTTCTTAGGCCAACTTTGATCATTTATATTTTCCTAAAGATTGTCCGGTTAATCAAATGTACAGTATAAAGTTGTTAATGGAATTGTCCTATAGTGTTACTTCTTAGTCTCTAACTGTACTTAGGACCTGTCTTTCATTCTTGATGTTATCTTTGTCCTCTTCCTCTTTTTCTTTTTTTGTAGAGATGGTGTTTTGTCCAGGCTGGTCTCAAATTCCTGGGCCCAAGTGATCCTCCTGCATCAGCCTCCCAAAGTGCTGAGATTACAGGCATAAGCCACTGTGCCTGGCCTCCCTCTTTTTCTTGATTATACTTTTGTTCATACTTTTAGTTGTATACTGTTTGGTTTTTTCTATTTTGATAATTTCTGCATTTATCTTCATTTCCTTAATTTGCATTTCCTTTTTTCCGTACTTGCTTCTGTTGAAAACTTATTTCCTATATTTTCAAACTTTTTTCTAATATATACATTTAATGCTACAATTTTTTCACTGAAAATCACTTTGATTATATTCTACTGGTGATGATGTGTAGTATAGAACCATAAATGGTTCTAAACTGTATGATAACTCCCATTTTAATTTCTTCCTTGACCCATGGATTATTTAGAAGTATGGTTTTAAACTTTAAAATGTATGAATTCTTTTTTGTTATCATTTTATGATCGACTTCTATTCAAATACACTGCTGTCAGGAGCTATTCTCTGTATGCTATAATTTTTTTAAATTTGTAGCAACTGCATGTGTGGCATATTGTATGCCACAACTTTAGTAAATGTTCCACGTACTTTAGAAAAAAAGTGTATTTTCCATTTGGTACAAAGCTCTCTATGTGTCTGTTAGATTTAATTTGCTCATTTTTCCATTCACATACTTTGTAATCTTACTATTTTTTTTTTTCAGCTTGATCTCTTGGTTTCTGAAAAAGGTGTGTAATAATTCCCCCTCGGAGTACTTACCCATGTTGATACCGTGCCATTTACTTCTGTTCTGCAAATCTCATGCTACTTTTGGTGCACACTGTCTTTTTTGTTCTTTTTATTGCTTTTTCACTTTGTCTGATATTAATATTGTTATGCCACTTCTCTTTTTTCTTAATATTGCTTGTTATATCCTCTCATTTAGTTGTTTTCAAACTTTTGTCACTTATTGTTGTTTGTTTGTTTGTTTTCAGAAGGAGTCAAACTATATTGCCCAGGCTGGTCTCAAACTTTTGGCCTCAAGTGAGCCTCCTGCCTCAGCTTCCCAAGCATTCCCTATAATCCACAGCTAGGATTATAGGTGTGCACCACCGTGCCTGGTTCAACATCGCTTATTTTAAAATTGGGTTTTTAACAATCAAAGTGGAGAGTTTTTCTCCTCTGATGCTCTTTCTCTTGTTGATCTTGTAAGCTTCTTCAGGACCTCCTGGCTTATTTTCTCTACCCAGTCCCTCTAAATAATTTTATTCACTTCCAGTGGTCAATTATATTGAAAATGCAATTAAAATGCCATTACAAATAATGGCAGTTATCATTTATATAACTCCTTATAATGTACCAGGTATTGTCCGATGTACTTCACATATATTAAATCATTTACTTCCTGTAAGAAGTCTGTAAGTAATGGGTCCTACTATTATTCCATTTTACAGATGAGAGAAATGAGACCCACAGCTAGGAAGTAGCAGAATTAGGATGTAAACCTAAATAATTTGGCTCCAGAGGCCATACTCTTAATTGTTCTATGTCCTATTGCCTCTCAAACCACATCTTCAGCATCTTCTGGTTTCCCATGTGTCTTATGGGTTTGAGACTCGCCTTTTCTGCATGATCTATAATTACTCAAGTTTACCAAGCCAATGAGTTTCATTGAAACGCTGATGACTCCCAAATTTCTATTTTCAAGCCCAACCACTTTTCTGCATTCTGTACTCATTTATCCAACTGTCTACACAATATCTCCAGTAGATTTTGAATAAACATCTCAAAAATCCCATGTCCAAAGCAGAATTCTTGGTTATCACCCCCCTATCTGCTCCTCCCACCCTAGTCTTCCCCATCTCTGCAAACACCCTCATCCTCCGAGCTGCCTGAGGCAAAACCCTGAGGTTAGTCTTGGGACCCCTCTCACGTCGTTCCACTGCTCCTCCCATGGACATGTGCACACACGACTACTCTCTCTTGGGTTCCTCGCGACCCCCTGGCTGCCATCTCAGCTTTTTCCTGGTTCTTCCTGTCTTCCCAAACTCATATGAGGGTTAATCCTCACCCATCTGTCAGGTCTCAGCTCTGCTCGGCCATCCTGACCACAGGGTGGGCTCTGGCCCGGCCACGCACTTGCACAGCTCCTTCTTCTTCTATCGCAGCCAGTGTGGCATCCCACCACAGCCCACCTCGGCACCCAGAGGCACACAGGGGCTTCCCACTGGCTTCTCTGATGCAACCAGTCCCTTTTTTCTCAAGTCCTTGCAAGGTCTTGTGTGTCCCAGGCTGCTCCCTCACCTTCTTTCGAGCAAGAGTCTATTTGAGGGTGATGCATTAGCCTGAAATCATCTCCATTAATGCTGGTGTTAGATACTTATAGAGGTCATTCATCCAGAAGAGATGGTTTTTTAAAAGGCAAACCAAGCCAGATTTAGTATTTATTCCTGGGAGGAATGGTCTCAAGACTTTGAGAGCAAGAATGAGTAACTACATATTGAAGATCACATATGTATAATTACAGCAATTAAAAAAAAAAAACCCCAATTGTCCAAATGTCAATGGCTGCATGTGGCTTGTGATAACATTTCCAGGAAAAGCATCAACACAGATTCCAGAAATGCTATGTCTCAACCAGCTTGGACAAAAGTGAAGATGACTCTGGAAAGCTGCCAGTGACTTGAAAATTGCCTCCAAAATATATAAGGAAATGCAAGGGCCAGGAATAACCAAGGCAATCTTAAAGACAAGCAAAATGAAGACTATAGCACTAGATATCCAAATGCCAGGGACGAGAATTACGACATGAAGTCCTGATCCAATGATAGACAAACAGACCAATGGAACAGAATACAGAGGCCAGAAACAGACCCACAAATATATGATTACCTGATACAGGTGTTGCTTCAAGTTATTGGGAAGGATTGTCTTTTCATTACATGGAGCTGGGACAACTGAATACCATGTAGAAAAAATGAATCTTACCCCTACCTCACACCATAGACAAAAATACCAATTCCAGATGAATCAGAGATTTAAATATTGAAGATAAAACAAAACAGATTTACTTTCATGGTCTTGGGAAGGGCAAAGCCTGCTCTAAAGGGACATAAGCATTACCCTAAGGGGAAAAATGATAAACTGGATTATATTAAGAACTTTCAGTCATCACAAGATACCACTAAGAGAATGAACAGGTAAGGTATAGAAAGGCTTAACTACATACATAAATCTATCACAAACACATAAATCCAAAACACAAGGTATATCTAATACAGCCAGCCCTCCGCACCCACAGTTCTGCATCCACAGATTCAACCAACTGTGGATGGAAAATATTTGGGAAAATATTTGGAAAAAAAATTAATGGAAAAAAAATAACAATACAACAAAAAATACAAATAAAAACAATATAGTATAACAACTGTTTACATACCATTTACATTGTATTAGCTGTTATCAGTAATCTAGAAATGATTTAAAGTACCCAGGAAGGTATGGGTAGGTTATATGCAAACGCTACACCATTTTATATCAGGGACTCAAGTATCTGCAGATTTTGGTATCCTCAAGGGGTCTTGGAACCAATTCCCTAGAGACACTAAGGGAAAACTATACGTAAATCCACCATAAAATCATTTCCAGAATATATTTTTAAAATATTCTATAAATCAATAAGGAAAGGCAGATAACCTAACAGAAAAATAAGCAAAAGTCTTGAACAAGCACTTCACAAAATAAGATATTCAAAGGGCCAAAAATATATGAAAAGGTGATCAATTCATAGTCATCAGGGGACTGAGAACTAAAACTATTAATACAATTAAAGCCCTATGTATGTGGCTACAGGGAAAGTGTTGAGAGGATGTTGAACACCTAGAATTCTTATATACTGCTAGTCAATGTGGACACTGTAAAAATCATTTGGAAATTGGCAGTATTTACTATAGGTGAATATATACAAACCCCCAGCCTATCAGAGCAGAAATGTATGCAGATGCCCACCCAAAAGACCTGTACAAGCATGTTATATGGCACCATCTGTAACGGCCAAAAGTCAGAACCAACACGATGTCATCAAGAGAAGAATGGAGGAACGATGCCATATTTGCACCATGGACAGTCCACAGCTAGGAGAGTAAACAGCTCCTGATAGACTCACAGGAGCAAAATGCACCATCCTATGTTAAATAAAGGAAGCTAGACACTAAACAGCATACGCTGCGTTGAGTCTTTTTTTTTTTTTTTAGATGGACTCTCACTCTGTTACCCAGGCTGGAGTGCAGTGGCGCAAACTCTGCTCACTGCAACCTCTGCCTACTATAACCTTCACCTCCCAGGTTCAAGAGATTCTCCTGCCTCAGCTACCCTAGTAGCTGGGATTACAGGCATGCGCCACCACATCCAGCTAATGTTTTTTTTTGTTTTGTTTTGTTTTTTTGTATTTTTGGTAGAGACGGGGTTTTGCCATATTGGCCAGGCTGGTCTTGAACTCTTGGCCTCAAGGAATCCACCTGTCTCGGCCTCCCAAAGTGCTGGGATTACAGATGTGAACCACTGTGCCCAGTCAGTCTTCTTTTTTTTTTAAGTTTGAAAACAGGCAACAGCCGTCGGGTGAGAGGTCCCTTCCGGAGCTGGTGACTGAGGGCCTGCAGGGGCGCTTGGGCTGCTGGTAATGTTCTGTCTCTTGGTCTGAGTGCTGATAACACACATGTGTTCATTCTGTGAAAATCTCTCAAATTGCTTATTGATCATGTATGTACCTTTCAGCGTGTAAGCTATTCTTCAATAAAAAGTTTTCATTACTTGAAAAACAATTGCAACAAAAATGCATCTGAAGTGTTTAAATAGTGTCACGAAATGTGAGCAGAATAGAGCCACCTTTCTACATCAGTATCATTTAATATAAAATGCAATTCCTAATAGAGTATTCTCATTAGATATTTGTTACCTACATTCCTTTCTAGATTTGTTATTTACATTTCACATATTCGGCTGAGCATGGTAGCTCACGCCTGTAATCCCACCACTTTGGGAGGCCAAGGTGGGTCTATCACCTGAGGTCAGGAGTTCGAGACCAGCCTGGGCAACATGGTGAAACACCATCTCTACTAAAAATACAAAAATTAGCCAGGCGTGGTGGTGTACATCTGCAATACCAGCTACTTGAGAGACTGAGGCACAAGAATCACTTGAACCCAAGAGGCAGAGGTTGTAGTGAGTCAAGATTGCACCACTGTACTCTAGCCTGGGTGACAGAGCGAGACTCTGTCTCAAAAAAGAAAAAAAAAAAAGATGTGCTGAAGGAGCAGACGGATGAAATGCCGTGGAAGGGCACCACGTTCAGAGAGATGCCGGCAGGAAGGGTCAGTCGCAGGTGCTCTGAGGGCCGGGCAGAGGCTTGGTCTCTGCACTTCACCTAGGGAGCCAGCCAGGCCAAGTCCAACCTGGGCTGGGCAGCTTCCTCCCCAAATTCCAGCCATTTCCCCATAGACCCAGCATGGTGCTGGCCTCAGATGCTCCAGGGACGGGCCTGGGGAGAGGAGAACCTGCTCTTTCTGGGTTGTGAGGCAGCTTTTGGGAAATCAGTGAAGCTCTTTGTACAAGGTGCCGTCATGACCTGAGTTTTGTTCTGAACTTTACAGACCACATCCCACAAGTAAGGTGAAAAAAATTATATCACAGAACTCTATCTGCCGTGGGAGAGCACCTGGGACAGGCCTTCCCCTCCTGCCAGACAGTAGAATAGTAGACAAAATACGCAGAGCATCAGAACCTGCGGGAAAAGACAGAAAAAAGAAAAGCAAAATATGCGAAGCAACAGTTCCCAAAATTGGACCACAGTCACCAGAAGGGGTGTAATTCCTGATGAAAAAATTAATAAGGTGAGCCCTGTGACCACCCAGAGCTGTCAGCCCAGAGGCACTCCATGAACCACAGCACAAGGTGGGGCCCAGGTAGAACCACCGTCCAGAGCTGAGGAGACAGGTCAGAATCGGGGAAGGCCAGGGTGGCTGGAGCTGCAGGTGCAGGAGAGACCTAGCAGGGAAAGTGCCCAGGGACCTCACAGGAGCCTCCACCTGTGGCTGAGTTCTAAGCTGTGCATGCACAGCCGAGACCCCACGAGGCAGGCAAAGATCAGCCGGGGGCTGCGGCGGGAACAGCTGCCAGAACTCACACAGGGTCAGGGGGTTCCCGAGTTCCAGCCAGTTCTGGGTGAATCCCCAGCTTTTAGAGGAGTCCCCAAATGTAGCTTTACAAACCTCTGTATTTTTTAAAGGAAGGCAACAAAATTCAGCACTCAGTCAAGAACTGCCAGACAAATGAATACTCAGAAAAATGTAACCCATAACCAGGAGAAAAGTCAGTCAATAAAGGGACCCAGAAAGACAGAGATGATAGCACTGGCATCTAAGGGCTTTACATGTCTTATAAATATACAAACATTTTGGGGTTTTTTGTTTTTGTTTTGAGACAGTCTCACTCTGCCCCCAGGCTGGAGTGCAGTGGCACCATCTCAGCTCACTACAACCTCTGCCTCCTGAGTTCAAGAGATTCTCCTGCCTCAGCCTCCCGAGTAGCTGGGATTACAGGCATCTGCCACCATGCCCAGCTATTTTTATATTTTTATTAGACACGGGGTTTCACCATGTTGGCCGGGGTGGTCTTGAACTCCTGACCTCAGCTGATCCGCCCACCTCAGCCTCCCAAAGTGCTGGGATTACAGGCATGAACCACTGCACCCAGCCAACATTTTTGGGGTTTTAAAGCAAAGCGTGAAGAGAATCAGTAGAAAGAAATGAAAAAAATAGAAGGAACTGCTAAAGATGAAAACACAGTCTCTGAGATGACAGGCTGATCGGCAGGAATTCCCTCACAGGAGGGAATGAGCTGTATATCTGACACTAAAATGACAGATCAGTGAACTGCAGGATAGAGCAAGAGAAACAATGAAATGGCAAGCATGCAGGCGACACAGAAGCCTGAACATGAAACGGCCTCCATGAGCTGAAGGGAAAACCAGGTGGCCTAACATGCTTGCATAATTAGAGTCTCAAAAGTGGGAAACAATGAAAAAAATACCTGAACCCCAACAAATCCCAAACACAACAGACACAGAAAAACCAACCTGAGACTCATCATAATCAAATTGCTGAAAACCGACAATAAGGAGAAAGTCTTAAAAGCTTTCTGTTAGGTGGTATGCCCAGAGGGGATCTCTTCCCACAGTCTATCTAGCCTGGGGGTAGGGGAAGGATCTTCCTCAACTGCATAAAACTGCACAGGTCCTGTCCCTGAGAAAAGCCCTTGAGCTCTCCCCACACTCAGGATCTACTTCTAGACCTTTTCCTTAAATCATTTTGGCCAATCTGATTTTCAATCCAATCTACATAATGCTTTCTTTCTGCAAACTTCATACATACTCTCCTGAGAGCAAATCTATTAACATTTTCAGACCATTTTGAAAGTCCTTAGGTTAAAAGTTCCAGAAATTTAAAATATTAATTATTTTAGTAAACTATTAAGATATACAGAAAAGTGCACAGATTATGAGCATATGGCTTGGTGGAGTTTTGCAGGTGAACATCCTCCCAGACCGAGAAGCTGAGCAGGAGGAGCTTCCCTGGAGCACCCAGGCAGCCCTCTCTGACGCCCCCAAACACCCCAGGCAGCCCTCTCTGGTGAGGCCCCCAAACACCCCAGGCAGCCCTCTCTGACGAGGCCCCCAAACACGCCAGGCAGCCCTCTCTGACATGGCCTCCAGACCACCAAACAGGGCGGACACTGCTTCTCACGCCTAGGGTTGCATGAGAGGAGTTCTTCGTTTGTTTTATCTTTTCCCCAAGAATCTAACTAAGAAACTCCCTTGGAGTGGGAAGGGGTGGCGCCTGCTTCCAAGTGTGGCCTCTGGGGAGGGGATGCAGCCGCAGGGGCACCAAGGGCTTCTGTGGTCACCCCAGCCCTGAGTCAATTCTCAGGCACAGGCCCCCTGGCTAGCACACGTTAACTCTGGAAGATAGGTATGCAGTTAGTGGTTTTATTACCTTTGAATTTGTTTGCTTGAAAAAATAATTTCACAATATTAAAAACTAGTAATAAAAACTCTCCAAATATCTTGTAGAATTGGAAAGAAACAAGTACATCGGAAGGCATCCTGGCAGAAATCAAGTCTCCACACTTCCAAAACTGAAAATCTCCAGTCTGACTCCTGTTTACAAATACTAATACGGTATTCCACACCCTACAAATACACTGTGTGATTCTGAGCATCATTTTGAAGTCCAAAAGCAAACCAAAAGAATGTGACATATTAAATCAAGTAAAGGGTTCTGGTTAAAACAACCACTCCCACAATAGCGCATTACAAATTAACATTCTGTTTCTGCTATTTAGCAAACATTTTTGGAAAATGTGCAATTAGGCTGCACTGTTTTTCTGATGAGGAAAATGTAAATTTATCAACTAATTCTATGTAAGTACTGATGGTTCTACTCTCAAGCTTTTCCCTTTCTCTTTCAAAATTGTATAGAATACAAATTTTGGCATTTGCCAAAAATATCAACAATTATACTTTATATTTTAAAGAGGAATGCAGTTTAAAGTCCCCCAAGTTAATCCGGCAATTACGGTAACCCTCCCCCATCAGGCAGCCGTTTGTGACAGCTCCCCAGGCCTCAGTGCCTGTTCGCTAACAAGGACCGGCGAGATGAAGACACAAGGCTAGGAGAGAGAAAGTGACTTGCCCCAAGAGATCGGCCTGTCAGCTGTGGAGCTGCAGGTGGAGCCCGAATCTTCCGCCATGGCCAGGTCTGAGCTCCAAAGGCCCGCGTGTTGGGTGAAGGCACTGGAAGAGCCTGGCAGGCGCGCAGAGCAGCCCAGGAGGAGGCGGCGGCAGTGGGTCCACCCCGCAACACCAGTCACACAGGAGTTTCTGCTTCTGTGCTTGTGTGTGCTTTTTGAGAAGGTTTCACGACTAAAAGGAAAATCACTGAAAGCCACTGTCCCCGCCCAAGCCTCGCCCTGACGCTCTGGCTGATGTCTGCTGAACACCCGATCATTCACTCAACAGACAGCTCTCGTGCCAGCCGCTGTGCCGGGTGCCGGGACAACTCTGACCTGCCACGTGGAGGTCACACCAGCTGGGGGGACAAAAGCACCAACACAGATGAATAATTAAAATGATGGAAGCTGCCCCTAGCACGGGCAGGAAATTGACAGTGGCCATCGCTCAGGATGGGGGCAGGTGGTCAGGAAGGGAAGAGGGAAACCGCATGTGCCTGAGGCACCATTGGAGACCAGGGTGGGACGCAGGATGGTTGGGGGAACAGGGGCTCTGAGCTGGTGGAGGGGTCCAGTGCAGGGGCTGGGCAGATCACTGCTGCTGCTGTGGGGGCAACCACCAGCGTTCAGGAGAAGGGAGCGGGAGGATGGCTGCAGAGACAGGGCCAAGACTGAGGTCTGCATGGAGGACGAGTAGGGGGGCAGCTGAGTGGACAGAGTGGGGTCAGGGCAGAGCTGAGGCACAAGGCATGAGGAGGACATGGGGATGGAGGACTGCGACTAGTACGTGTCGGGGGTCCCCAGGGTGAGGCTGCGAGAACGGAGTGTTTGAGAAGCAGCTGGAGCACCGGGGTCATGTATGTGGGGTGTCATGTGGACCTGCCACCGTCCCCCAAAGCCAGAGCCGCACAGTTCCCCGGCTTTCCTGCTGGCACAGACGCCGTACGCAGGAGGAGGTGGGCGCTCTGGGAGCTCCCCGATAGTCTCCACACCCCGACTTCAGAAGGTGAGGTGGTCACAGCGGGAACATCCACCTGTGGAGGCTGCAGTGGGTGAGGGGATTCTGGCAGGCCTCTTGGCACAGAGCTTGACCAACGGAGGAAGCCACAAGAACGGGCTTCTGTGCGGCCGCGGCTCCAGCTCTGTGCAGAGCCAGACCAGGAGAGGTGAGAGGTTCCTTTTTCCAGGAGCAACCGGGCATCTTCCTTTTCTCATTTCTTCACAACGCCCCATCTCCCTCCAGCTCGACCTCACACTTCTGTCTGAATAACTTCCCACAAGGCAGACCATTCCCCTGCTAAGCCTCTCTATAATGCTAGAATGTGCTTCCTTCTCTCCAGCTGGAATCTGCTCCCTGCCCCCACCCACAGCCCTGCCGTGCCCCCCAGAGACCAGCTGTAACCCTTTTTCCCGAGGGCACTCTTTGGCTACAAACGGGTGGCCATTATCAGCCCCTTTCTTCTGAAAAAGTGAAAAAACACACTCCAACTTGACAAAGATTGCCAAAATAGCATAGTCCAACTTCCTTAAAACCGAGCCACAAAACTAAAACTCTCCAGCGAGAGCCTAAGCTATAAAAGCACGATACGCGTCACAGAATGAAACCGTGGCATGAACACGAACTCTCTCACTGGCACGGCTCGTTGAACACAAAATATTTCTAAGTGAGTGATCTATTAATCACCAAAACTAGACAGGATGACCAGGCAGAGACAGCCCAGCTGAGCAGATTGCTCCCCAAGCCAACTCCTCAGTCCCTCCTTGGAACTCGGGGAGCATTTTTCCCATAAAAACACTGGGGTGCTGGAGTTCCCAGGCCCACCTCAGTGCACTGAGTCTCCCACTGACCACAGCCTATAAAAAGATCTCTGTGTGGAAACACAGCCAGAGTTTCCCTGGGACCACCCCCCCACCCCGACCCCGCCCAGGCTCCTGTCACTGCCGTGGAGGGCAGGGTGTGGGGGAGGGGGCCTCTTTCTGCCTGAGGCACCAGAAGGGGCAGCAGGGGCTGCAGGCGCTGGAGGGTCCAGGGCTGGAGCGGGGGACTCTCCAGGACCATGGGGCTGGGCGTGTGGAGGCCCAGGGCTGGGGGGTGGGTGGGAGCCAGGGTGGAGGGGCCTCTCAGCCAGGGCTTTCCCCTGCAGGCCTGAGTCTGGCCATCTCACCTGCAGACTACTGTGAGCTGCTGGATCTCCCCACTCTGCCTCGGTGCCCTACATCTAACAACGGCAGAATGTGACACCGATCTAGAGCTCATGTGCACATTAAACAAGATAACTGGCTCTTTTTACTCTTATAAGCAAAGAAACTGAAGATGGAAAAATAACAAAAACACAAAAAGGAACTAAATAAACATCCAGCCCGCCCACTGCGGTTCCTGAAATTCAGGGTGTGCTGATGACTGTCTCCTCCCTCCCGTCTCCTCCTCCCTCCCGTCTCCTCCTCCCTCCCGTCTCCTCCTCCCTCCCGTCTCCTCCTCTGTGACTGGGGCTCTCCATGGAGGGACGGGCCTGTCCCAGTGGCCCCAGGGTCTGACACTGGGAAAAGAAGGAGGAGCAGGGGGTGGAAAGCCCTAGCACCAGGGGATCTCTGCGTGGCCAGGATACACTTCCTCAGAGGGACACACAGAGCCAGCGTGGCGAGGAGCCAGGACACACTTCCTCAGAGGGACACACAGAGCCAGCACGGCGAGGAGCTAGAGACTTCCCACCCTTGGGAGGTGCAGGTTTTTAAACAACTGTAAAATGGACACATAACACAACTCTGGGTTCCTGCATCTATTGCTGACAGAAGCAATCTTTTGGAGGCAAATAAAACTTATTATATATGGTGAAACTAAACATATTAGGCAAATCTTTCATGTATAAATTGCCTGCAAGAAATGAATGTCTTCTGCCAGAAAGGAGAAGTGAGAACACGGCAGAAAGAGAAAGCATGAACAGATCATTCAAAACACCGGTCACTTTATCCTGGATTTGGTTCCGGGTCCTGTTTCTTTTCATTAAGGAAGTTTATCCTCCCTCCACCTTAAGACTGATTAAATGACATGATTTTCATTGTACATAAAATAGGAAATAGAATTCCTTTTATTCTACAAAATACATCTCCACCACACGAGTGTCGGGATCCCTCTGGTCTCGGCTTCAGGTGCCAGTGCGTGTGTAACCCAAGATATGCTCCTCCTCCTACAGAGCCGCTGGCCCACAAGGGCTCTGAGCTCTGTCTGCCCACCTGGGGTCCTCCTGGCCTTCCTACAGAGTGGCTGGCCTGCGAGGGCTCTGAGCTCTGTCTGCCTACCTGGGGACAGCAGCCCTTTCCGAGGCCGAGGACTGAGGCCAGCAGCTGCAGGACCACAGAAAGTGAGAGAACGACATTTGGTTTCTCTTTAACGCACAAATACAGTGGCACCTCAAACCCACCGGCCCCTGGGCAGCTTCTGCAGCACAGCCTGTGCCTCAGCCCATCCCTGGCCCACAGCGATGCCAGGTGCACCTATTCCAGCTCTCAGGGACAGAAGTGGGGACAAAAGCGTGAGGTGACGATGAAACCCGAGAGCCTGCGGACTGTCAGGAGTGTTAGAAGAAAAGAGGAATATTTCGGAGGAACTCTCCTTACTTTGGAGAGGTTTTTTTAAATCATTGAACCAAAATGATAAGGATGACATCAGAGAAATCTTCAGTGAAATAAGACATTCCTGCCTACTTCCTTTTCAATCAGTCCATGAAAAGAATCCCTGTGCACAAAATTCTTTAAACACAGAAAGTAAGTTTTTGATTCCTCTTCATCCCACACTCTCAATTCGTCTATTATACTTTTCTTGAGAAAATTCTGGGTCTCACCCAAATTTCCTGAATTGCTCAAATTCAGAAAGCACTTTGAAATCTTAACTTGCTGGTTTAAAAGCTGGTTATACAACAAGGGAAGAGCAAAAACACGTTTTAACTTGTCAGACACAGGCAGGCGGGTGGGTGCACTCCTCAGACACACAGCGCTCTATCACACTGGTGTTCAGGGCCATGGCAGTTCTCTTAACAAACAGCTTCCAAAACACACGCCGAGGCCACCTGGGTGTCACAGAAAGCGCCCCCAGAATTAACTCACCTAGAACCCGCCCACAAGGAGACAGGGAAAGGCAAACAACCCGTCCTTCCTGAGGGCATCAAATGGCAAATACACTTTCACAATTTGAAAACTTTATGAAAAATAAAAAATATATACATCAGAAATTGTGACTTACCGCCATCAGACACAGTTGCAGACTGAAAGAAAAGAGAGAGAGACATGAGTTAATTAAGCCTCATGACAAAACTCCAGGAAACGAAAAGTCCATCTGAGGAACACAAGGGGCAGACTCTGGGAGGTTCTCAGAGGCACTCTCCAGGTGGAGGTGTCCCGGGAAAGCCAGACGGCCCAATGAGTCAAGAGTCACGGCTCCCACTCCGCCCAAACTAGGTGACACCCAACAAGAGGAAGTCATCCTTTTCATGTGAAAAGAACAGATCCCAACATGTCTGACATTACAGTCTTAGTAACAGCGTCAATGAAACCAACTTCACAAACTTCAGTAGCATCATGCCCTGTAAGTGACACACACACTGGGGGCAGCCACCAACAGCCCACTCAGTGCCCACGTGCCGTGACGCCACCCAGGACCACACTCGGGGGCAGCCACCAACAGTCCACTCAGTGCCTGTGTGCCATGACGCCACCCAGGGCCATACTCGCCGCCCCTCACGCTCTCCAGCATCACTGCCCTCCCACAGGAGTGGAACGGGGCCTAGAGAGGCGCAATGACCACTCAGGGTGGCAGCAGAGGAGTCAAGCCCAGAGCCAAGCCCCGGATCTGGTGCCCGCCCACCCAAGCAGTGCAAGAGCGGCCACCAGCAGGAGGGTTGGGGAGACGCCTCCGAGGAAGGGGCTTGGAACAGTGGAAGGGGCTGGAGGAGAGCAGGGTGGCTGGCTTAAAGGCACCAGGGACAAGAACAGACAAGTCAAGTTATGAAGGAGGGGTGGCAGGCGGTACCGGAAGGCCAGCGTGACCAGGAGGAGGCCGAGAACTCGAGACAGTCAGCTGAGCCAGGAGGAAGCCGAAAAGAACAGGAAGCCACGGCGGCCCCAACGGGAGCCCTGATCAGGGCGACCTGGCACTGCACTGGCAGGAAGGGCCCAGGGCGCAGAGCCGTCAGGCAGGTACGGGACAAGCCCAGGACTCAGCCCAGGAAGGAGAGGAATCAGAAGAGGCTGGCTCACCAGGGGACACGGATGCCAGGAAGTGAGAGGGGGTGAGCAGAATGGAGCTCCAGAGGCTGGACAAACCCGTGTTTGATCTGATCCCTGGGCAGGCACTCTGCTGCTATCTAGGCAGGAACCCCTTCCTGCGGGGACCTCCCAGACGGCCTGGCAAGGACCCACTTCTGTCCTCCTCTCTGCCAAGGCGAGGGCTGCCAGGGCCAGGGGAGCGAACGAGAAGGTGCTGCCGTGATGGGCAACCTGGTACCTCCTGGCCACTCCCGAGAAGTGGAGGTCACTGGGGCTTTAAGACCCCCCCACGCCAAAGTCCAAACAAGTGAGGCCCAGAGGAACCTCCCAAGGGGGAGGGGACCAAGGAAAAGGAGCCAGGGCTTCCAGCTGCTGCCCCTACCGTGTGGCCCTCCGGGACACACACTGTATGGGTTTTAACACGAGCGGTACACCCACTGGAATTCTGCACATCCTGTCTGACCACCCCAACCTCGGCACAGGGCCCCAGCCCTGCCTCCCAGCCTGCCGGCAAGGGCAACCATGCCCCGACGCAGCCTGGCCATCCGGGGTCCACTGCCAGCCCTGGCCCTGCGACCTACACCAGCTATGCGCATCCTCCTCCCCCGCAGAGTCTGTCCTCTGGCACCCAAAGTAAGCCCCCTGACAGGCACTGTGTGAGACCACCTGGGGCCAGCTTCGGAGGGTCCTGCCCCCCAACCCACTTCCCAGTAGTGAAAACACACAGCAGCCTGCATCCATCTCTTCACTGTCCTCTCATTGGCCAGGAAGGGGAAAGAGCACACACCCCTGAAGCCACCATGTGGCCCTTGGCCCTCAGCCGCAGGAACTGGTTTTTATCAGAGGCTCTGGGGCAGCCACGTCACAGATGCTGACATACACATTTTGGAAGGCTGTCATTCCTTCCATGCCCGCAATAAATCATCCACAATCATGTCGCAATCTAAATAATATCACAGGAAGGCTGGGCGCAGTGGCTCACACCTGTAATCCCAGCACTTTGGGAAGCCGAGGTGAGTGGATCACCTGAGGTCAGGAGTTCGAGACCAGCCTGGTCAACATGAAGAGACCTCGTCTCTACTAAAATATAAAAATTAGCCGAGCGTGGAAGCAGATGCCTATAATCCCAGCTACTCGGGAGGCTGAGGCAGGAGAATCGCTTGAACCCGGGAGGTAGAGGTTGCAATGAGCCGAGATCGTGCCACTACACTCCAGCCTGGGTGAGAGAGTGAGACTCCGTCTTAAAATAAATAAATAATATCACAGGCAATCTATACCTTTGAGATTATGAGAAGAAAATCCACAAGGCCATACACAAAATCAGAAATGCTGTCAATAAGATCTGAAAGATAAATCATAAAATGTAAACTTCATAAATATGAAGGAGGTGTTTCACTTCATGTCACGCTCATGAGTAAAATTCAATTCTCAGAATCTGGCAGGCCGAACAAAGTGCTCTAGAAAACCTCTATACACGCAGCATTTACATCCCCCAAATTAGCTGAAACTTGAGAACCAGGAGAGAGGAGTGTCCCAGAGGCCAAACAGACTGAAGGAGAAGGTGGCCAGGGAGTGTGTGATGCCCACTGAGAGGCCAAAGAATATGGGCATGGGCCATCGCTGCTCCTGTGATGGGCACAGGCTGCGGGCACGTAGGGCTAGACCAGAGCCTCTGGGAGGCTCTAAGACAGTGCACGGATGCAGGTAAAGTGTAGAGCTGTTTTAAAAGTAAACTTTACCTTTTCAAACAGCTTTAAATTTATGGAAAAAATTATTTTAAAGACAGTAGAGAGATACACATACTTTTTTTTTTTGACAGTCTCGCTCTGTCACCAGGATAGAGTACAGTGGCATAATGATGGCTCATTGCAGCCTCAATCCTCCTGGGTTTGAGCAATCCTCCCATGTCAGCCTCCTAAGTAGCTGGGATCCAGGAGTTCACCAACATGCTCAGCTACTTTGTGTATTTTTTGTAGAGATGGGGTCTCATTCTGTTGCCCAGGCTGGTCTTGAATTCCTGGCCTCAAGCAATCCTCCCACCTTGACCTCTCAAAGTGCTAGGATTACAGGTGTGAGCCTCCATGCCCCACCCAAACATGCTTTTTAATATACCGCTACTCCAAAAAGAGTAAAGGGAAATCCCTGAAAAGAGACGAGGAAGGAACAGAGGGGGAAGCAGTTAGAAAATGCCAATGCCACTAGGGCCGGGTAGCCCGCAGTGAGCCTCAGCCACAGCACGGTTGTCCCCTCAACCTGAGATCCTCCATCCAGCTCAGCCATGGCCCTCGGGGAGTAGTGTTGTCCTAGGTGCAACACTCCTGGAAGCCACATATATTAATGCAAATCCTTCCAGAAAGAAAACAGCCCAACAGGGGCCCTCAGGAGTTCCAGATAGTGAGCCCACTCGAATATGAGTTCACTATGAAAAACCCAAGGAGAAGCCCAGCATGAGTGGGTATCAGCAGAGACAACAATGAGCAGAGTCTCAGACATGGGAACAATCTAATGCAGAGCGTTGAGTAACCATCTGTGAAGCTGTCGAGAAACAAAGGCTGAAGCAGAACACGAGCACAGTGCAGGTCGGAAACAGAACCATATGGAATGTCCGACAGTGAAAATACAGTAAGTGAAGTTAAAGATTCAATAGGAAGGCTAAACAGAGATTAGGCAGTTGAAGAGAGGATTTGGGAACTGGAAGATGGAACTGAAAACAATTACACTGACCACAGTACAGAGGGATGGGCAGAGAAAATAAGGAGGAGAGAGAGAGAGCAGCAGAGAACTGAGGTGGTCTCCTCAGGATCTGAGATTCAAAAACGACTGTGGAGAACTCCTGAAGACCGTCACCTACAAATGGTGCTGTGAGCAGGACTAATGCAAGCCAGCAAGACTTTTCAGTGGATCCCATGATGTTGATCTCCCAAGGTGGTCACAGGAATCAAGACACCCACCACAGTGGCTCAGCACAGCATCCAGTCGGCACTCAGCACAGATATACTAATCATCAGTGTCGCTTCCAGGCCACGGCTGGGCTTGTCTGTGCTCAGGAGTGGAGCTGAGGAGGAGGCAGAGGGACTGAGGGCTTGTCTCAGCATCAGGAAGGGCAGGGAAGGAGAGGGCACCTTGCGGTTCCTTTCTTCATTTCAAAAAGGGACATTATATCTCTGACAAGAACTTTTAGAAGTTATGTCATCAATGCAAGTGGAAAAAATAATGCAAAATGATATCATGGTATAATCACAAATATGTAAAATTTTCTTTAAAATGTAAGATCTGTGAAAATACACTCTTAAATACTGAAAAGACGTAACTAGCCACAAAGGAACAATATCCAAAGCTAACAGCAGTCAACCGCCCTTGAACGGTGACGTTACGACTATTTTTTGACAAATAAAACTTTGTGGTGTACAAAGTGGTGCTGGGTGCTGGCAGGGAAGCCTCTGGCCTTCACATACAGGTGGCTGGACCCCAGTTTACACAGTGCACAGCTCTCTCACTCCCAGGTATATTCATTAAACAAAAGCAGTAAGATTCATGGTAATTATAAATGATCTCTTTGCAAATTAAGTAATCTTGTCAGGAAAAGTCATGACCAATTTCTCTGAAAGTATGAAAACTTGGAGGACAGCAGTTTGATGTCCAGGTGATATGGTTTTGTTGTGTCCCCACCGAAATCTCATCTTGTAGTTCCAATAATCCCGTGTTGTGGGAGGCACCCAGTTGGGAGGTAACTGAATCATGGGAACAGTTACCCTCATGCTGTTGTGATAGTGAGTTCTCACAAGATCTGACGGTTTTATAAGGGGTTAGTCCCTCTTTTGCTCAGCACTTCTCTCTACTGCCACCATGTGAAGAAGGACGTGTTTGCTTTCCCTTCTGCCATGATTGTAAGTTCCCGGAGGCCTCCCTAGCCATGTGGAACTGTGAGTCAATTAAACCCATTTCCTTTATAAATTACCCAGTCCCAGGTATTTCTTCACAGCAGCATGATAACGGACTAATATAGTAAATTGCTACCAGAAGTAGGGTGCTGCCGTAAAGATATCTGAAAATGTGCAAGTGACTTTGGAACTGGGTAACAGGCAGAGGTTGGAACTGTTTGGAGGGCTCAGAAGAAGACAGAAATATGTGTGAAAGTTTGAACTTCCTAGAGATCTGTTGAATGGCTTTGACCAAAATGCTGACAGTGATATGGACAACGAAGTCCAGGCTGAGATGGTCTCAGACAGAGATGAGGAACTTGTTGGGAAGTAGAGTAATGGTCACTCCTGCTATGCTTTAGCAAAGAGACTGATGGCACTTTGTCCCTGCCCTAGATATCTGCGGAACTTTGAACGTAAGAGAGATGATTTAGGGTGTCATGCAGAAGAAATTTCTAAGCAGCAAAGCATTCAAGAGGAAGCAGAACATAAAAGTTTGAAAAATTTGCAGCCTGACGATGTGACAGAAAAGAAGAAAAAATTTTCTGGGGAGAAATTCAAGCCTGCTGCATAAATTTGCATAAGTAATAAGGAGCCAAATGTTAATCACTGAGACAATGATGAAAATGTCTCCAGGGCACATCAGAGACCTTTGGGGCAGCCCCTCTCATCACAGGCCTGGAGGCCGAGGAGGGAAAAATTGTTTCCTGGGCTGGACCCAAGGCCTCCCTGCTCTATGCAACCTCAGGACATGGTGCCCTGAATCCCAGCTGCTTCAGCTCCAGCCATGGATAAAAGGGGCTAACGTAGAGCTCAGGCCATTGCTTCAGAGGGTGAAAGCCTCAAGCCTTGGCAGCTTACATGTGGTATTGGGCAAAGAAGTCAAGAATTGAGGTTTGGGAACCTCTGCCTAGATTTCAGAGGATGCATGGAAATGCCTGGATGTCCAAGTAGAAGTTAGCTGCAGGGGTGGGGCCCTCGTGCAGAACCTCTGCTAGGGCAGTGTGAAAGGGAAATGTGGGGTTAGAGTCCCCACACAGAGTCCCCACTGGGACACTGCCTAGTGGAGCTGGGAGAAGAGGGCCACCCTCCTCCACACCTCAAAATGGTAGATCCACCAACAGCTTGCATCATGCACCTGGAAAAGCTGCAGACGCTCAATGCCAACCCGTGAAAGCAGCTTGGAGGGGAAGTGTACCCTGCAAAGCCAAAGAGGCAGAGATGCCCAAGGCCGTGGGAGCCCACCTCTTGCATCAGCATGCCCTGGATGTGGGACATGGGAGTCAAAGGAGATCATTTTGGTTTAATGACTGCCCTATTGCATTTTGGACTTGCATGGGGCCTGCAGCCCCTTTGTTATGGCCAATTTCTCCCATTTGGAATGGGGATATAGACCCAATACCTGTAATCCGATTGTATCCTGGAAGCAACTAACTTGCTTTTGATTTTATAGGCTCATAGACAGAAGGGACTTGCCTTGTCTCAGATAAGACTTTGGACTTGGACTTTTGAGTTAATGCTAGAATGAGTTAAGACTTTGGGGGAACTGTTGGAAGGGCATGATTGTGTTTCAAAATGTGAGGATATGAGATTTTGGAGGGGTCAGGGGTGGAACGATGCAGTTTCGCTATGTCACCACCCAAACCTAATCTTGAATTGTAGTTCCCATAATCCCCATGTGTCATGGGAGGGAGTCAGTGGGAGGTAATTGAATCATGGGGGCAGTTACCCCCTGGTGATAGTGAGTGAGTTCTCATGACAGCTGACGGTTTTATAAGGGGCTTTCCCCCTTTTGCTTGGCACTTCTCTCTCCTACTGCCATATGAAGAAGGACATGGTTGCTTCCCCTTCTATCATGATTGTAAGTTCCCTGAGGCCTCCCCAGCCATGTGAAACTGTGAGTTAATCAAACCTCTTTCCTTTAAAAATTACCCAGTCTCAAGTATTTCTTCATAGCAGCACGAGAACAGACTAATACAACAGGTAATATTAAATTTTTATTTAATGTATGTGATATGATATTTTAATATATGTATACACTGTAATATGATTATCACAATCAAGTGAATTAACATGTACCTCCACCACCTCACTTAGTTGCCTTTTTTGTGTGTGGTGAGAATCTATTCTCTTAGCAAATTAAGATTTACTCTCTTAGCAAATTTCAAGCATACAATAAATGCAGCATTATTAACTACAACCACCAAGCTGTACATCAGGTCTCTAGAACTTATTCATCTTATAATTGGAAGTCTGTATCCTGTGTCCAACATCTCTCCACCACTACCGCCAGGCACTGGTAAGCACCAATCTACTCTCTGCGTCCATGAATTCAATGTTTTTAGAGTCCACATGTAAGTGAAGCCACACATGTTTGGCTTCATCCATGTTGTTGCAAATGGCAGGAGTTCCTTTAAGGCAGAATATGCTATTCTCATTCTCTCTCTAAACACACACACACACACACACACACACACACACACACACACATCGCACATTTCCTTTATCCCTTAGGTTTTCATATCTTAGCTATTGTGATTAACACTTCCATGAACATGGGAGCACAACTATGAGAGACTGATTTTATTTCCTCTGGAGATATACCCAGTAGTGGATCATATGGTAGTTCCATATTTAATTTTTCAAGGAACCTCCATGCTGTTTTCCACAATGGCTGTACAATTTACATTCCCACCAACAGTGCAAGGGTTCCCTCTTCTCCTATCCTCACCCACACTTGTTATCTTTTGCCTTTCTGATAACAACCATTCTACAGACATGCAGTGACAGCTCACTGTTGTGACTGCATTTCTCTGGTGATGGGTGATGCTGAGACCTCTGCATATACCTGTTGGCCATCTGTAGAGCTTCTCTGGAAAAATGTCTACTATGGCTCTTTGCCATTTTTCAATTGGGTTATTTGGTTTTTGCCACTGAGTTGTATGAGTTCCTTATGTATTTGGATATTAACCCCTTACTGGATATACAGTTTGCAAGTATTTTCTCCCATTCACAGGTTCGTTTTTCATTTTGTTGGTTGTTTCCTTTGTTGTGCAGAAACTTTTTACTTCAATGTAATCCCACCTGTTTACTTTTAGTTTTGTTGCTTGTTCTTTTAGTGTCATGTCCAAAAAAAAATCATCGCCGAAACTGATGTCATGGAGCTTTCCCCTGTGTTTTCTCCTAGGAGTTTTTTTGGTTTCAGGTCTTAAGTGTCTTTAATCCATTTGTGAGATGATGTTTGTGTATGGTGTGCGATGAGGACCCCATTTCTCCATATGACTTCAGGGGTAGCCATTCCCACATCTCCTGGCACATGTGGACCACTGTAAACATGTTTATGCATTAAAGCACAGCATTCCTAATGTGTACTCTCATATACAGTACTATTTGTATTAATAACTTGTTTTCATTGGCCTATACTTCTTGGATTCTTCCCAAATTTCCATATATACACATTATACTTACAAAAAAAGTACAGCCACAAAAACAAAGCCACCCATGGAAAAAGACCCCAGTAAGTCAGCACTTTTCGGTGCTTACAATTTAAACATATACCGTAATTAAACAGCTCTAAAAATTTCTATAACATGCCTCCAGAATTGGAATTTACACTCAAGTAAACACATTTCTGTTTTAAAGAAACTGACGAAGTATTTTAAAATGTAACTTAAGTCCACACAACCTCTGCTCCTCGGTGGGTCTCTTGAACGCGGCAGCTCAGCTGACAAGGACTCAACTGCTCCTCTGCAGGCAGTCTGTCTGGGCCACCCACATTCACGGATATTTTGAAATGAATGTTTTGAAAGTTTTAAATTATTTATATGAGTAGTGTCACATGAGGAATCTAACCTTTATTAAGGTTTATTGTTAGTAACACTAGACAAAAGGAATTATTAAAACACATAATTTCCAAATTCTATTGGTTTACAGTAATATACTGTAATATACATTTTTCATTTTCAGCCACTGACAAAATTTTCTACCTTGAACATAAAAACTATTCAATCACCACTTGATGTTCCTAAAAAAACGGACCAAAGGCCTGCAAGGTGCTCAAATGCACTAAATGTTTTCAATACAAAGAGAAGAAATATAAATAAATGAATTAAGAATTTAATAATCAGCTGGGCATCGTGACTCATGCCTGTAATCCCAGAATTTAGGAGGCCTAGAAAGGAGGATCACTTGAGCTCAGGAGTTCGAGACCAGCCTGGGCAACATGGCAAGACACTGCCACTACAAAAAATACAAAAATTAGCTGGGTGTGGTGGTGTGTGCCTATAGCTCCAGCTACTTGGGGGGCTGAGGCAGGAGGATCGCTTGAGCCCCCTAAGTAGCTGGGACTCTGATGGCTCCTGCACAGAGGGACCCAGTCCCTTCCTGCTGGAAGAAAATCAAGGCTGCAGTGAGCCGTGATCACACCACTGCACTCCAGCCTGGGTGGCAGAGTGAGACCCTGTCTCAAAAAAAAAAAAAAAAGAATTTAACAATCCAATTTGCACCTAATATATGCTTTACCTTTTAAAATTTCATCATTCATATTTCAAGGCAATCTCTTGCTGGACTAAATGCAGAAGAGCACAGCATCCACGCCAGAGGCTGAGACTGAGGCCTCGGAAAGGTGCATCTGGGAGGGTCTCTGAGGCGGGCAAGGCTGAGTGCAGCACAGAGTGAGTGTTCAGGAGAAGATGCCCTGGCTTAGTGGCTCACTGCACTCCCACATGCTGGGGTGCTCTCTGCTCCACTAGCACAGGGGTCTTCAGACCCAGCCATGACCCTCCAAGGGACCGGCAAATCAATTCACAGTCTGTGAGCAGCATTTTTTGAAAAATGAAATGGGATGAAACAGAACAACACGGAAGGGAAGCATGCAGCATGTCTCCAGGCCCGTGCTGTCTGTGAACCCCACTTCTGAGCTGCAAGTCTGTGTGTGGACACAGTGCATGTGCATGCCTGTGAGCAGGGTCTTGGAGGGCACGTGTCTCCCCCCAGGGTGGCAGCGCAAGGACTTCGATGGCCCCTGCACAGAGGGACCCAGTCCCCTCCTGTTCCATCTCCCTCTCCACTCCTCAGCATGGTGCCCTCCTCACTGCAGCCCAGCTCCCACGTGCAACCTCGCCTGGCAGAGCAGCCACCACGGTCTGCGGGGAGGGCAGCACACCTGGGGCTGAGACACAGACCTGCGCTTCTCCCTTTAAAGTGTGTGTGTGTGTGTGTGTGTGTGTGTGTGTGTGTGTGTGTGTGTTCCAAGGAGCTTTTCAACCTTGAATAAAATCAGAAGGAACTGAACCAGGGCAAAAACCAAAATGACAGCCTTTCAAAGCAGCAGCAGCTAATATTCATTTCATATCCTTGGCGGAGCCTAAGATAATATATTCTGACAACTTTTGAGCCCAAAGTAGTGTCCTCCTGGGACAGCAGTAGGGGCCATCTGACTTTGGGATGCTCCTCCTTGTCACACCATAACCCTCTGTTGGGACAAACACCACACAGGCCTTTGCCCTCCTCAGCTCGCCCAGTCTCAGAAGCCAAGGGCCCTCCAGCACGCAGACAGGTGGCAGGCTGCCAGGCATCCAGGCCGACATTCGTGACTCAGGTTTCCAATGTGTCAGTGCCAACCCCCCGCAAGGAAAGATGAGTGTAAAAGTCAGCTGTGCTGAGAGGTTCTGGACAGGGACTGGCGTAACACAGCTGGCCACCAGGAGCTCATCCCGTGCTGGAGATGAGGCTGGAGATGAGGCTGGAGATGAGGGCTGGAGATGAGGGCTGGAGATGAGGCTGGAGATGAGGGCTGGAGATGAGGCTGGAGATGAGGGCTGGAGATGAGGGCTGGAGATGAGGGCTGGAGATGAGGGCTGGAGATGAGGCTGGAGATGAGGGCTGGAGATGAGGCTGGAGATGAGGGCTGGAGATGAGGCTGGAGATGAGGGCTGGAGATGAGGCTGGAGATGAGGGCTGGAGATGAGGGCTGGAGATGAGGCTGGAGATGAGGGCTGGAGATGAGGCTGGAGATGAGGGCTGGAGATGAGGGATGGAGATGAGGCTGGAGATGAGGCTGGAGATGAGGGCTGGAGATGAGGCTGGAGATGAGGCTGGAGATGAGGCTGGAGATGAGGGCTGAAGATGAGGGCTGGAGATGAGGCTGGAGATGAGGGCTGGAGATGAGGCTGGAGATGAGGGCTGGAGATGAGGGCTGGAGATGAGGGCTGGAGATGAGGCTGGAGATGAGGGCTGGAGATGAGGGCTGGAGATGAGGCTGGAGTTCACGCCCAGGGAAACGTTTCCTCATATGAACCAAGACTCAGCGACTGTCTCAAAATGACCTCCCGTGCAGCTAAACCCTGGTCTCTGAGCCTCCTGTCTCCCTCAGTCTGGCCCCTGAGCTCCGACCCCTCCTGGCAGCCCCCTTGGCGGTGTCTGGCATACCCATGGGTTGGTTACGGGGTTATGAACTGCTCTGCCCACAGGGACAGGCGGTGCATGGCAAACGCAAGCTGAGAACGCTCCCACTCACTTGGCAAAGCATCTGCTGAGCCCCCATGACGTGGCGAGCCATCCTGAGATGCTGGATGTACAAAATCAACATGCAAACCCCAAACTGGCAGCCCTGCCCCGCAGAGCCCAGTCCAAGGCAGAAAGCCATGGGGCAAAGAGCAGGGGCGGCTAGGATGGCGCTGCTCACTCTGGCAGGTGCATGGACAGGGCAGGGCAGGGGCAGCTGGAGGCTCTGTGGTGCTCCAGGCAAGAGATGGGGACGAGGGCAGGCTGCAGCAATGGGGGTGAGAAAGTGTAAACTCAGGGATTTTGAAGGCCGAGCCCAGGAGCTTGCTGACGTGGAGTATCAGAGGGTGTGGGCTCAAGCAGAAGGGACAGGGACATCCCTTCCTGAGATGTGGCAGACTGAGGGAGGGGTACACTGGAGGCGAGGGGAGAATCCAAGTCTTGTTTGGTACTTAAGTCTGAGGGGCCTCCTGGATGTCCGAGGAGAGACGGTGAGAAGATGTGGACCTGTCACTGAGACCGGGGCCCAGGGCAGAAGTGTCTGCTGCAGGGCCAGGCTGGGAGGGCAGCATGCGAGGGACGAATCGAGCCTGTCGTGGAAGGTGGTGGCGGAAGGAGACCGGTCCCCGCCCAGCCTAGGCCTCCCCCGTGAAGACCTGACAGTGGTGAAAAGCCAGTGGAGTCGGAGGAGAGGAGGGGAACCCGGAGGGCGCTGCTGCAGAAGCCCAAGGCAAGCTGGCCCAGCACTCGGAGCTCGGCAGCTCCTGCTGTCTGCGGAGGGCCGGGGTCCCTGCATCATGCGTAGGATGGCAAGCGTTGCAAGGAACCTCAACCAGCCTCCACATCCGCCCAACGGAGACAGGGATGCCTGCGTTCACAGAGCCGCGTGGGACATGGTAGGAGAAGGTGCTGAGTGCTCAAGGGCCTCGCCAAGCGGGCTCGCTGCCTTCCTCCTCAGGACCCAGGGGAAAGGGCTGGGGGTTTTTGGCCCGAGAAGGATACACCTCTGACTATGTAACATGGACGGACAGCTTACAGCACAAGGTGTCCAATTTCTTAATGAAAAGAAGGGGGAAGAGGTGAAAATAGAAATGTATTAAAACAGTTTTTCTCAAATATACTTGGATCTTTCCTTATATAGATGACGAGACTCAGAGTGTCAGAAAACGAGAGAAGAATCTGCAACCAGCATCTGAAGTGGGACGCGCTGATGCTCGCCGGCACAGACTCCAGGCCCTCCTGCACCAGGCTCAGGGCAACAGAGGTCTGGGGCGAAAGGTAAGCTGACCGATACAGCAGGACACAGGCGGGCAGAGGCCAGGCACACGGCCACAGCACACAGGGTGTGCACGCCCTGCGATCCCAGCACCAGTCAGCACTGCACTTCGGGGTCCCAAAGGAGCATGGGCACACGAGGGCCATTTAAGAGACGCGGTCAGTGACACTGATGAGAGAGACTGGGTTAATCCAGGCTGGAAAAGAGACACGGTGAAATGCGAACACCTTCCCGGATGGCCCACCAAGCTCATGCTACAGAGACTCAGAAATGACCCAGCAGAGGTGTCCACAGACACGTCAGCCCAGGCACGCCCCCGAAACCCTCTTGTGTCCTGCGGCGGCCATCAGCCATGCACCACTGCCACCAGCCTCAGGCCCTAACACAACCTGGTCCCGCAGGGGCTGGGACTCTCTGTCGGGGGACCCTGGAGCCTGGCCCAGCCGGCCCGCCCGTGGTAGACTCGCGAGGGAAGAGTGAAGGTTCCAGTCAAATGGCATGGGGCCCAAGGCTGCAGCCAGAGTGACTGCTGCGTGTCGCCAGCAGCCACCGCCCCCTCGTGACCACACTCCGTCTTCCTCATTATCCTTTCACTTCCCCAGGCTCCAACACGGGTCCTGCCCTCTGCCCTGCATGAGCGTCTGTCTGCCTCGAGCCTCGCTGCCAGGTCTCACCGCATCCTCTGTGTGACCGCAGCCACGCCGGGCCGCAGACTGCACCAGCTCCCACGCCTCCTCCCTCCTGCCCTTCCTCAGCGACCATGGCCTCCACACTGCCTACAAGAGAATATTCCACGTTTTTAAACAGTGCAACCCTTTTTAAAGATTTTTAAAATATTAAACAGAACGTCAATGCCTGAAGGGGAGAGAAGCCCTGTGGTCTCTAGAAAGTTCTTTCTGTCACGCTCTGGCAGCCTGAAGACAACCCCGTGCTGAGAGAAATGAAGACAAATCTACACCGCACCTCATGTGCTCCCAAGTCTCTAAAGGGCTTTGCCTTGAGAAACAAAGTTTCTGCCAAGTGTCTGACACTGCAGAACTTCTTCTCATGAAGGAAAGAAAGGACACCCTGAGACGTCACAAAACCACACCCTGATGGCCGCCGCCACCTCCATGCCGGCCACACAGGGCACACCTGGGGGGGCCAGCGTGGATGCACCCGAGGCGGCCTCTGACAGCTGAGGACTAAAGTCAAACCCCTAGCTCGAGCACAGGGGGAACATCGGGGAAGCCAACAGCTCGGGCGGCTCCGCGACAACTGTCATGCTTGTCCAGCCGTGCGCCAGCAGGGCCTTCACCTGGGCACTCACTTGCAGTGGGGACTTGTTCCCACAACTCACAGGAGAGGTGGAACTGCCCCGGAAAGTCCCACCCAGGACCCTGTGACAGCCACAGGCTGGCTGAACGGCCGCTGCCTGCCAGGGAGGCTCAAGCTGGGCTGCCCAGGGCTGCAGCAGCCCCCCAGCCCAGAGCGGCCACCCCACAGCAGGGCACCCTGGGAGGGGTGCGCAGACAGACCACAAGGGCTCTCTTCCTCCAGGCAATTCCTATTTCTTTGGGGCTGGGGTCTCCGTGCCTCCTCTCAGCATCTAACTAGTGTCAGAGCCTGCAACACCTGACGCCACATGGTTTATGAAACAGGATGAGGTGCCCCGATTAGGTGACAGGCACGGGCATCTTCCCGGCCTGCCAAAGCCAGGGAACCAGGCATCGACTGATCTGGCCAGCCAGAGCCTCCATTCTCTCCAAGTGGAAATCCCGGCAGCTCCCCCGCGTGCTCTTTGAATGGAGTCGGGCAACAGCTCCTAGAAAGGCGGGGGCATCCTCCCCCTCAAGATGAGGGGAGCTGGAGACACACGGAACTCCAAAAGAGCGCTGCTGCGGACACGGACGGCGGCACCCCAGCATTCCCTGACCCTCCCATTTTTTAGAACAACTACCTGAAGCTTAGAAGGAGAAGCAATTCTGCCGACCCCAGAGGCTTTCCAGCCCCTCGTCTGCTGGCCAGGACCCAGCCAGGCAGAGCTGCAGCAGAGACGCCCACCCACCCGCTGTGCCTCTGACTGCGAGAGGGGGAGCCGCTCACTTCTGATGCCTGACGACCACATCAGCCAGATTCCAATACACTCCCGTGAACAACTTATCTGCCAGTGTAAGCATTTGCAAGAGCTTCAAAAGGAAGTCCAAATCATGTAAACAGATACTTACAAAGGCAGGTTTTTAATGACTTTACTCGGAATAAAAAAACAAAATTTTCTACACCTTGCCTGGATATACACTGAGATGAAAGTGCTGCCTACAAATAAGTACAAATGGCTAACTGATTAACTGGCCCATTAAACCCACGACAGCTCCAAAATTCACTTTCCGACGCAGGATATGAAACAGAGGTTACAGGAACACATTCCCCCTGCCCCAAGACAGCCAGAGGCGGCCCGCGGCAGGCACGCCCCAAAGAAGACCAGAGCTGCTCCCCGAGCCTCACGCAGCTTCACCTTCCAAGCAGCTTTCCACGTGCACAGAAAGCCGGTTGATTTCATCAGGCTCATGCTGGCCCTGCCCAGCAGACCCATGTCTATTTCCCACTTAAAAGGAAGGACGCGGCTCATTTTCCTGTTCCCAACCCCTCCATGCCCCTCATCTCTAAACTAGTAGTTTGTCCTTCGCTTCTCTACAGAAGACTTTAATTAGATATTAGAAAAACATTAAGATTATACAATTCCCAGAAAAGAATGAATTCGAAATCAGTGCCCAGTAATTACTAAGACTTCTGTACATAATTTAAATTTATTTTTATCTTTGCACCAACACAGCCTTAAGAGGAAAATAGAAATTATTTTTATTTCATCTCAAATCTTTTAAAAAGCCATTTTAGAGTAACTTCAACTTCATAAGCTTATATAGTAATCACCAATATGATCTATAGTAGCTATCTATATGCACAATAGCCAAATCAACTCATCATATTTAGAAATGTTAAGCTACCATCATTTAAAGAGCCTAAGATTTTAATGTATTTATCTAGCCTAAAATTAATATTTCAACAAAATCAATTCACTCACATCTTTCAAATCTATGAGAATTACCACGGTAAAGGAAAAACATCTGACGCTTTCCGTAAGTTCTGACTTAAAACCTGGCAGCTTGGGCTCCCGAGGGGTTGAGGCCGGCGGCCGGGTGTGTCGGGCCCGGGACGTGCTGCGGTCCCAGAGCCTGGGCTGAGCCCCCGCAGCACTCGCTTTGAGCTGTGGTGCAGACACATGAAAACCATTTCCAAAGCTTATCCTTACAAGCATTTGCAGGTCCCACAGCTGCCACTCGCTAAAACAGGATAGCCAGGGTGCCACGCTTTCCTACCACTGATTAAATGAAAAGAAAAAGCCGGAACTACTTACCTGCTGGTCATTAGAAACATGGGTTTCGTTTGACAACTCTTTCCCCAAATTCATTGTAAGGCACCGAGCCACACTAGGCACCCGGGTCTAAGACACACCATTCAACACCGCAGCTTGTGCGTGTGAGAAAAGTTTAAAGGCATTTCCGATGAAGTTCCCTCTCGCTCCCTTCGTAACCCATGGCAACAGGACACTGCAGGAAGCTGTGGCTTGCCAGGGTTTCAGACTCTATCTCAATTGTCTCATCCAAAGAAAGAAGCGCCGTTTACATAAATCACGCTGTGAGATCATTTTTAAACTATTTCCTCTACCAAATCAGAAGAATAAAACTTCGGCCGACAGGGGTAATTTCTCAGTCAGTAAAACAGCTGCAGAGAATTTGTTTTTTTTAGCATCGTGGTGCAGTTCACAACCTTAATTACAGCTGCCAATGAATCTATTCTAAGCCTCCACATGCACCAGCTTACTGGGTGGCAGCCAGCGGGATCTGGCACACGCCTAAAGCCCTCTCAGTGCTATCTGTATTCCGTGATCTGCTCTGCCCACCCTCCAAATATATGAAACAACCAGAAAGCGAGTGAACCATGATGGATCCTGGCTCTAAAAAGGAAGGAGGAAAGAAAAAGAAAACTATTTGTAAAGCCTAGGGATCACTGCAAAATCATCTGTTAATTTTCTAGAGATTTAGGGGTAAACTGCTCATCCCAAAGTGCTTCCCTGCTGTCAAAATCATGCAGCATGGGCCACCTAGAGTCTCGTCCTAATGGGCTCTAGGAGTCCTAACCCTGAAACGTTAGGTTGAGGGAAGCTTCGCCATTAGACCTGGGGAAGCTTCTTGCCAGGAACTGCAAACTCAATGCCCACAGGGCCACCAGGCTAGGTCCATGGCTCTGGGGTCTGGGGTTGGGCTGCCAGCTGGGAAGGAACTGTGCCAGCTCTGCTTCTGCCTTTCTGTGGAGGAACATGAGCATTCCCCGCACGAGAGTGTTCAGTGAGCAGAACCCACAGCACTGGACACACACTTCGTTTCAGAAATGCACAATGGCTGCTTGCAGAATGCGCAGCAGCTCAAGCTTCCTTAGAAGGCTTTTCTCAGGAGCTGTGCACGTAACAAAAGTGTGGGGGAGTCTGCAGGGGCGGGGGGCAGGCGCCCAGCCACACCCCCAGCAAGCAGAGGAATCACCCCAAGGCAGCCACACCTCCCTCTGCACAGCTGCTCCTCGCTGAAAGGGGTGCCACCTCCACTTCTGTCACCAGCCCAGGAAGGGGCTCCCGCCCAAGCTACCGGGACCCCCGGTCAGCCCCATAGGTCTGGAGTGGCCTCAGAAGCCCTGTTCCTCGACAGGGCCCCGCCTCTACCTACCATGGCCCCACCCACTTCCCCTGGGCTCTGGGCCAGAGGGTCTACATTAGGTACGACAGGCATGGCAGGCAGTATGACAGAAGGCGGAGCACGTATAGACCAGACCACATCACCATTCCTGGGCTAAGCCACATCTCTCAGACAAAACCAGCATCCTCGTCCCCTGCCTTCCCGTCAGCATCCACCCCACCACACACACACAGGCACCCCCCAACACACACAGGCACCCCCCAACACACACAGGCACCCCCAACACACACAGGCACCCCCACACACACAGGCACCCCCCCTACACACACATGCACCCCACACACGTACCACACACACACATGTACCCCCCCACACACAGGTACCCACACACACACAGGCACACACACAGGCACCCCACACACACACACATGCACCCCACACACGTACCCCACACACACACGTACCCCACACACACACAGGCACCCACACACACACAGGCACCTCACACACAGGCACCCCCACACACAAAGGCACCCCACACACACACAGGCACCCACACACACACAGGCACTCACACACACACAGGCACCCCACACACACAGGCACCCACACACAGGCACGCACACACACAGGTGCACACACACACAGGCACACACACAGGCACACTTTCAGAGAAAGCAATCTGAAGGTTCTGGAACAACAGCAAGGGGTTCTGGGGTGGCTGGGTGAGCCCCTGACGCTGACCTGCCCGTTAACCTCATTGGCTTCTGAGGGGCCTGCACTACTGACAGTTTACAGAGCTTTGGAGGAGACAGTGGTCTCCAGGCGGGAGCAGAGGACAACAGCATCCTGGCCCCCCAGGGCCCCCAGACCCTGGGAACAGCCACCAGCGCCTGAGAACCGAAGGCAGCCTGGGCATGCGTGGGGCCTTCTGCTGAGGGGTTATCACCTAAGTGCTAAACTGATTTCACCTCAGTTCTTTCAGACAGAAACATCTTCATCCCATTGTGTTCCATCGAGGACGGAAAGGAAGAAACACAATTTCACATTGTCTACGTGGTTTATTCGCAAAGCCCACAAAGCAGCCCAGGCTGCTAGGGGTCCGCCTGTTGCTGTCCGGTCACTAACAACAGGGCCTCCAACAACAGGGCCTCCGGGTTCTCCTGTCTCTCTCTAGGCTCCCCCCATCTCCTCTTTTGTGGGAGCCTGTCCTTTTCTGCAGCTGCTGACCTCCCCTGCCTAGCCAGTAACTCCCCTCTGCAGATGGGTGAGGAAAGGGATGGGGCAGGGCCAGAACACGCCTGGGAGAACTCCTGTGACCGCCTGAGGGCCCCAGCAGCAAGTGCCCTGGGGAGACGGGGATGAGCCCCCTGCCACATGGTCAGAGGTCCAGGAGCTGCTGACAGCCACATCCCCAGAAGATTCTGGGCCCCAGCCCATTGCCCCTGCTTCGTGCTCCACCTCCCTTGTTTGGATGGATGTGTTTACTCAGTGCCTGGTGGGAGTCGGGTTCAGACCCCGGGCCCGGGAAGCCCAGCACAGCCCTTCACCAACACATGCATGGCCAGTCTGGGCACAGGAAGAAAGCACCGCAAGGCGGGAGCACCCGATCATGCGCTGCACAGGCACCGCCTCACCAGGACGGGGCGTGAAGAGAAAGTGGGCAGAGTGCTAGCTCGGAAAGGGCGAGCCGTTCTCAGCCCTCCAACGCAGGCCCACCGCGGATCCCAGAGAAGGCGAAGCCCCCGTGTGGTGAGCTCGGCAAGTGGGCATGTGAGCCTGGAGGCAGCTGTGGTGCAGCGGGGACTCAGGCCTGCATATCACCGCCCAGCTGGACAACAGGACATGCTTCCTGAGTACCCAGAGGGAGCCCCTCACCTCCCCAGGGGTCTGTCCTGAGCTGGAAACCCAGGGTGAGCAGGGGGGCAGGGCTAGATTGGAGGAGTTCGCAGATGGGAGCTCTGGGTCCAGCCAGGGCAGCAGGGATGATGGGGGTGGCGGGGCAGAGGGCATTCTGGGCGGGGAGGAGCTGAGCCGGGCAGAGGTGAGGACCCACGTGGGCTATGTCCTGGGGCCAGGAGAGGCCTGGCTAACTGGAAAGTTCCAGTGAAGGCAAAGGGGCCTGTGGGTGACCCAGGGTCTCCAGGACCTGCCAAAGAGCTCCTCCTTGACTCTGGGCCTCCTTACAGACTCACCTGTCTCCCAGGCCTCTCTCACCAGTTCCTGCGCCCACCCACACCAGTCTCTGCTAGAGGACACATCCCGTGATGCCCCAGCCTAACCAGGGCCTCCTGAGCTTTCCGGCCATGCCTGGCGCACAGCTCGACCTGGAGGGAACAGAAGCACTCTCTCCTGAAGGTTTCTCAACAGCAGAAAGGAGACGGGCGCGGAACACCCAGGAACCGGGACGGCCCTGGTGGATCCCGGCCGCAAGCCCTGCTGCCTCCTTCACGGGGCCGGACCACCTCACTCTCAGCTAGGAGGGCGTGCGAGGCAGAGAGGCGGGAACTGGAGGAGCGCCTCTGCTGACTGTGCCCGGGAGACATCTGCAGAGCTCACAGATATGAGCACAGGCCCTGATTCTCTCCCTGCTCTTAACCCTGGAGGCCTCTGGTCGCCAAGCCAAAGGCCCAGGTGTGGCTCCTCTATGGGCAGGGCCCTCAAATCTCCCCCAGCTGGGCTCTCCCATCCTCCTGCCCTCCACCCCTGACCCCGCATAACCAACTAGACAGCTGGCCGCCATATGCCAGTCTGACCCTTTGCAGTCTGCCCAGCACCCGCCCCAGCCCTGTGCCTAACCCCTAACCCCTAACAGTCTGGCTGTCCTGCCTGCCTGCCTTCCTTCCCCATTGCCCTTCTCGGGTGGGTCATGGTGCTGCCCAGGCCAGCACCCCCCAGATGAGGTCCCACCACTGCCTGGCCTGCAGCTGCTCACAGCCGTCTCCACCTCGAGCACGCCCCACGCAACGGTGCCCCATGCAGCCCATCCAGGACCAGCTCCACAAGGCAGGGAGGGGTCAACACTGAGCATGTTCCCCACTGCCTCCCCAGAGCCAAAATAATGTCGGGCACATAGTAGGTGTTCAACAAACATTCACTCAATGAGAAGGCCCTGAAGCACTGAAGAATCCTATTACATGTCCGGAGTTCACAGGATCTTAAGGACAGTTCAGAAAATTTCCCATATAATGGGTTTAAAAAGCAGACTGGTGTGTGAAAGACCAAGACAAGCAAAGATTTCTAAGTTAAATTCTGAAAATAGCAAAGTCGCAAACCTAAGAGACAGGGTAAAAGGAGCTTATTCTGAAAGGCCTGTGAGGATCTCATTCCTACACAATGTGACGTGCGGCACGTCGTCCCAGAGGTGAGTGGGAGGCCAGGAAGAAGCCAACATTATCAACCCAACAGCCAAGAAGGCCGTGTCCGACTCACACTAAGGCTTAGGTCGGACTCAGGGCTCCGTCGGTTTTTGCTGGGATTTACAGCTCTGGATGGGCAAGATCACAGTACAGGCCTCAAGATGGAATCAAGGCAACTCACTGGGGACAGACGCAAAAGCTCCTGCCACCTCCCTCCCTCCTCCCTCCCTCAAGACCTGTCCTCCCTCCCTCCTCTCACCTGTCTCCCTCCTCCCTCCAGACTCCCTGTAAAGGGCCAAGAGTAGGCACTGCCCGCTGTGCAGGCGACACCACGCACTCGACCCCACTCTGCCGCTGTAGCATGAAAACAGCAGACGGAACTGCAGCCCAGGGAGACTCTATTTACAAGAACAGGCAGTGGATCTGGCCGGGGACTGCGGTCTGCCATCCCTGGCCCTGAACATCCCCTCTCTGCCCAGTCCCTGAGTCCAGGTCTCTCCCAGGCTCCAGCCCAGGCTCCTGGCTCCAACAGCTCCCGGGGAACCTGCAAACCGCCGTCACCTCATCCTCCTGTCACCCAGGATGCCCCTTCTGCTCCCCTGGAAAGGTGCAGCTTCTGCCCTGGGTGCAGGAGGCTCCATCCAGTGACCACCTGGATTCTGCCTGCCTTGTGTAGGGTGCACCCCTCTGGGTCCCGCACCCTGCCCAGCCTCCTCTCGCCACGGGGAGGGTCCTTCCAAGCAGAGGTGCCAAGCTTCCTCCTGCAGCAGCCAGGCCCTGGCTCTCCCAGGCAGCGACCGCCAAGTCAGGTGATGGGAAATCAGCCAAGGCCCCCAAATTCTCCAAGCCACACACAGGGCAGTCGCCCTCTCCTTCAGCTCCCGGCAATAAATTTACCCAAAGCTTCTGTCACACTTAAAATATCTAAGTCCAGGTGTCAGCCCGGCTCTCCCTCCCTCTGTCCCTGGGACACCCAGCTGCCCCAGGCCCTGGGCTGTGTCCCAACACCTGCCCTGGCTCCCTCTGAGCGTCGGGCACTCCCCACATCACCTGGCCTCGTTTCCGGGGGCCACGAGCCCCTGGACAGTCTTCTGCTGCTGCTGTTTGTTCAACTCTCCCAAGCAGAGGGCAAGCTCCCAAAGGCAGGACGTTGCCTGGCCCAGCTCTACTGAACCGCAGCTCAGGAACAGTGCGGCCCGACCTCCATGGGGACATCTGCAGGAGCAGGTTCTGCGGATACACCCACCCTGCCAGGGCCTCTGGGTGAGAGGAGCCCAGTGCCAGGAAGCTCAGCACAGGCTGCAGGGGCTGCCCTCAGACACGGAGGCCCCAAGTCACAGTTACGGCAGATGGACGTAACGAGCCCAGGAGCCCCGACGTGCAGCCAGTGATGCGGTGCTAGTGTCGGATGGTGACATCCAAGCCAGAACTCAAGAGATGACAAGGCCATCCCCAGGGCTTATACAGCAACCCTTACAAACAGTTACAAGATTCATCTAAGATAAATCCTGCTTATTTTCCTGGTGAATAGAGAAAAGCACAAATATGAATAAAATACAGTTCCTGGCCATCTCAAGACACGTGCAGAATCGGAGAGGGAAGCGTTTGAAACCACAGACCATGTGACTGAGCAGAGTCCCAGACTCCCAGTGCCCGGCCTCTCCGGCAGCATGGCTTCTGCAAGCCTGGGGGGCCTGTGCCCTCCCCATCCCGGCACTGCCCTTCCCCAGCTTCCCCCGCCCACTCCTCAAGTACCTCCCAGCCCTCCAGGCCACCCTCAGGTTTCTAGTACCAAGCTTCCTTCCAGTCCCTGACCCCTGGGTCCCAGGGGTTCTGTCTGCCTCCCTTCACTCTGGTGACCCCACTCCCTCCCAGCTCTTGTTGGGAACCACTGTTGGTCTTTGGGCTGTTCCCGCCAAGCCTGCCCCAACCCAGGAGGGCCGGCAGGTCCACGCGCTGCCGCCTCACTCCCGCATGGAGCCCTGCAGTGTGCGCCGGGTGAGCGGGACGCTGCGTCCATCTCCACGGCAGGCAGGGCTGTGGTTTCCCAAGCAGATTCTCCTACACGCAGAACCCGCACACCCCTGTCCGTCTCGCCTCTTGCCGCTGCACTTCTCCCCACCGCCAACAAGCAGCAGTTCAGGCCCCGCGGCTCCTTACCGGGAGTCAACTAACCACAAGGCCTGGGGTCTCTCGGGGAGGCTGGAGCCCAAAACGAACGTCAAAGAAACAGAGCATGAGCCAAGCTGAAACAGGATTTTTAAAAATGGTTTCTCTTTAAAACAGCTGAAGCTCTTTGATGACGGAAACAATAGAAAATTATAATCGCCGATCACTTTTTCCATTTTAACATAATGCCACTTTGCAGAAATAATTCCAAAAACACTAGGATTTATGGGGTAAGAAGAGGGACAGAACTGCTAGTTCCAAACAGCCTTGCCATGCACACTCACTGACGCACACTCACACACACGCCCTCGCGCACACACACCCCCACACTCACTGATGCGCACTCTCACACACACACTCACATACACACGCCTTCACACATGCGCACACACTATTTCACACACACACACATACACCCTCGCGTTCCAAATGGCCTTGCCATGCACTCACAGACGTGCACACTCTCACACATATACACACCCTCACACACATGCCTTCACACACTGGCACGTGCACACACACCCCTTCGCGTTCCAAATGGCCTTGCCATGCACACTCACACTGATGCACACATGCTCTCACACACACACACCCTCGCACACACACACCCTCACACTCAGTCTCACACTCAAACACACTGACACACCCTCACTCTCATATTCACACACACCCTCACACACACCCTAACTCACACCCTCACATCTTCACACACACCCTCACACAGACATCCTCGCACCCTCACCCTCACACAGCCTCACACACACCCTCACACACACCCTCACCCTCACACTCAGCCTCAGTCCCACACTGACACACCCTCACTCTCACATTCACACACACCCCCTCACGACATCCTCGCACCCTCACACACACCCTCACACCCTCACACCAACCCTCACATCACACACACCCTCACACAAACCCTCACAACACACCCTCACACACACTGATCCTCGCACCCTCACACACACCCTCACATACACACACCCTCACACACACCCTCGCACCCTCACACACACACCCTTGCACAACACATACCCTCACAGATACACCCTCACATACCTTCACACACATCCTCACACACTGACACCCTCACACACACCCTCACACGCACACACTCTCACTCTTCATGACATGAGGCGACACACTGGTCAGGACAGCTAAGGGAAAATGTGCCCCTCAACCTGGCACTCGCAGGAGGTCCTGCAGACCCAGTCCTGCCTGGCTTGGGCAGGGTCTGGAACCCCACCCACACCCCATGTCCCCCACCTCGGTCCCCAGCACCCTACCCCTCCTTCACTGCCGCTGCCCTTTGAGACAGGGAACACACGTGGAGAAACCTGTGAACAAAACCCAAGTGCACCAGCCCAGCTCCATCCACAGCGGACGGCCGCCCTCCATCCCCCTCGGGGCCGCAGCCTGCTGTGGGTGAGGGTGACGAGGGGGAGCGCTACACGCTGGCTCCTGGCTCCCAACACTGACTTCCCCAGGCAGGTTGGGGGCATTGTTCCCTGCAAGCCTCAGTCCCAAGAACACAGCTCTACCAGGAGCCTGTCCTGTGAGAGGCACTGATGCACGTGGGCCTGTCTTCTAGGCCCTTGGTGTAGCTCGAAGACATTTCGCCAACACTTTAGACCATCTCTGTCTGAACCTGACTTAACACCTGGAAGGCAGAGACGTCCCCTCTGACTGCATCCTTCCTCAACAGGCCTGTCACTGCCTCCCTTGCAGAACAAACAAAACTCGCCCCTGCAATTCCCAGAGCAGCTATGTCATCCTCTGACCTCCACCTCTTGCCTCGGGAGCTCCTCCAGGTGCTCCCCACTGAGGGCCTTCCCTCGCTCCTGCTACCTGGCGCCAGTTCATGCCCTCGGTTTCCATCCCACCCGGCTCACAGGCCAGCCTGCCCCTCGCCATTTCTGCTCATGCGCCCAGGTCCCAGGCCCCATCTTGCTTTCAGGCCCACTTTCAAACCCTCATCCCAGACGCTAACACAGCCTGCTCCGGGCTGATGCCCCAGCCATTCAAAAGGGCGGGAAAAAAGTACTCACAATCAAGCTGCCATTTTTGTCATCAACTATAACACAAATTCAGAAGAGTACAAAACAGAAAAGCATGGCTCGGTGGTTTATCATGAAGTGAAGCCCACGTAGCCCTCACCCCGTTCACAATGAAAAGCAGAACCATGTTCCAGCTCTTCTTTATGGTGCTACCAGTGAAGCATGTAACCTAAAACCATGGTTTTCAACAGTCTTGCCTGTTTCCAGATTTCTATAACTGGAATGACACAGGTGCGTTCTCTTGCATCTGCCATCTTTCTGTGATGTTTATCCATGTTATTAAGACAGCCATAGTCCATTAGCTTCTACAGCCACCGAGCATCCCACTGCAAGAATAAATCACAGGCTATCTGTCCTTTCCACCACTGGTGGGCAGTCAGGCTGCTTCCGTGTAGGGATCTTATGAATACTGCTATTTTGAATTCTTGCACATGCTCTTGGTACACATGATGGAACTCTAGGAATTTGCCTGGAAACTTTCTCATATGTGACTTTGGCTAGCACCTGTAGTAAAATGTCTACTCAAATCCCTTGCCCACTGTGCATTTGAGCCGTTTGTCATTCTCATGGACGTGCTGCATTCTCAGGGTCCGTCGGCCTTTGTGGGTTAGCCGCACTGTCCTCTCGCCCTTCTTTCTAGGAACGGTATGTTTTGATGAGTGCAAGTTCCTAATATTCATTTAATCAAAATCATCAGTCTGCCTTTACAGTAAGTGCCTTTTGTGTCTGTTTTAAAAGCTTTTGCCTCCTCAATATCATGAAGATATATCTGTAACTTTCTTTTGCCCTTCATAAGGACAATTAGAAAATATCTGAGACAAATTAAAATGAAAATACAACATACCAAAACGTATGGAACACAGCAAGAGTAGTACTAAAGGGGAAATTTATAGCCTTAAATGCTTACATAAAAAATTTAAAAGATCTCAAATCAACAATTTAGTTTTACAACTTAAGAAACTAGGGAAAAAACAAAAAACAAAAAACGAAACCCAAAGCTAGAAGAAGAAAGGAAATAATAAAGATTAGAGCAGAGATCAATGAAATAGAAAATAGAAAAACAAGAAAAAAATTAACAAAACCTAGTTGGTTCTTTGAAAGGATCAACAAAATTGACAAATCCTTTGCTCAATGAACTAAGGGAAAAAAAGAGAAGACTCAAATTACTAAAATCAGAAATGATAAAAGGGACATTATTACCAATTCCACAGACATAGCAAGAATTATAGAGGAGTACTGTGAACAACTCTACACCAATACATTGGATAACCTAGATGAAATGGTTAAATTCTTAGAAACACAAAACCTACCAAGACCAAATCATAAAGAAACAGAAAATCTCGCCAGGCGCAGTGGCTCAAGCCTGTAATCCCAGCACTTTGGGAGGCCAAGGCAGGCAGATCACTTGAGCCCAGGAGTTCAAGACAACATGGGCAACATGTTGAAACTCCAGCTCTACAAAAAAAATGTAAAAGTATGGCTAGGCACGGTGGCTCATGCCTGTAATCCCAGCACTTTGGGAGGCTGAGGTGGGCGGATCACCTGAGGTCAGGAGTTCGAGACCAGCCTGGCCAACATGGCGAAACCCTATCTCTACTAAAAATACAAAAATTAGCCAGGCATGGTGGCACACACCTGTTCTCCCAGCTACTCAGGGGGCTGAGGTGGGAGGATCACTTGAACCCAGGAGGTGGAGTTTGCAATGAGCTGAGATTGTGTCACAGCACTCCAGCCTGGGCAAAAGAGTAAGACACTGCCTCAAAAAAAAAAAAAAAGAAAAGAAAAAAGAACTAGAAAATCTGAATAGACCTATAACTAGTAAGCAAACTGAATCAGTAATAAAGAAAAATCTCCTGATAAAGGAAAGCCCTGGACCTGAGGGCTTCACTGGTGAATTCTACCAAACATTTGAAGAGCTAATACCAATCCTTCTCAAACTCTTTCTAAAAGAAGAAGGGGGAGAGGGAGGAGGAAGAGAAGGGGGAGGAGAAGGGGGAGGAGGGGGAGGGGGAGGAGGAAGGGGAGGGGGAGAAGGAGGAGGTGGGGAACGGGGAGGAGGAAAGAAGGGGGAGGAGGGGGAGGGGGAAGAGAAGGGGAGGAGGGAGAGGAGAGGGAGGAGGGTGAGGGAGAGGAGGAGGTGGAGGGGAAGGGGAGGAGGAAGAGGGGGAGAAGGGGAGGAGGAGGGGGAGAAGGGGAGGAGGAGGAGGGGGAGGAGGGGGAGGAGGGAGGAGGAGGGGGGATGGGAGGGGGAGGGGAGGGGAGGGAGGAGGGGAGGAGGAGGAAGAGGGGGAGGTGAGGAGGAGAGGGAGGAGGGGAGGTGGAGGAAGAGGGGGAGGGGGAGGGGAGGAGGGAGGAGGGGAGGAGGAGGAAGAGGGGGAGGGGAGGAGGAGGAAGAAGGGGAGGGGGAGGGTGTAGGAGGAGAGGGAGGAGGGGAGGAGGAGGAAGAAGGGGAGGGGGAGGAAGGGGAGGAGGAGGGGGGGACAGAGAGGAGGAGAAGGAGGAGGAGAAGGGGGAGGAAGGAGAGAAGGGGGAGGCGGAGGAGGGGAAGGAGGAATACTTCCTCTTCTATGACAGTATTACCCTGACATCAAGCCAGACAAAGACAATACAAGAAAACTAGAGACCAATATTCATGATGAATATTGATGTAAAAATCCTCAACCAAATACTAGCAAACTGAATTCAGCAGCATATTAAAAGGATTATACACCATCACCAAGTGGAATTTATTCCTATAATGCAAGGGTAATTCAACATATGAAAAATCAATCATTGTAATACACCCCATTAACAAAATTAAGAGGGAAAATCACATCATTAACTGATGCAAAAAAATTTCACAAAATTCAGTACCCTTTCATGACTTAAAAAAAAACACTCAGTAAACCAGAAATAGAAGGAAACTACCTCAACATATAAAAGGCATTAGTGAAAAATTAACAACAAACATCATCTCCATTGGAGAATGACAAAGCTTTTCATCTAAGATCAGGAACAAGGCATGAATGCCCACTTCGACAATTCTTTTCAACACAGTACTGTAAGTTCTAGCCAGAGCAATTAGGCAAAAAAAGAAATGAAAGGCCCCCAAACTGGAAACAAACAAGTAAAATTATCTCTGTTCACAGATGGTAAGATATTTTATGTAGACTATTCCACCAAAAAAAAACCTACTAGAGCTAACAAATGAATTCTGCCAACAGGAGGACACAAAGTCAACACACAAAAATCTGTTGCATTTCTACACTAACAGTGAATAATCTGAAAAGGAAATTATAAAAACAATTACATTAACAATAGTATAAAAAGAATACTGAGGAATTAACTGAACCAAGGAGGTGAAAGACTTGTACAATGAAAACTAGAAAACATTGCTGAAAGGAATAAAGACATAAGTAAATATAACATATCCCATGTTGATGGATGGACAGACTTGATATAGTTAAGATGTCAATACTCCCCAAAGCAATCTGCAGATTCAGTGTAATCCCTATTGAAATCCCAATGACTTTTTTACAGAAATAGAAAAACCCATCCTAAAATTCACTTGGAATTTCAAGAGACCCTAAATAGCCCAAACAATCTTGAAAAAGAAGAACAAAGCTAGAGGACTTGTACTTCCTGATTTCAAAGCTACAGTAATCAAAACAGTGTGGCACTGGCAAAAAGACATACACATAAGACTAATGGAATAGAACAGGAAGCCCAGAAATAAAACCTTACATAAATAGTCAAATCATTTTTGACAAGGGTACCAAGACCATTCAATGGGGAAAGGATAATCTCTTCAATAAATGGTGCCGGGAAAAGGATATCCACATGCAAAAGAATAAAAATGGACCTTTACCTAACACCATATACAAAAATTACTTCAAAATGGATCAAACACATAAATAACACCTGAAACTATAAAACTTAGAAGAAAACAGGGTTTTCTTCAAGACATTGGATTTGGCAATGATTTCCTGGATATCAAAGGCACAGGCAACAAATGAAAAAATAGATAAATTGGACTTCATGAAAATTTAAGAACTTTGTACACCAAAGATAATATCAATAGAGTAAAAAGGCAACCCACAGAATGAGAAAACATTTGCAAATCACGTATCTGATATGGGGTTAATATCTGGAATACATACAGAGGAACTTCTATAACTCAACAACAAAAACAAACAATCCAATTAAAAAATGGGCAAAGGACTTGAGTAGACATTTCTCCAAAGAAAATATGCAAATAGCCAAAAAGCACATGAAAAGATGCTCAACATCACTAAACATTAGGGAAATACAAATCAAAAAAATGAGATACCACTTCACACTCACTAGGATGACTACTATCAAAAAACAGAAAGTGCTGTTGTCAAGGAGAAGCTGGAAACCTTGTGCACTGTCATTAGGAATATCCAGTGGTGCAGCCACTATGGAAAACAGTACGGTGGTTCCTCAAAAATTAAAAATAGGACTACCGTATGATACAGAAATTCCACTTTTGGGATATGCCCAAAAGAATGGGAAGCAGGAACTCGAACAGGTATTTATACACCCATATTCATAGCAGTGTTATTCACAATAGCTAAAACACGGAAGCAACACAAGTGTCTATCAACAGGTGAACAGATAAGCAAAATGTGAGTATATCCATACAGTAGAATATCATTCAGCCTTAAAAAGGAAGGACATTCTGACACAAGCTACAACATGGATGACCCCAGAACATTATGCCAAGTGAAATAAGCCAGTTACAAAAAGACAAATACTGTACGATTTCACTTAGAATAGTGAATACTATTCTAGTGATACCTAGAATAGTCCAAATCATAGAGATAGAAAGTAGAATGGTGGCTGCCAGGGGTTGGGGGTGGGGGGAATGGGGAATTAGTGTTTAAGGGGTATAGAGTTTAACAAGATGAAACAACTTCTAGAGATGGATGGTGGTGATGGTTGCACATTATGAAAGAGTTTAATAACACTGAACTGCATATTGAAAAATGGTTAAAATAATAAATTTTGTTGTATGTATTTTACCACAATTAAAATAAATTGAAAGGCCAGGCATGGTGGCTCATGCCTGTAATCCTAGCACTTTGGGAGGCCAAGGCAGGTGGATCACTTGAGCTCAGGAGTTTGAGACCATCCTGGACAAGATGGTGAAACCCTGTCTCTACAAAAAATACAAAAATTATCCGGGCATGATGGCTCACTCCTGTACTCCCAGCTATATGAGGGGGCTGAGGCCAAAGGATCGCCTGAGCCCAGGAGGCAGAGGTTGCAGTGAGCCAAGATTACACCACTGCACTCCAGCATGGGTGACAGAGCAAGAAGCTATCTCAAAAAAAAAAAAAAAAAAAAATTGAAAAAGATAATCTCTGCCCTTTATATTTGCATGAAGATTTTAGAATCATCTTCTTTAATCAAAAACCTCTTGGCATTTTGATTAAAACTGCACTGAATCTATAGGTCATTTTCTAAATGTATATACAATTGATTTTTGTATATTAACCATATATCTAGCAACCTTGTTGAATTAATTCATTTTAATAACTGATCTACAGATACTTTGGAATTTCTTTTTCTTCTTTTTTCCTTTTTTTTTTTTTTTTTTTTTTGAGACAAGGTCTCACTTTGTCCCCCAGCCTAGAATGCAGCGGCACAAACGCAGCTTACTGCAGCCTTGACCTCCCAGGCTCAGGCAATCCTCCCACCTCAGCCCCACAAGCAGCTGGGACTATGGGCGCATACCACCATACCCGGCTAACTTTTGTATTTTTTGTAGAGACAGGTTTTAGCCATGTTGTCCAGGCTGGTCTCAAACTCCTGAACTCAAATGATCTGCCCACTTCAGCCTCCCAGAGTGCTGGGATTACAGGCGTGAGCCACCACGGGACTTTTGGATCTTCTGTTACAATCACATCATCTGAGAACAGTAACAATCACATCATCCGAGAACAGTAACATTTTCACTTCTTCTTTGCAAGCTTTTTAAACTTTTGTTTTTACTTTCTTAGTACACTAACCAGGACTTCCGGTAACGATTTAAATTGAAATCTTTCTCTTGTTCCTGATGGCAAAGGGAAAGCTTAATTATGATGCCACACAGTGTTTAGATATCCTTATCAGATTAAGGAATTTCCCTTTAATTCTTTTAACTTTGTTTTACCATAAATGGATACCGAATTTCACCAAATGCCTTTCCTGCTTCTGTTGAGATAATACTTTTTTTATGTATTCTGTTAAAATAGTAAGTTAAATTGATTCATTTTCAAATGTTAAAAAATAGTGTGTCCTTGAAACAAATGTGTATGTTACCCTTTTTATAAATTGCTGGAATCACCTTGCTAATGTTTTGTTTAGGATTCTCACATCTATGTTTATTAGCAAGCTTGGCCTATGATTTCCCTTTCTTATGTCCTTTGTCAGATTTTTGATACCAAGGTTATATGGTAGCCTCATAAAATGAGTTGGGAAATAATCTTTCTTTATTTTTTGTTAGTTTGTCATTTTTCTGTTTCATTATTTGATGCTTTTACCTTTTATTATTGCCTAGCTTTGACGTCCTGTAATTCTGTTCTACAACTTTTTGTCTAACTTCTTGAGATGACATTCTATTTTCCTTCTAATGTATACACTGAAAGCTGTGAACTCTCCTTTACGTGCAGTTTCAGCTATATCCCACAAGTTTAGATATGTAGTATTCTCATTGATGTTTGTTTCAAAACGCTTTCTAGCTCCCATTGTGATTGCGTCTGTGAACTCTGGATTATTTTGCAATGGACTGCTTACTTAGCAAACACATTTTGCTGTTGGTTTACAGTGTACCTGCACTGTGGCAGGAAACAGTTTCTGCAGGACAGGCTTGAATATTTTTGAGACTTGCTTTACGGTCCAGCACATGTAATGCCCAGGTTCATCAGCTTTTGTTAATGTTCCAAGGGCTTAGGAAGAATGCACTTACTGAGTGTGGCATCACATGAAAGTCCATTTGGGAGAGAGAGTCATCAACACACCCAGTATGATTAAGTACCAACTAAAGACAAAATGTGAAAGGCAGGTGTGTACCTGGCAGAATCTAATAAAGCCCTAATCCCCTACAGCCAGAAGGCAGACATGGCAGAGCCCCACTCAGGACTTGTAAAGGTGAGCAGAGCCTCCAATAAGTGGAATTCTCAGCTCCACCAGGCTTCCCATGTTGCGGGAGGAAAACAAGGTGTTCCTGGGGCAAGCTGGCTGGGCAGCCAGCAAGGGTATTGCTTAATTTACACAGTTTTAAAGAATCAAGGCCTAGGGCAGCAACCCCCATAAAGTCATGATCCTTTGTCCAATTTGAAAAATGTGAGCCATTTCTCAAACCTGGAAGCCACTAATTAAAGGAACGCCAGAACAGAATTAGGCAGGTCCCTGTAACACCAAGGCATGTGTCATCAATAGTCATTTCCCCAGTCTTTCTCCATAGGGCTGTTGGCCACTTGCTTGGGAAGTAGTGTGTTAAGGAAAGGGGAGTGCCCAGAGCTTTCTGGTTTTGTTGAACTTAGGGTATGAATGGACACTATCTGTGGACCCAAAGCACTACCACGTTCTCCCTATAAAGAGGGGGCGTATGGAAGCCAGGTTATGAAGGGAGTCCTGGCCCCAGTCTAGCTCACAACAGATCCACAGATCCACCCATGGTCATTTCCCTAGTTCCCAAATATATACATGAAATGACTGGCAGAACCCTCACATTGGTTCCTTCACTCACTAGGTAAGAGCTACTAAGCTGGAAAAGTCAAGGAGAAGCCCGTGGCACAGTCTCCTTCCCCCAACTCAAACCAAGACGGTTAGTGAAAAACAATGCCACATCAGGGAAGAAACAGCCCAGACTGGTACCATCCTCGAAGACTTCAAAAAAGGTGAAAGTGGTAGTCCCTGTCATACCCAAGTTAACTCATACCAGTCCGGTCCTACAAAGTTCAGATGGATCACGGTGATGACAGTGAGCTACCACAAACTTAACTAAGAAGCAGCGCCATTCACAGCTGCTGTGCCAGATGTGGTACCTTTGCTAGAGTACAGTAACATCCCCCCAGGACGCAGTGTGCACACACTGATCTAGGAATGCCTTCTTTTCCATTCCTATCAGAAAGATGAAACTCAGTTCACTCTCACATAGGCTAGGCAGTAGTGTACGTTTGTAGTCCTGCCCCAGGCCTCGTTAACCCTCCCACCCTCCAGCAAAGTAGTCCCAGAGGGCCTGTATGATCTGGTTCAACTCAGAACATCACAGTGGCTCATTATACCTTTAACATCAGGCTAACTGGAGCAGATGAGCAAGAAGCGGAAAGTACGCCGGAGGCCTTGGCACACCACACGCACTCTGGAGGGTGCGAGACAGAACCTAGAGAGACTCAGTGGCCTGCCCCATCGGCAAAGTTTTAGGAGTCAAACATCCCTTCCAAAGAAAGGGACAAATTATTTTAACTCACAACTCTTGTCTGTCAGACAGAAGCCAATGGCTGGTAGGCCTCTTTGGGTTTGTGAAAGTTGTCAGGTTCAAAACGGAGTCACTATGTTAAAAACCCTGATCAACAGAGCTAGGGAAGGTTGGGAAGGCAGGGTTCAAATGCCTGATAACAAGACTTATTACAAAAGACTGGAAAACTACAACCTTGCACAAAGGCCAAACAACCTTACACACATACGCAAATTACTTCTGCGAGGACATCTGCCTAGCAACTGCCTGTCCAGCCTCAGAATCATGCCACCCTTGTTATTGATCCTTGTAGCCAAGAAAAATTATCTCAAAACGATTATGTAATCATATTCATTTTTCCATTAGAAACCTTTATCTTCCACTACTTCCCTGAATATGCACATAGTTTACCATAATGTGTATCCCATCGCAATGCCTATTCCTGAATAAATACCATTTTCTTTTGGAGAGTCTCCCTCCCTATTTGTTATTTAGGATGACATAAATGGTGTCAGAAGTGGGATGTGGAGAAGGATCACCTGTGGAAAGAATCATCAATTCTTAGAACTGGTATGAGGCACTCAACTGAGCCCTTTGAGCTCTCTGCTTCCATGACTCGCCTCTTCTGCCCTTGAAAGTCTCCTCTCAAACCAAGCCTCCCATTTTTTGTTAGAAGCTCTTTTTTACTTCATTTGGGATCTGAGTTAATAAAGGACCTTAATAAAGGACCTTGCATCTGTCTCGGATGATAAAAGACCTTTTGTCTCTTCTGGCAAGCCCCTTCTGGTATAAGGACAATGTCCCTCTGGTTACTACAGAATTTATATTCTGTCTGGTTCTGCACACCCGGTTTAATGTTTTGTTTGGACTGCATGCCTGGCTTAAAATTTCTGTGAACACACTTATTTTTTGTTTTATTTTGATTTGCTTACACACATCTGTATATGATTTGGCTCTTTTTTCCCTTGCTTGATTCTGGCCATGATCTGAGAGCAAAAATAAAGATTCTAAATAATGGGTATGGGATGGCCAATTAACAAGGGCAGTCAGCACCACATAAGGCACCAGTCTAAACTCCCTGACAGGAATTATAGGATTTTCTTTGCTCTTGAGAGATTAATAAGAAATGAAATGGGATTCTTAAACATTGAGGCACACCAAGTCTTCTAGGACTCTGGCCAGCTATACTGTGGTCCGTTCTCGTGTGGTGATGGGCAAACTACATCAGGAAAAACGCAGCACTGGACAGCCATTTTCTGTCTAAGCTTGTCAAAAACTGCAACTAACTACAGGGTTAACTCTCCATCTCTTTTTTCTGCCAACTTTGAATCTGATGACTTTTCTGCCAGCATTAAGATAAACTCATTGCTTATGGAAACTAAGATTTTCTTTTAAGTGTTAAAGGGCTTTCAAACTAATGGCTTTATAAATTATGCCAAATCTATGGCAACCAACGATGCAGACACCTTTTGGAAATGTAAATTTAGGTTTGTCTAACAATTGCTTAGGGTGATGAAAAAGCTAATTGAAAAATCGATATTCTAAAAAAAAAACTTTATAAATGTTTATATAAGCTAAGGGCTGTCAGATCAAACAGGTTAAAACCTTAAGCTCAGAGCAATACTAAAAGGTATCTCTGTCTGACATAAAAATTATTTTGTCTGACACTTAAGAGCCAGAAAAAGCAAACAAACAAAAAGATTTGTTACTAATTCAAGGCAACCTGAAAATTTTGTTGTTTTTTTTTAATACAATTTAGCCAGGCCTAGCTAAAATGTAAACATTTGAATATTCAACCCTAAATTCAATTGAATCTGAAAAAAGGATTAAAAGGTTTTTAAAAGTCAAACTGCTATGAAAACTGCTTTATCCATAATTCTGGTCCACAGCCTTCATTAATTACTTATCAGGGTAAACAGAACTTAGCCACAGATAAAAGTTCCGTTTTGTCAAAAATATAATTTGATCCAACTATATTTTATAAACCAGTGAATTTGTATTACTATGTTTTTCTGTTTCATGACCAAAATTCTAAAATGAAAGCCATAAGATCTTTATTTGTGTCTGTATTTGCTTTTATGTATGTTTATACATATTGTATGTTACATCTACATGATAAAATCTGACATAGTTAGCCAGAAATCCCTTAAGAAATTCTATTTGGATTGGCTTAAACAAGCACTCATGTAAAATATATAGTAATTAACCCAAATGCTTTTTAGTTCGTGTGACTTAAATAAATCTTTTTTGTTTTTTTTGTTTTTTGTTTTTTTGAGATAGGTTATTTCTCTGTCACCCAGGCTGGGGTGCAGTGGGACAAACATGGCTCACTGTGGCTTCAACCTCCTGGGCTCCAGTGATCCTTCCACCTCAGCCTCTTGAGTAGCTGGGACTACAGGTGTGTACCATCATACCTGCCTAATTTTTTTATTTTTTGTAGAGATGGGATCTTGCCATGTTGCCCAGGCTGGTCTCAAACTCCTGGGCTCAAGCAATCCTCTTGCCTCAGCCTCCCAAAGTGCTGGGATTATAGGCATGAGCCACCACACCCAGCTGACTTAAGTAAATCTTGGATAAATAAGTTGGTTTTAAATTTGTTGATAAAATAAAAATAGAAGTGTCTTCAAAACTGTCAGCATACATTTTTGCCCAGCTTTACTGGTCAGAGAGGATTATATTTATCTCTACTAGATGTCTTAAGGTTATAAAAGTATAAATCCAGACTAAAGACACAATTATCTTTATTTGTATAACTTTTTAATGACTAAGACTAACACTGTTAGTTTAATCAAAATTGCTGTATCTTCTGTGTTATCAGCAAAATACCCCTATATTTAAGTTTCTCAGGTGAAAACCTGATACTCATAGGCTATACAAATGGTGAAAAGGGAAATAACTTGAAATGAAGACTAGCTTTTTCTATATCTCAGTTTTCATAAGTAACCTAGGTATAATTATTAAAAATAAATAAAGTACATAAACGTAGATGGGAAAGTGCTTATAGACTGTCATGTAATCTGAAATCTTAAAGTTATGCTATGTTAAATTAAATGATACTCATAAAATGTCTAAGTCATTTCCATATAAGATAAAGTACTAAAACATACATTGCTGAACACAAATGTAAGTTTGTTCTTGGCTTATTAAATTTTAGAGAAGGACTAAATATATTTTTGCCTGTTAATACACAAAGTAATTATGTAACGGGAAAACATGTTTCCAAAAATTATAAAATGGTTCTCATCTATAAAATACTGATTCCAAGGTTTTCACTAAAAATTACAGTTACTAAGAGTTAAAGTTCTTACATATATATATTTCAGTATACAAAGTATACGAAAAGTAAGGTATGTTTCTGATGAGAAAAATTATGAGAGGAATAAAAATGTGTTCTTTATTGAAAAAAAGAGTAATTTTGTCTAGTTTGGAGATTATTTAAAATTTGTTTCAAAATATGGATTTAGAAAGCAAAGAGAAAGAAACCACTAAGTAGGAGAGCGAGAGATGTGAAGAAAGTTATAGGTATGTAGATGTATCTTAGTAAGGAAGGTTAAAAACAAAAATGAATAATTTTGTATGACAAAGACTCCTGTGTGGTAAATTTTTGTCCTAAAGTAAAATGCCTGTTGTTTTAAGAAAGAGGAAGTACAGAACAAAGCAGAAAGGCTTAAGGATGTCATCGAAGGCCTATATTGGTCATAAAAGTCTGTGAAAGATAAATTTACGAAATAAATTTTATATGATTAAGTTGGTTATAATTAGAAGAAAATTATGTGTAAGTCCTTCTAAAGACCAAACTTTAATATTAAAAATACACTAATACAAAGCAAAAAACGTGGTCGCTTATGTTAGAACAACAGGGTTTTCCTGAAGTATTGATCGGCTATTAGTAAAACTGCAGGACGTTTTGATTTTTAATTCTGAAGTATGTTTATAAAACAAGCTTCTGAACTGCAGCTTTTTTCTATTTTAGTCTCCATCTAATTTCCCTCGTATGAGGTTAGAAATGCTGTCTTCATTTAGAATGGCAATTTCATTTCTCCAGGCAGGGTCTTCCTCTCCAGGTGAATCTGACAGCCTCGGCTTGGGCTTGGCCTTGCTGCGTGTGACCTGCTGGCCGCATATCACTGCCTTCCACTCTCTCCCCTTGAGAAGCTGCAGCTGCTTGCTTGGCTAGGGCAAGGACTCTTTCCTTCAACTTTTTTGTCAGCTCCTGGAACTTTTTTCTCCAGTTTTAACTGTGTTACTATGGTCTGATGCACTGTTTTCCGCCTGTATAACTCGATTCTGTACATTCGGCTTTTCTGGATGTGTCTGAATTGTTCCATGGAACCAGAAAACTTCCCATACTGTGACTTAGAGCCCTGTACTGCCCTGCTCAAGCCACTAACTGTCACATTGACATTCCTCTATAATACGGTGCGCACTCGTAATACTGGACACCCTCTTCCTATGTCTCATTAAATTCAAGTACTTTTCATCAGCTTCTACTTCCAGGCAAACCAAACGGGCTTCCCATGAGGAGAAGCAATCACACCACAGGAGGTTTTTCTTTACCTTTTTGGTAACTGGCCTACGAAACAAAGATTTTATGTTTTATCAAGATAATTTCCTGTGTTGTCTTTATTAAGTTTTTTATTTTGTAGGAAAACTGAGCTTTGAGTGGGTTGTTTGTTTACATTCATGGAACTCCCTGTGTTGCTTCTGAAGTCTTTCTCATTCTGGTTAAATGAATGACTATTATCTAATAGTGACCTGTGCTCCTGTTTTGATCAGGCGTTTTAAATCTTTTGGCATCTTTGATGGGCTTCCCCAAGATATAAATTCTAAATTAAATCTTTTTGACCCATAATTAGCTTTAGTATTTTCCAGTCAAGCTTCTGGAGAGCCTCAAAGGACGTATCTCTCATCTTACAAAGACTTATCTGGTACGTCTGGTAAATGATTAGGCTTATCTGGTAAATTGTATAAAAAACACTGTAAAATGATACGTGATGCTAGACCTTCTTTCAGTTACATTTATGGGTGTGTTTTTATAGGAATGTTCCAAAATTGTATAAAACTCTCAGAAACCTAATATGCCATAACTCTAGTTATTATGTTGTATGCTACAGAAATAGCCAGATTTCCTTGTCAATTGCTAATTATAATGAACTTCCACCAGATTTTAAACCATAGCTATTCTGTTTTCCTTATCCATTGTTATTGTTTTGATTTTTCTCTAAAAGCATTTGCAATCAGATTCATGGAAAAGACTCTAAGAAGCACTCTTAAATACAGGTTTCTAATAACTTTAAGATCGACAGACTAACTGAAAATTCTTCAGAACTCTAATAAGGAAACAGATGAATTTGTGAAACTACTTATCAAGATCAAGCAGAACAAAAATTAATTACATGAGATTAAATAACTGATGAGATGTTTTTATGACTTTTATTTGAAACATTGTTGGTTCTTTACTTAAATGTTTTGTTTTCCAGATCTAAGGATGTTTTCTTTCTTTCTTTTTTTGAGACAGAGTCTCACTCTGTTGCCTAGGCTGGAGTGCAGTGGCGGGATCTGGGCTCACTGCAAACTCCGCCTCCCAGGATCACGCCATTCTCCGGCCTCACCCTCCCGAGTAGCTGAGAATACAGGCGCCCACCACCACGCCCGGCTAATTTTTTGTATTTTTAGTAGAGACGGGGTCTCACCACGTTAGCCAGGATGGTCTCGATCTCCTGACCTTGTGATCCGCCCACCTCAGCCTCCCAAAGTGCTGGGATTATAGGCGTGAGCCACCGTGCCTGGCCAGAACGTTATCTTTCTTAAACTGTTTATAACTTACAGCAATCTGGTAAAGTATACTTCTGTGAAAACAAAAGTAAAAACATTTGCTTTTTCTCCCTACTCGATCCCTCCAAAATTTGGAAACTGTTCACATGTATTCTTATGGCAATGTGGTTATTTACAAAAAAAAAAAAATCTGTTCCCTCTTTGTAGCAGGATACAACTGAGACCAGTGGTTCTGTTCCCAATGCCTTGTCTGGAATCTCAAATTTGAGAACGTGCATAGAATACCCTGCTTCAAGGGTTCCTAGACTTACAGCGGGTAAGTAAAAACTGTCACTTCGTATCAGGCCCAGAAACCTTAAGACTGTAGGCAAAATCTATAGTCTGCCTTGGTTTGGCTTCCCAGCCTCAGGAGGTTGTTAAAATCGGAGTGATTTTTTTCTTGTGTGATCAATGTAGAGAGAAGCAGCCATGTTTCTGAAGAAAAGCTGCAATACTCCTGTTATTAGACTGGAGCCCTGTGCACTGTTTCCAAGCTCCTCAATTCTTCCAGCTTCCTCCCATCCAACTTTCTCCCATAGAATCACTAAAAGCAGAGAACTACTCTATTCCTGAAGCCCTATAAGCTGAAACTAAATGTTAAGGGACAAAATCCCATTCCTGATGCGTGGGCCACACCAAGAGTTCACCAAACCACTGATGCCACAACCAGAGACACTTAGACCACAAGACAGGACTAGAAGCCGACAGCTTCATGCTGTGGGCAGCTTCTCCAAGGCACTGGAATAAGAGTCCATATTATAAAGACACATTTACCCCTCTTAATGCCTACCTTTTTGACTCGGCAGAATAATGGTGTAATCGAAATTTCACAATCAGTAGCTTCTGCTGGGAACTAGATAGAACCCTAAGAGATCCTTGAGTCCCCCTAGTGGGTGACTTTGGGAACATCCCTAATACAACTGGTGCTCACTCTGCTTTAATCCAACTCAGTCATGGGACACTAGATGATAAAATTGCTCTAAATTATCCATTGCGTAAAGAAGGAAATGTCTGTGCTATTGCTGATACTACCTGCTATACCTGGATAAATTCTTCTGGGAAAATTAAGGACCATATACCCAAAATAAGAAAACAGGTCGGGGCATGGTGGCTCATGCCTGTAATCTCAGCAGAGGCGGGAAGACAGATTGAGCCCAGGAATTCAAGATCTGCCCGGGCAACATGAGAAACCCCATTCTCCACAAAAAGGAAAAAGTACACACACACCAAAAAAGGAAACAGGCCATATATTATAAAAAGTCTCACCCAATTCCCTATGGTCATTTGATTTATTCAACTGGTTGTCTTTAAGCCTATGTTCATGACTCAAAACATTATGCAAACTAGGATTGTCATATTATTATTAATTTCACTCTGCATTTTCCCTTTATAAATTTTTTATCTGTTGCTTAAGTCTCTGCAGAAGTACAACTCCTAACAGAATCGTGCTGGCCCAGCGCGTTGAGATGATGCCAACACCCATGGAACAGACAAAACCGTACTTAACAGTGGACTCAGGTAGACTGCGCCTGAGGGCCACTCCCTCCACACCTCCCTGGTTGCTCAAATGTGGCTAAATGAGCTCTGACACTGACTCCTGGTCACCAGTCACTTCCTGATGATGTGGAACCAGACCACACCAAACTGGGACAGCTCCATCCCAGCACCAAGGGGCAATCAAAGCCTGACTGCAGGATGACTGGTCAGCTATGCTTTTGGAGAAAGATCTCAATTAAAAGGGGGAAATGTGAAAGTTGTCAGAAAGAAAATGGAGTCACTTGTATTAAAAACCCTAACAAAGTGTTACAGAGCCAGAGAAGGCCAGGAAGGGAGGGTTCTCATGCTCATAGACCTGATAACAAATCCATCACAAAAGACTGCAAAACCACAACCTTGCACACAGGCCATCTCAGCCTCACATACAAAAATATTCCTCTGAGGACATCTGTCCCGCAACTGCCTGTCCAACCTTGGACTGGTCCCATCCTTGTAAGATAATTATCTCAAAACAATCCTGTGATCCTCCTCATTTTTCCTTGAAAAACTGCTGTCTTTCTTGACCTCCCTGAATATTCATAGTTTACTACAGCATGCATATTCTCATTGCAATGCCTATTCCCAAATATTAATAAATATCGTTTTCTTACAGAGAGCCTTCCTCCGTGTTATTCAGGACGATGGGCTCAAGAGGCAAACCACCCCTCACTTGGGAAGGCTGCTCAGATCCCTCTCCAAGGAGTCATGGAAGGCAGCCAGCAGCGAGCAGGGCCCACACAGAAAAGGACAGGCAGCCCTGCCACCTGGGCCATCCTCCTTGGCCCCAGTAAGAGATTTACAGCCAGGAAGTTTAAGGTGTGGGGCAAAGACAGCAGGGACCACAAGCCATGTGGAAAGCAGCAGGGCCCTGGTGGAGATGGAGCATCCACTGGGGACACCCAGTGATTAGACGCTGGAGCTGTCTATCAGGAGCATGGCACTGACCCTGGCATGGGGCACACCCAGCAGCAATCCACCATGAGATAGAAGTTTACACCCAGCAGGGAAGGGGCAGGTTGTGCAGAGCACGTGGCCCAGACCCACATATCATTCACCAGGGCACCAGCACAGCTCTGTCAGCCCAAACCTAGGGCCACACAGTGAGTTCCTCATGACCAACAGAAAAGGAGGAAAATGAACAGGACTTGTGCACAGATGGTCAGCTCAGCATGGCAGTATGAGCCAAAAATGGTCCCGGGGTCCTCAGCCTCAAGCTAGGCCCTGCCTTAGGTAGCACACACCCCTTTTGAGTCTTCATCAGCAGCATGAGCACCCCATTGCAGCCGATTCTGATTGCTGCCCGCCCAGATACAGCACGCTAGCCCTGACCTGCCCTCGAGTTCCCCGGAGAGACCAAAGCTAAACAGGCCATCCAAGGGCAGATTCCTATTTGCAGCCACAACGTGCCAATCCCCAGGACCCCTGCCATCCCTGAAGCCACCTTTTCTCCTGGAAGAGCAGGAGCTGGAGCAGTCACTGTGGACGGAGTCTGGCCACACCGCTCATGCAGATCCTTCCCAGCTAAGAACACTCTCGCCCGTCCCACACGCGCTGAAGGAGACATGTACAAGAATGCCGTAAGGGCAGACTCTCTCCCACTCCCACTGAGTGTCTATCGATAGCGGAAGGCATCAATCATCGTCATATACTCATAGCAGAATGCCATACAACAAGTAAAAGGACTGGACTGAAAGTCCAGGAGTAAATCTTGAAAACATGACACATGTTCTAGAATAAGACATTAATAAGAAGACATAGAATACAGCTGCACCTGTATAAAATTTTAAAACATGCCAAATGAGACAGTCAAAGGATCAGTGGTTGTCAGAGTTCAACGGGAGGGTGCAGGGTAAACAGGTGGGGCATAGAGGATTTCCAGGGCGGCGGCTTTCTCGGTGATACACAGCGGTGGGTGCACGGCACGGACATTTGTCCAAACCCACAGAGAGGACAGCACGGGCAGGAACCCTCGTGTGAGCTGCGGACCTAAGCTAATAATCATATGTCTACACTGGCCTGTCAACTGTAACAAACACCCACACCAATGCAGGACGTAATGATCCCGACGGCGCATTTTTAACAAGTGGGTGGGGGCATAAGGGAACTCTCTGTACTTTCTGTAAACCTAAAACTGCTATAAAAAATAAAATCTTTTCATTGTTCTTTACAAAAGAAACACAGATAGACGAGCCACACAAAATGACACTTACCCATGTCTGTGGATCACGCCCCGTCTTTAAGGGGGCAATGACAGGCCCTACCTCGTAGAGTATTTGTGGGGATTAAACCAGCTCATTTCTAGAAGTGTTCACTGGAGTCTGGCACACAGAAGAGCACCCCAGAAAGCCCTGTGACAGCTCAGACACATTGCAGGGTAGAAAGGTTCCCAAATGTGCATGGGACGCTGTCCCCCAGAAAACAGGGGTTACCACTACAGAGGAGGAGGGGAGGGGACCACAGGGACTCAAAAAACAGCCAGACGTATCTGCAAGGTGGACTTGCATTTTTTAAAACTTGAAGGAGAAAAGAAGAAAAATGAAAATTAAATTACCTCAAGATCATCAAGGGAGCGAGTGATACTGAATCTCTTGGATCTCCCAAATGATCTCCGAGCAGACGTGCGTTGAGAAGGCTGAGTGAGTCCAGTTCCCCGCCCAAATTTTGAGCCCTAAACACGAAGAAAAAAGGCATCAGGTTATTCTTTTGCAAAGAGATGTTTAGTCTTGTCCAATGCATGGCATAGCAGAAAATCAAGGAATACTGTGGAACAAAGACTTTTTAAAAAGAGAGATTTAAAAGTCATCCCAGGGTAAATCTTAGGTATATTTTATACAAGAAAAACATGCAAAATTGAAAAAAAAACAGTCATCCCAGGATCGTCAAGTATTTGCTCTGCCAACTGTGTGCCTCTGACAAAGCCTCCACCTCTGTAAACACAGAACAGGATGACGGCAGCCCACCCACAAGGCTGTTACCCAGATCAAATGAAATCACGTGCAAGGGTGCTTGGAAAGTGGACACAGTACACTGAGAGTAAAGATGACTAGTATGATGATTAGTAAAGATGAAGGCAGGTTTTCAGCAAAGTCGTGCTTTTTCATAATTTTGTAAGCACTTTAGGAAATGAAAGAATCCCTAAGCATTCAGCTGGTGTCTGAAGACCCAACCAACTCCGGCGCAGGAAATAACTGGCTATTAAAACATCCTGTCTCTCCTCCTCCAGGAAATGACCAGAATTAATTCAATTCGACAAACATCTATGTTGTGCCCATCATTATGCTAGACACTTCCCCAGATGAGAAGCTGGCTCCAGCAAATCAGTCGCCACCTCTTAAAAACAAAAAGCATCACAGTTGGGAGCTCTGCTTTCCTGAGGACTTGGAATCCTAAGTGACCAATTTCAGGCTTGAAGGAAGGGAACCTGTTTATGTCAAGATTTTGAGGCTCTGCAGCTACTTTTGTCTCTCCACCTGCATAAGAGTCTTGTAGAAAACCTTGCCACAATTCCTTGAGAGTCCCTAGGGAAACCTACAGCATGCCTGCACCTTTCTGGAAGCAGATGGAGCAGGCCACCCTCCCGCCTCTCCCCTCTCCTTGACCACCACGCTGACACACCCCATCATGTCCTCAGACCCATTCCCGCCTGGGTCTCCCTGCACTGCGCTGCTCCTCCTCAACTGAAAAGTCCTTCCTACCCCACCCATTGTCACGGCCCAGCCCCACACCACCCCACACCCCGGGGCCTCTGCAGCCCCTACCCTCCGCCCACACCTCCATCCTCCACCCTCCCTTCTGTCCACACCCCCATCTCTCCACCCTCCCTCCCCCCACACCATCTCTCCACCCTTGTCCCCTCCCCACACCCTCATCTCTCCACCCTCCCCTCCGCCCACACCCCCATCTCTCCACCCTCCCTCCCCACACCCCCATCTCCCCTCCCCCCACACCCCCATCTCTCCACCCTCCCTCCCCCCACACCATCTCTCCACCCTTGTCCCCTCCCCACACCCTCATCTCTCCACCCTCCCCTCCGCCCACACCCCCATCTCTCCACCCTCCCTCCCCCCACACCCCCATCTCTCCACCCTTGTCCCCTCCCCGCCATACCCCCATCTCTCCACCCTCCCTCCCCCCGCACCCCCATCTCTACACCCTTGTCCCCTCCCCACATACCCCCATCTCTCCACCCTCCCCTCCGCCCACACCATCTCTCCACCCTCCCTCCCCCCGTACCCCCATCTCTCCACCCTTGTCCCCTCCTCCCCCATACCCCCATCTCTCCACCCTCCCTCCCCCCATACCCCATCTCTCTACCCTTGTCCCCTCCCCCCATACCCCCATCTCTCCACCCTTGTCCCCTCCCCACCGCACACACCCCCATCTCTCGACCCTTGTCCCTGCCCACACCCCCATCTCTCCACCCTCCCCTCCGCCCACAGCCCCTAAAGACGGGCAGAGGGGTGTCACTATCCTCTTGGCAGGTGAGAGGTCCAGCACCCAGGGGCTGTGGCTGCCGGGAACACGAGAGGATGCTCGGGGAGGGACGCCACCACTGGGCCCCCACCAGGCCGAGAGAAGGCTCTAAGGCTGTCATCCTGAAAGTGGCGATGCCCAGCAGAGGGCAGCCGGCAGGCAGAGGCCTAGAAGCACAGCGGCCAGGTGCCAGATGGACCGGCCAACACAGGTGTCAAGCACACTCCAAGCTGAGGCGCCACAGTTGCCAGCTCACTCCAAGGCACTAGTGGCACAACTGCTTGTTTTCAAACTAAGGAGCAGGCCCCCGTGCACGCCGTGCCTCCGAGGCTGGAGAACGGACTGCACTGGCCTGCACCGGCCTGCACCTGCCTGCACCTGCCTGCTGCTCCCATGGGGCTCAGCTCAGGCTCCCGCCAGCTCCTGCCTTCTGTAAATCAGCCTGTAAGACACTCTTTGGAGGGAACCTGTGGTCCCATTAGGACACAGATGTGGCTTCCTGGTGTCTCTGCTCCTGATGGCAGGCACCTTGAGTGTCCTGCCAGCGTGCTCTTCTGTGGTGACTGATAAATTGCCACCCCCGCTCCCTCCTGCTTAGGCTGGCGTCCGTGTCCACGCTCTGGGTCCACACCCCGGGCGCCCGCCTCATGGCCTTTGTGCATGTTCTTCCCTCCCCTGACCCCTCAACCCAAACAACCCCTCTTGTAAGAGACCTTTAAGCCCCCGTCTAAGTTAAGACTCCCCAGCGTCCTCTCTCCCAGTCTTTGGGTCTTTTCCTTCCCACCAGTGACACCGCTGTCAGCCATGAGGAATCTCCCCCAGGGGACTGCCATGGGACGACAGCAGCAGCGCCCTTCGCTTCGTCTGATGCTGTCTGAAAACTTGCTGCCCAGCACAGCGCCCGGCTCCTGGCAGGTGTGCGGCCCCGGCAGAGGGGAGGCCTGAGAAGGCGCTGGGCAGTGCTCATGAGACACACGACACGGAGGCCACAACACGGGGGACTGACTGCCCAACAATGGGGAGCGCAGGGCACCTGTACGGCATGCAGACGTGTGTTGCGGCAACAGCAATAACGGGAAATGTTCAGTCCACTGCTAAAGCAATGAGTGACTTTGTTCTCATTATAGATTTGCTATTCTGTATTTTCTGCTCTTGAGAAGGGTGGGGAATGAACCCATGGCTTTGTGAGATTAAGGCTGTCAGAATCAAAATGAATCACTTGTGTTAAAAACCCTAACAAACAGAGCTGGGGAGGGCCATGAAGGGAGGGCTCACACATTAGTGTGCCTGCGAAAAACAAATCCATCACAAAGATGTGCAAATCACAGCCATGCACACAGGCCATCACAGCCTCACTCAAAACACACTGTGAGGACATCTGCCCAGCAACCGCCCGCCCACCTCCAGCCTGGTATCATCCTTGGTGCTGATCCTTGTGGCAAGGATAATTATCTCAAAACAATCATGTGATCCTCATTTTTCCTTTAAAAGCCTTTGTCTTCTTTGGCCTCCCCAGCTATGCACTGTAGACCATGGCAAGTATCTGCCTACTCCAATGCCCTGCTCCCAGATAAACATCATTTCTTTCAGAGAGCCTCTCTCTGTTATTTAGATGGACAGTGATAAGAGAGTTTAATTTTTTTTTTCTTTTGAGACAGGATCTCACTCTGTCGCCCAGGCCGGAGGGAGAGGTATGATCATGGCTCACAGCAGCCGCGACCTCCCAGGCTCAAGTGATCCTCCCACCTCAGCCTCCTGAGTAGCTGGGACCACAGGCATGTGCCAACAGGCCCGGCTAATGTTTGTATTTTTTGTAGAGACTGGGTCTTGCTATGTTGCCCAGGCTGAGCTGAAACTCCTGGGCTCAAGCAATCACTTACCTCAGCATCCCAAAGTGCTGAGATTACAGGTGTGAGCCACCACACCTGGCAGCCCTGACCACGCCCCAGGTGAGCGGCCCTTCCACAGTCAGCCTTGCAACTTGTTCCCAGCACAGGCAAAAGAAAGGATGTCTGACGCCTGCCCACACGTGGATGCACTGTGCACTTTGGAGATGTAAAGGAGAAAGGAAAAGTCTAACAAGCAGACAGAAAACAATTCTTGCAAAGCACTAAATCAACTCATGGAACGAGGGCCAGTAACAGATGTGACAACTTCCACAGCAGGGAGAGACCAGCGTTTACTCGTGTTTCTCAAATTGACAAAGTTTTGTAAATTAATAAATTCAGATCATCACCGCCGATTTAGCACCCCTGCTGGTGTGACATAATCTTGACTCTTCCCCAAAGAGTACTAAACAGGGAAAACAACAATAAAAATGGCCTAAAAGACCACTTGGTTCAAACTCCAGCTTTTAAGTTGAGAAGACTCCTCACGACTGTCTGAGAAGACAGGTGGCCCCCAGGGCACCATCTCCACCTCCCAGCCTTCGGCCACCACACCCAGCACTCAAGGGCACTGAGTGGAGCAGACACCGCCCGCCCGCCAACCACAGAGGCCGGTCACCCTGGCCCCCAGGCATCCAGGATGCAGTGAGCCAGCCTGAGCCAGCCGGCTTCAGGGAGAACCAAGGGCCTCAGGCCAATCAACCTGCCTGGCTACAGGGTCCCAAGGGACGGCCGGTCAACCGGCATTACTACCACACACAGGCCCAGAAAAGCATCGGGTTCCCTCCAAAGTAAAACCGCTAGAAATGAGGGGAGGGGAAGGGTAGAACCTTAACCCCTGCTCAGGTACCAAATTTCTTGGCCACTCTCAGTGCCAACAATGAATTGCTGGGCACAGTGGCTCACGCCTGTAATCCCAACTCTTTGGGAGGCCGAGGCGGGTGGACCACCTGAGGTTGGGAGTTTGAGACCAGCCTGACCAACATGGAGAAACCCTGTCTCTACTAAAAATACAAAATTAGCCAGGCATGGTGGCACATGCCTGTAATCCCAGCTACTCAGAAGGCTGAGGCAGGAGAATCGCTTGAACCTGGGAGGCAGAGGTTGCCGTGAGCTGAGTTCACACCACTGCACTCCAGCCTGAGCAACAAGAGCAAAACTCTGTCTAAAACAAAACAGTGAATCATCCCATGCGACCATCAGTTCGGAGCAAAGAATCATTTTGGCGTAAGAACCATTCCAACGCCTCAATCCACAGATGAGAACTGGGAAGTCAGGGAAGCAAGTCCGTGCAAGGTCACACAGCTCATGGCTGACCTGAGACAACACCCAGCTCCTGCTGTACTACTGCACTGCCGTTTTTTATTAAACTTTCAAAATATTTATTCAATCTGATTTTAAAATCCAGATAACACAAAATTTACCAAGTTAGCTGGCTCAGTAGCATTAGGTGTGTTCGTACTGTTATGCAAGCATCACCACCGTCCTCCAGAATTTTTCATCTTCCCAGAACGAAGCTCTGCCCCCATTTAACACGCACTCTCCATTCCCCTCCCCCAGGCCCCCTCTCCCGCTTTCTGTCTTTATGAATTTGACTGCTCTAGGAATCCCACATAAGTGGAATTAGATAGTGTGTGTCCTTCTGTGACTGGCTGATTTTGCTGAGCATGGTGTCCTCAAGGGTCATCCATGTTGTAGCCTTCCTCTTCAAGGCTGAATAATATTCCGCGGTATGGATGGACCACACTGTGTTTATCCGTCACCTGATGATGGACATCTGGGTGGCTTCTGCCTTTCAGCTATTGCAAATAATACTGCTATGAACATGTGTATAAAGAGCATCTCCTCAAGACCTTGATTTCAATTCTTTGGGTATATACGTAGAAGTAGGACTGTGGGCCATGTGGTCATTGTACTGTTGGTTTTTTGAGGAGCCACCACACTGTTTCCCATGGTGGGTGCGGCACTTGGCATTCCCAGCAGTGCGCCAGGACTCCAACTCCTCCGCATCCTGCCCAACACGGGTCATTTTTCTCTCTTGTGATGGTGGTGGCAGTTGTTTTATAGTAGCCATCCCAAGGAGTGTAAGGTGCTGACTCACTGTGTGTTTAGTTGGCGCTGGCCTAATAATTGATGATGTTGGGCATCTTTCCACGTGCCCATTGACTACTTGTGTATCTTCTTTGGAGAAACGTCTATTCAAGTCCTTTGCTCATTTTTTAATTTTTCTTTTTCTTCATTTTTTTTTCTACTTCACAGTTTCACACTGGATCTTTGCCCATTTTTTTTTATTTTAATTTCTCTTTATTTTCTTTTCTACTTCACAGAATTCACACTGGACTTTTGCCCATTTTTTAACTGGGTTGTTTGTTCCTGTTGCTGAGTTATAGGAGTTCTCTATAGACTCTGCATATTAACTGCATATCAGATACATGGCTTGCAAATGTTTTCTCCCATTCTGTGGGTTGCCTTCATTCTGTGGGTTGCGTTTTTTAATGTGTAGAGTTTTTACATTTGATGTAATGCAATTTATGTATTTTTTTCTTTCGTTACCCACACTGCTAGAACTAAAAATTCCTAACCAATTCGGTCTAAATAAACACTAGTCCCTAAGCCCCAGTGGGGCAAGGACCATGTCCTGGTCACGACTACACCCCCACCCCTCCCACAGTGCTTGGTGCATACCAAGTACTCAATGAATACTTACTGAACAAATAGACTGTACACAAGAGAGTATGTAGCTTAAAAGAGAGACCAGATCATCCGAAGGTATTTCCAAAAAGAGGCAATATAGAGACTTACGAGGAGTCAGATTTCTAGCTCACATCTTCGCATCTCCTGCTATATTCTTCAGGGTTCACTCAGGAGACAGAAACCACCCGTAGTTCTAACAGAGAGTACTATGTAGAGAAGGGGTAGCTTGGTATTGAGGGATGGAAAGGCAGAGGGACTCTGAGATGCCATGGAGTAGCAACCTCGGGAAGCCGCTGCCACCCCAGGGCTGGGAAAATGCAGGGAAGCAGAAGGAATTACTCCAACTTGGCAGCTCACAGGAAAACAGCCGGTGGAGCTGGGGCCCAGACCACCGAGGGACAGGACATGGGGCTCCAGCCCTTGGGTTTTGTTTGTTTGTTTGTTTGCCTGCTTGTTTGTTGAGACAGCGTTTCACTCTGTCACCCAGGCTGGAGTCCAGTGGTGCGATCTGGGCTCACTGCAACCTCCACCTCCCAGATTCAAGCAATTCTCCTGCCTCAGTCTCCCAAGTAGCGGGGACTACAGGCACGCACCACCATGCCCGGATAATTTTTTTGTATTTTTAGTAGAGACGGGGTTTCACTATGTTGGCCAGGCTGGTCTCGAACTCCTGACCTCAAATGATCGGCCTGCCTTGGCCTCCCAAAGTGCTGGGATTACAGGTATGAGCCACCACGCCCGGCCCAGTTTTTTTCGAATTTTTAGAGTTGGGAGTCTCATTCTATCTCCCAGGCTGGAGCGCAGGGGTACGATCATAGTTCACTGTAACCTCCAATTCCTGGCCTCCCAATATGCTCGGATTACAGGTGTGAGCCATGGCACCCAGCCCATCCATTGTTTCTGAGGGGCCAGAAGGTTGGCGCAATGAGCTGGGCAAACTGCAAACTGAGAGGGGAAGGAACTGCCCCTGTGAGGGTGAAACGTTGCTATGGTGACACTCCTGCCTTGCCAGCTCCGGGGAGCGCCCCTGGGGACAGAGCCTGACAGGGATGCAGCTGTGAGCAGGAAGGTGATGCGGAGACCCTGTCGGTGTCATAGAGGGTGGGCTTAGGGCTGAGGGCAGTAAGCTGAGTAACCGGCACACCTGGTTAAATCTGTTACAAAACTCTGTGCGGCAGGAAGAATTCCAAGCCCAAAAGCAAAACTATTTTAGAATCAACAAAATTCCATTTCAAACATAAAACTAGACAAACTTACAGCAATGGTTACAGAGTAACGTGTAAGGAACCAAAGAAAGGTTTCTGGGTCATAGCAAAGCACGTTTTGTGAAAGGAAGGAGAAAAATGTGCACAAAGACTGGGTGTCCTATTCAAGAAAGAAAAAGATGAATATTACACATGAAAAGACATTTAAGTAGAGATATTAATTTAAATTATTCCAAAATATCTTAGGGCCTATGATGTCCCAAGCAATTGACTAGGACTAGAACCTTTAACGACAGAAACAAAGCACATAATTTCTTCACCGGTAAAGGAGGTGGGTGTGGACTAAGGAAATAAACCAACCAGGCTTGAAATCAAAACAAAACAAAACATAAGGCAAGAAAGCAGGGAGGGAGAACCTAGAAAAAGTGGATTCACAGGAAGAATGCAGTAATATCCCAGAGCCAAGACTCAATGTGCCAGTCACCCAACACATCAGTGACCCGCATCTGCCTGATCTTCTTCTTGAGCTGTCAGAACAATCTGCCACTTATAGTAACAATTCGAAAACAGAAATGGAAAAGTTTAAATAAAAAGACGAGTGCTGACTCAGAAAAGGCTGCTTTCACCAGATTAATAATAGACAAAACAGGCTTTATCCCTAATTTTAAAATTTTTAAATAAAAAGTTATTGAAATCCTCTGGAGGGAGGATAAAAATAAAATATAAGATTCAATATACGAGGAAAAGGAGAAGAAAGGGAGGGAAAAGAGAAGGAAGAGGAATAGAAAAGTTCTACCATTAATTTTTTGTTTTGTGAGACTACAGTAATCTTGATACCAAAACTCGACAAAGATAATGAGAAGGGAAAGTACGAGATAGTCTCACTCAAACACAGACTTTAAAATTATACAAAAATAGTAGCAAACCAAATACATCAGTGTATAAAAAATGATCATAAGTTAGGTTTATCTCAGGAATGCAAGTATGGTCTATTATTTGAAAATCAATCATTGTAATTTGCCATGTTAGCATCAAAAGGCAGAAACATGATCTCAATGAATGCAAAATAACAAAGAAAACAGCTAAAATTTAACACCTATTCATGAAAACAAATATTAACAAGTAGTAACGAAGTGAACTCTCTTAACCTTAATAGGGTAGCTAGATATAAAAAGCAACTAGTCAATTATACTTCCACATATCATAAGAGCTGGCATGCATAATTTATTCTATTTTAATTCCTTTTTCAACCAGCTTCCTCAGGTTGAAGCATTTACAATTTTTAAAAGGTACCATTTATAATGGCAAATAAAATTATAAGGTACCAAGAAATAAATCTAGCTAGAGAATAAATTTAATTAAAGATGTTTATGAAGGAAATTACAAAGTTTTACTGAAATAAGCCAAAATGAGAGAGAAGAGAGATACTATTTTCATGGATAGGAAGGCTTGATCTCCTAAAGATATCAATTCCCTCAAACTGAGCTACAGATTAAAACACAAAATATCAATAGCATTTCGGGGAATTTGTAAACTGGTTGTAGAATCTACATAAAACAGCGAGGCCCAAGCACAGACAAGAAAACCTGCCCTAGAAGACAGAAAGACGTATTATAAAGCTATAGTAATTTTTTAAAGTATAGGTGGGGATACTGACTAGGAAGGAACACAGAACTAAGAAACAGACCCACACGCACATGAACACATGATCCATGACAGAGGGAGCACTGCTGATCCACGTGGAAGGACGAGATTAGTGCTAGAACCACTGGTTACCCACAGAGAAAAAAGTTAACTTTCGTCTCACCTGATTCTTTTCATAAACATTAACTCCAAGAAACTTTAAGGGGAAAAAGGGAGAAAATCTGTTTTGACCTCAAGTAGTAATAAATGTATTAAATAAGACACAGACCGGGTGCAGTGGCTCACGCCTGTAATCCCGGCACTTTGGGAGGCCAAGGCGGGAGAGGATCACTTGAGGTCAAGAGTTTGAGACCAGGCCGGGCACGGTAGCTCACGCCTGTAATCCCAGCACTTTGGGAGGCCGAGGCGGGTGGATCACGAGGTCAGGAGATCGAGACCATCCTGGGTAACACGGTGAAACCCCGTCTCTACTAAAAATACAAAAAATTAGCCGGGCAAGGTGGCAGGCGCCTGTAATCCCAGCTACGCGGGAGGCTGAGGCAGGAGAATGGCGTGAACCCTGGGGGACGGAGCCTGCAGTGAGCCGAGATCGCGCCACTGCACTCCAGCCTGGGAGACGGTGAGACTCCGTCTCAAAAAAAAAAAAAAAAAGAGTTTGAGACCAGCCTGACCAACATGGTGAAACCCTGTCTCTACTAAAAATATAAAAATTAGCCAGGTGTGGTGGCATGTGCCCGTAATCCCAGCTACTCGGGAGGCTGAGGCAGCAGAATCGCTTGAACCCAGGGAGGCGGAGGTTGCAGTGAGCCGAGATCGCACCACTGCACTCCAGCCTGGGTGACAAAGTGAGACTCCATCTCAAAAATATACATATATAAAAGACACAAAGTGTAAACCATAGGAGAAAAGATTATACATCTGGCTAGAAGAGTGAAAACAGGAGTCATGCCCGGGGCAGGGACACGTGCGAAGTGCACAACCAGCCAGGGACTAACAGCCAGCGTCTATCATTCCCGCAGTCCATGAGGAAAAGACAGCCCAAGAGGAGAGAGGGACCAAAAGGTTTGAGTAGGCGCCTCAACAGAGAGGAAACGCAGAGCCTTATAAGCAAGGGAATGCAAATCAAAGCCACATGAGACACCACTTTACAGCTCCCAGATTAGCAAAAGATTTAAAAGTCTGGCAAGCCTACCTGGAGACAGGTACAAGAATGCTCACTAGTGCGTTATGAGTAATTCTTTAGTGGCTCTGTGTATGTAGCAGTAGATTCACACAATGGATTATACAGTGTTAAAATGAACAGACTGTGACTACCAATAACATCATGGATAAACCACTGAAATAACATGAAGTGATTAAAAACAAGTTGCAGACAACTGTGTTATTAAGCCATTTCTATAAAACTGAAGCAGCAGCAAAACGAATCAATACACCGCCACCGATTCCAACTCTTAAGACACTTCCGGTTCTGCAGGGATGTGGCGGCCACCTTGCCCTGAACAGTCTCACTTTCCTGGAAACCCCATAGAACACGAGCCAACAGTGAAGGGGCCACACTGGTCTCTGCCCCTTTGCTCAGGGATCCTCTACCTCCATGGCCCCCAAGCCATCTGTCCTAGTGATCCCAGCTTCTCAGGGAGCCCCTGCCCTATTCCAGGACGGTGGGGGCTTCTGTCCACTGCTTCCCAGCCCCTCCACAGGCCTGAAGCTGTCCTCACTGCGATACCATTCCCCAGAGAGCGCACTCGGTGGCCGTGGTCAGGATGAAACCCATGGGCAAACGCTGCAGGGACTAGGAAAGGTCACCTGGTGCAGGTGGCACAAAGCCCCAGGTCCCCAGCTCTGCCGCAGGCCCATGAGGCTCCTCTCCCTGGAGCCGCCGTTCCTTCCCAGGACTGGGTGGACTCCGAGTGCCGCTGCCCAGTGTCTGCCTCCCTTCCTTTCGCTGGGGATGGAGAGCAGTGCGATGCTGGCCCCCGGGATCCCTGTTTACACAGCGTGATGGCCAACGCCACCCTTCCCAGAGAGACTTACATCATGGGGCCTGAGCTGTGACCCTTTTAGAATTATCCACACTTTTTTTTTTTTTACAATCTATTTTGAAACTTCCTCTCATTGTACTGGAAAAGCAGCGTAAAATCTATGTGCTGAACCTGAAACTCTCCTGGCCTGCAATCCAAGGAGCCTGTCATTGGCTACACCATGTAAGTACAGTTTGTTTCCAAGGCCATCTCTCACCGACTTTGTTCTTATTAAAATAATTTTTTAAATAATTTTTACTTTTCCTTCAAAGGAAGTTTTTTTTTAGTAAATATGTTCATATTCCCATCATAAGAAGTTGAAACAACACAAGATAAAAATTCCCTGGATTCTTCCCAGTTTTCATTTACTACCTCTGAGATAACTACTATTACCCATTTGGAGTGTTTCCTTTGTATTCTTTCCATATATTTACATATAAACATATGTGCACTTTAAAATGTATAGGTTTCTTTGAGGGGTGTTAGAATTTTTTACACCAAAACAGGATATTAAATATATGTGTTTTTGTGACTTGCATTTTCCACTCGATATGCCCTTGGGAGCTTTTCCTATCAGTAATGTATTGATCCGCTTTGCGTGACAGGCTGCTCGCCATTCCTGCAAGAACCAGTCTCCCCTTCTTCCACAGGAATAGAAATCTTAGCTAGACACACGGCTGTCCAGCTAAGGACTACATCTCCCAGCCCTTTGCACTAGGCAAAGCTACATGACTAAGTCTGTCCAATGAGATGTGTGCAACTTCCAGACTGTGCCTCCACCTCCCTCTTCCTGCTGAAGGAAATGGGGAAGTGAAGCTAAAGGAGCGATCTCAAAGTTCAGGGCAAAAGCCACATGTGGAGAGCAGCAACCACACAACAGTAGGCACCCTGGGTTCCTGAGGAGGGTGGAGCCTCCACACCAGCTCTGGAGGGTTTACTCAAACTATACTTCTTTATCTAAACCACTATTATTTTAATTTGTGCTGTTATAGCATAGAAACTCGTATTACTTTAAAATGAGTGTATGGATCCCATAGTATGGAAATACTACATTTTTTTTACTCCATTGTCAACAGACAATTTCATTCAATCAAAAAAAATATTAAGTGCCTTCTAACTGCCAGGCACTGTTCTAGGTGCTGTTGTTGCGAACAGGCTGCCAATAAGATCCTGGATCACAATTCTTCACGCCCTTCTAGTACAGGTATCTTCTCTCCCTGAGTGAAGGAAGAAGGCAAGGAGGAGGAGCCTGTAGTCCATTCTCTCACTTTAACTGGGGTTACCCCAGACAAGAAAGGTGACCTAATCAAATCTCCCTGTAAACTTGCTAATGAAAGACCTCCTGGCAAACCCAAGGATATTTGCTAGCAGGAGAATCCTTATCTGTGGAATGCCTTCAGCGGGATGTACTTGGTGTGTCTAGGATTGCTCACAGTAAATAAACTTGGAATCCTAGGAGTTATGGAGTATGGATCCCTGAAAAATGCCATATAAACTATGCAGCTCTCAGAGTACAAAATGGAGATACTTCATGGTCAACAGCTTCCTCCATGTGACTGATGTAAGCAGGTGCATTTGCTTAGAGACCTCCCATGTGAAATCTGGGCCAGAGCACATCCTCACACAGCAAGAAAGAACCAGGCGGTGTACTTGGCAGACAGCTTCTCTCTGCTTCTATAAAGCCTCACGATTACATGTGTCCTAGAAATTATTAGGAAGCTTGATATGCAATAAGATCAGTGACTCCCAAAAGCTGCACCTAACAGTTTTATCACTGTGTTCTCTTAAAGGGAAAATTTGTTTTAAAAAGGCAAAGGAATTCCTTCTCTTACTCCTTCCTCAACTAAACGTAATAGACTGAAATTTTGCACTCATGGACTCAGGTTTGTAAGACATTTAACTTTAAAATGTACCTTTATTTTATATAACCCAATCTGATTTTCTAACTCTAAGCCAAAATTACACCTGATACAGATTTAATTCAGTCATTTCTAAGTAAACAGTCAAATTAACTTTTCCATCAATTCTGCTCTTTAGTGCTTCAGTCGCATCACACTCAAGCCCTCTCGGGTGCGCCGCACTGTTCCCCTCCCTGCAGTTTCAGTGTATGAGGGGACGTTTGTGTAACTGTTGCTTCAACATCACAGGGTAAGGCCACCAGCCTCTCAGGTGTCACTTGGTTTGGTCCTGTGCTCATCTCCTTCTCCCACTGCCTGGCCTGGGTGCAGGCCCATGAGCACATTTACTGTCCTGTGCAACACACTCTCTCAAGCTCTGTGACCCCCAGGAGCCCAGAGGAACTTCTCATGCCACTCAGAGTCATCCCTTGCCCTGACCCCACTCCCACCTTCTATGGGGCAGTCCCCCTCCAAGTTCTAAACACACCAAAGAAAACAGATCTCTTGCACTCCTGGGTCCCAAACATGAGGGCAGCTTCCATCGGGGCCACCATGGAACTCAAAGTGGAATGTGAAGGCTCCTCCCACCCACCTGACCCCCTGGTGCTCTCCAATTCTCCTCTTCTTGACCCACAGCTCAGGCATTTCTCACAGGGAGGGTAGGAAAGGAAGTACTGATGCTCGCAGTGTGCAGCTCGGTCTTTGTGCCTTTCATCGGAACCCTCAGCTCTCCAACCTGGAATCCAACAGCTGAGCCTCTTGGCCTGACAACTTCCCCTTGGAGTTAAAGGTGACCCTGTGACCTCCCATCCAGACTGGACATGGTTAGTAGACAAGGGGGAGGAAAAGTCAGGCCAGGTAACAGATCCCAGATGGCCACTCTGCTCACAGAGCTGCCCACACACCCCATGACTTTGCTTCCTTTAGGACACAGTCGCATGTAGTTTGAAGAACCAGGGCAGCCAGGTCAAAAGTTTTCTAAGTTTACAGGAGAAAATTATAAACCAACACTCCCAACACAGCTCCGGCTGACTTTGCGTAGAACCCTAGAGTAAGAGAAATCTCACTACCATCTGCATTACTACCTAACTGCAAAACTACTATATCTATACCTGTATCTCTCTATCCCTACTGTGTGTATGTATATATAGTCGTAGTCCATTTCCTGTTGCTATAACTGAATACCTGAGACTAGGTCATTTATTTTTTAAAAAGAGAAATGTATTCATCACCGTCCTGGAGGTCAAGGGACTGCACCTGGTGAGGGCCTACGTGCTGGCGGGGACTCTACAGAGTCCTGAGGTAGCACAGGGCATCGCATGTTGAGGGAGCTAAACTGGCTCTTCACAGACCCACTCTCTAGTTTTCTTAGATACGATGAAAATGTATTTGTTTAAACGTATGGAGTACAAGTGCAATTTTGTTACTATACATGCATAGACTGCACAGTGCTGAAGTCTGTGCAGTCTATGCACAGTCTGTGCAACATACGTTGCACCCATTCAGAAGTGTCTCATCACTCACCCCTCCTCCCACCCCTCACCTTTCCAAGTCTCCATTCTCTACCATTCCACTCTCTCCATCCATGTGTACACATCATTTAGCTCCCGCTTATAAATGTGAACATGTGGGATTTGTCTTTCTGTATCTGACTTGTTTCACTTAGGACAGTAGCTTCCAATTCCATCCATGTGGCTGTGAAAGACAAGATTTCATTCTTTTGATGGCTGAATAGTATTCCATTGGGTATAGATGCCATGTTTCCTTTATCCATTCATCCACCGATGGACACTTAGGTTGATTCCATACCTTTGCTACTGTGGATAGTGCTGCAATAAACAGAAGAGTGCAGGTATCTTTTTGATATAATGATTTCTTTTCCTATGGGTAGACAGATACCCAGTAGTAGGATTGCTGGCTCAAATGGTAGCTCTATTTTTAGGACTCTGAAAAATCTACATACTGTTTTCCATGGAGGTTGTACTAATTTACCTTCCCAACTACAGTGTATAAGAGTTCCCTTGACAACATCTGTTATTGTTTGAGTGAGGTAAGATGATATCTGACTGTGGTTTTAATTTGCACTTCTCTCATGATTAGTGATATTGGGCATTTTCTCACATGCCTGTTGAACGTTTGTATATCTTCTTTTGAAAAATGTCTATTCGTATCCTTTGCCCACTTTTTAATGGCGTTATTTTGTTGCTGTGAGTTGTTTGAGTGCTCATATATTCTGGATATTAGACCCTTGTCAGGTGCATATTTTGGAAATACTTTCTTCCATCCTGCAGGCTATCTGTTCACTCTGTTGATTATTTCTTTTGCTGTGCAGAAGTTCTTTAAGTCCCACTTGTCCAATTTTGTTTTTGTTGTCTGTACTTCTGAGAATTCAACAATAAATTATTTGCCTAGACCAACATCCAAAAGAGTTTCCCTAGGTTTTCTTCTAGTATTTTTATAGTTTCAGGTTTAAGTCTTTAATCCAGCTTGAGTTGATTTTGTGTATGGTGAGAGATAGCAGTCCAGTTTCATTCTTCTACACAGGGCAATCCAATTTTCCCAGTACCATTTATTGAAAAGGATGTCTTTTCCCCATTGTATGCTCTCGTTAACTTTGTCAAAGATCACTTGGCTGTAAATATGTGGCTTTAATTCTGGGTTCTCTATTTTGTTGTCTAGTTTTATACCAGTAACATGCTATTTTGGTTACTACAGCCTTGTATAATTTGAAGTCAGGTAATGTAATATCTCCAGCTTTGTTCTTTTTGCTTAGAATTGCTTTGGCTATTCAGGCTCTTTTTTGGTTCCATATAAATTTTAGGATTGCGTTTTCTACTTCCGTGAAAAATTACGTAGGTATTTTGGTAGGGATTACATTGAATATGTAGATTGCTTCAGACAGTATGGTCACTTTAATGATATTAATTATTCCAATCCATGAATATGGATGTTTTTCCATTGGTTTGTGTCATCTGCAATTTCTCTCATCAGTATTTTGTAGTTTTCCTTGTGGAAATCTTTCACTTCCTTGGTTCAATTGATACCTAGGTATTTTATTTTTGTAGTTATTGTAAATGGGATTGCTTCCTTGATTTCTTTCTCAGCTAGATCATTATTGGTATAAAGAAATACTACTGATTTTTATACATTGATTTTGTATCCTGCAACTTTGCTGAATTTGTTTAACCAATCTAAGTTTTTCAGTCAAGTCTTTAGGTTTTTCTAGATATAAGATCACATCTAGCCAGGGGCGGTGGCTCACACTTCCCAGCACTTTGGATAGCCGAGGCAGGCAGATTGCTTGAGCCAGAAGTTTGAGACCAGCCTGGGCTACACTGTGAGACTCCACCTCTACAAAAAAATTTAAAAATTAGCCAGGCATGGTAGTATGCACCTGTAGTTCTAGCTACTTGGGAGGCTGAGGCGGGAGGATCCCTTGAGTCCAAGAGTTTGAGGTTACAGTGACCTAGGATAGCAGCACTGTGCTCCAGCCTGGGTGACAGAGCGAGACTTTGTCTCAAAAAAAAAGATTATGTCATCAGCAAACCACGATAATTTGACCTCCTCTTCTCTAATTGGTATGCCTTTTATTTATTCCTCTTGCCTGACTGCTCTGGCTAGGACTTCCAGTACTATGTTGAATAGGAGTGATGAGAGTGGGCATTCTTGTCTTGTTCCAGTTCTTAGAGGGAATGCTTTCAACTTTTCCCCTTTTGGTATGATGTTGGCTGTGGGTTTGTCATAGATGGCCTTTACTATTTTGAGCTATATTCCTTCTATATTTTGTTTGTTGAGGGTTTTTATCATGCTGAATTTTACCAACTGCTTTTTCTATGTCTATTGAGATGGTCATATGGTTTTGTTCCTAATTCTATTTATGGGATATATCACATTTATTGATTTGCATATGTTGAACCATCCTTGCATCCCTGGCACATAACACATCATAGCGTATTATCTTTTTGATGTGCTGCTTGAGTCAGTTTGCTAGTATTTTGTTGAGGATTTGTAATCTATGTTCAATAGGGATATTGGTCTGTATTTTTGGTGTTGTGTCCTTGTCTGATTTGGGTACTGGGGTGATACTGGCCTCATAAAATGAGTCAGGAAGAAATCCCTCATCCTCCATTTTCTGGAACCGTTTCAGGAGGGTTGGTACTAGTTCTTCATAGGTTTGGTAGAATTCGGCTGTGAATCTATCTTGCCCTGGACTTTTCTTTGTTAGGAGATGTTTTTGTTACTGATTCAATCTCACTGCTCGTTATTCAGACCCACCCTTTTGATAACTAATCCACTCCTGTGACAAGCTATCAAGGATGAATGGATTATGGATTCTGCCATTCATGAGGGCTGAGTCCTCATGACCTAATCACCTCTTAAAGGCCTCACCTCTTAATACTGTCACATTGGGGATTACATTTCAACATGAGTTTCAGAGAGGACAAACAATCAAACCATAGCATATCCCTATTATGTAGCTTTTAATCTATATAATAAATTATAAAAGTAACCAAATTTACTAATTGATTTTATGCCAAGGTTCATATCAAACAAATCAAAATAAAACTTAAGCCGCATTCCTGAACCAAGGAATCCTATCCTTTACCCTCCAAGCATGCATAAATCACCTTTCAGAAAACTCCTCCCAAGAAAATTCCCACTCTCTATTTGACCTCCAGCTACCAAAAATTCATTCATTTTCAATTTTTCCCCTTTGGCAGATTTTTTTATAACTAGTTTAAAATATTTTGACCAAAGCACTAATTTCTTTTACATACAAAGAGCTCTTACTAATCAATAAGAAAAAGGCCTACAATCAGGTAGAAAAATGGCCAAGGTACATGAATCAGGAGTAGACAATAAGAGAAATATTTATGGTCTATTAAGATACAAAATTGCTCAATTTAAGAAATTAAATAACACTATTTCTTTCCTCTCATATTGGCAAATAAATAAAACACTGATAAAACTCCAGAGCTACATGGGTAGGAAGAAAAGGGCCTCTTCTCCAGCTACCTAAGATGCTGAAAGGGAAGAAGGCCAAAGGGAAGGAGGAGGCCCTGGCCCCTGCCACCATGCAGCAGCAGATGGCCAAGAAGATGGACGTCTGAGGAAAGCCCTAAGAATTTCTGCAGTGGACAGGACGTCCAGCCATTACAGGGACCTTGCCCACTTTGTCAAGGGCCCTGCTGTATCAGGCTGCAGTGGCAAAGGGCCATCCTCCATGAATGGCTGAAAGCACCTCCTGTGATTGACTGGTTCACCCAGGCCTCAGGCCACAGGCAGCTACCCAATGGCGTACGCTGGCCCACAGTACCAACCAGAGACAAGCAAGAGAAGAAGCAGAGACTGTTGGCCTGGACTAAAAGACAGCACTGGCACAGGGGACATCCCCACTAAGAGATGGACCACTTGTCCTTCCAGCAGGGGTTGATACTGTCACAACCTTGGTGGAGAACGAGAAGGCTCAGCGGGTGGTGATCGCACGTGACGTGGCTCCCACTGAGCTGGTTGTCTTCCTGCCTGCCTGCGTCCTGAGATGGGGGTTCCCGACCGCACTGTCAAGGGAAGGCCTGACGAGGGCGTCAAGCCCGCAGGACCAACGAGTCTGCTCCACTGTCGCCTTCACACAGGTTAACTTGGAAGACAAGGGAGCTCTAAGCTGGTGGAAGCTATCAAGACCCACGACAACAGATATGACAAGATCTGCCATCGCTGGGAAAGCTAGCTCTGGGACCAAAATCTGTGGCTCACGTTGCCAAGCTGGAAAAGGCAAAGGCCACAGAACCTGCCAATAAACTGGGTGAAATGAACACTGTTGAGTTTTCTGTACATCAAAATAACACAAATTCTCCTTCAATAAAAAAGGGGGCATTCTCTCTCTCTCTCTCTCTCTCTCTCTCTCTCTCTCACACACACACACACACACACACTACTGACAAAAATATAAACTAGAAAACCTCTTTGGTGAGCAATTTGGCAAACTTTAAAATGCACATACACTTTTAAAAACAGCAATTCCACATCTAGGAACCTACCCAAAAGAAAACTCACATATATACAAAGATAGAACTTTAAGAATTTTTACTGCAATCCAGCTTATTATTAAATATAGAAACAGTCTAAGGTTGCCATCAACTGGGGACTGATTCAGTAAGAAATGGCACAGGCATATGACATAATACCACGTGGCCACTACAATGAAGAAGAGTTTTTAAAATTGATATATAACTATGTACATGAGAAATTTGTTTTAGAAAAAAGTAACTCACAGCAGTATGTCACATGTATTTTCAATAAAGGGAAGGAAAAGGAAGAGAATATCCAAGAGCCTGTGCAAACAGAGTAAGTCCATGAAAGGAAGCGAACTCTGAACTGCAGCTCCCCGCGCGGAGCGGGGCAGAGGCAGCAGCAGCATCTAAGGCTCTGACTCTTACAGTGCTGTTCGCATTGTGTCTGTGATTGTACCTTTGGGTATGTCGTCATGAACAAATGGTGGAGAATGAGATGATGAGCACCCACCAACACACTGCACCGCAAGAAATAAAACTGCACCAACACGAGCGAGGCGCCACGGCACCCCTCCCGGGAGAGGCCCCCCAGCCTGGTGCTTGCTCGTCCTCCCGCTCGCCCCTGGCTTGTCCTCCCACCGAGGGGCACGCGCCACCCTGGACAGCAGACTGCGCTGCTCACGGGCTTGAGGCTTCTGTATTTTGCCTTTTTTATGAGCGCGATTTTCAGATGTACTTCAGGTGATGCAGGTACCACTATCTCACTCAGATGTAGCTCTCGGGTACTCCAGTACACCCATAAGGTATTTCTCCATTCTCTGTTAATGGTCTTATCTCAGTAAGCAACAGTTGAGAAGGAACTCACTCCTGCAAATCCAACCTTCTGCGGGCAGCAGTCCTCAAGTGCTGTGGTCTCAGGACTCCTGGGAGTACCTACAAACGACTGAGCACCTCAGCGAGTCTTTATTTTTGTGGGTTTCAGCTACTGATGTTTCTCATACCAGAAATTAAACTGAGGAATTTAAAAATATGTATTCATTCATTTCAAAATTACACCAATCAATCCTTTACATATCACAAATAACATATTTTCATTTTTAAAATTTCCAAAATCCATTGTATGGAAATTTTAAGAATTTGGGTGCTGCTACTTAACCAGGTATTTTAATTAATTAATTTAATTAATTAATATAACTTTGAGTCAGTTTGCAGAGACACAGAATTAAACACGCTTGCCTTAAATGAAACACAAGGCAATCATTTTTGATGACAGAAGCATTTCGAGATCCTGGGTTCTCTTTCACATCAGCCCCTTTTGTTAGTCACAGGCCTGAATGCTTATCTCCATGAGAACCAGCTTGTGCTGGCTACAGACATTAGGCAGAGACAAAGAGCAAACTACACAAAAGGGAAAGCAGTCCACTTCCAAACATCATCTCACCCACTTCAAGAATTTCAGACCCTCAGCGAGTCTACAAGTAACTCAGCTCCCCTTCCTTGCTCCTCCCCAGAGGAGGGAGAAGCTGACAAGGATGAGCTGGCACAAGGTCACCACGTGGCTCGGTGTGCAGGGGGTTAGAGCTTTCCATCTCACCAAGGAGACGTAGAAATGCCGAGCAACAAGGGGTCTGGCTCGCTGGTCCCCAGGCTTTCACAGGAGCAAGTGGCCACTGAGGGCGGAAACCCGGGCTGAGCCTGCAGACAGCAGGATGGAGGCGGCAGTGACAAAAGCGTTGGCAAAGGACAACAATGGAGAATCTGGTGGCAGTTAGGACACAGAACTATTGGCCTTAGAGACCAACTTGTGACTAGATGCAGTATTATATTTCTTCTAATAGTCAGCTTATTTTGCATACAGATTAAGAAAGGCTGGTGCCAGTAATTTCAAAGGGAACGTTTAACATTCATAGAACTAGTAATAACTGTGTAGAGGGAATGCTGAAGATTGTTCTAGGGCTAAGGGCGAGTGCCTAAGCCAAGGACACCGTCAGCAGGGGCCCCTGCCCAGGCCTGGGCCTCAGAGCGCGCTGGACACCACATGCCTGCAGTCCACTGGGGGGAGGAGCTGACGTGGCTGTCCAGGCCGGAGCTGCTCCACAGCCACAGAAAACCCTGCCCTGGGGTGCAGGCAAGCCAAGGCGGACTCAAAAGCAGAAGCTGGGAGTGAGATGCCCTTGGGGGTGCTGAAGAAGGGTGCATACAGACGCTGGGTAGCCTAACGGGGCACTGTGCCAGACACCAAGGCATTTCTTCTCAGCGCCAAACCCACCCTGCCGTGCCCAGCTTCTGATCCTGGCACTGGGCCTTGAAGACCACATGGCTCCTGCCCAGGGGCTCAATGTTCAGCAATGGGCACAGGCACTGCCTCCCAGATGGAGTGGGGTGGACTGGCATGTGAGGGTCCCACATCGTTTTTCCTGGGGACTGGGGACAGCCACCAATCCTCACCTGGAGCTGCTTCACTCTCTCACAGCTGCGATGGACTCACAGTCCTGTCAGATAAGGCCCCTACTCTGGGTATCTAAGCCTCCCACGCCCACTTTTCTAGACTCAGCCCCTTTCCACACTGATGACCTTAGCCTTTCTTTTCTCTTTCAGCAGCTAACCTTCTTTTCCTTTGTTAACGATTCTGTATACTGAATTTTTCCTGTTCAAATTACTGCTGCGTTTCCTGTCTCCTGGCTGGATCCTGACTGATTCCACCTGAGTTTGTGCAAAGTAAAGCCCTGAAGTCCCCGTCACTAAGAATCCGGAGTCACGTGAAGCTCGCTGCCTGACACCATGGCACCCTCCAGGGGCCTCCTCTGCTCTCTCCCTCCCTGTGCCAACTCTGCTGCTTCTTCTAACTTCCAGGCACTTCCTGCATCCCTGCTGGCCCCTTCTCTCAGCACAGGCCAGCGTCCAGGTGGGGCCCTGATCGCTGCGGACGGTCACGGCCACCTTCGAAACTCTGCAGACCTGTCCACGGCGACGTCCGGACCCATCTTGTGGCCGCCTCATGACCCCTGGAAGCTTCTGCTGCTCTAACTGGGGAGGCTATGGGATCAGACTCACCTAACTACACAGGGAGGCCCACTTGGCAAAGTAAACAGCAACACTTAAACCTCAAGAGATTACAGCAGGAACCCATAAAACACAACACGTTACTACCTGTTTATTTTTAGATAGTGTATCACGCCACATTATGAAGGCCACTCCAAATCCCACACGGAGCGCCAGGGCTGTCTTGGTCCCAGCACTCACATGCCCTGTGACTGTGAGCAAGTCACCTGACAGCCAAACCTCAATCGCCTGGCCTGATGGCCTCAGGATTCCTATCAAGGTAAGGATGCACTCTGCAAAGCAGTGACCGCCACACCGTTATTTCCAACCCTGAGGACATGCTAGCTCCCCTTCTGCTCTGCTCCAGTGTGGGTGGGAACAGCCAGGACCCTCATCTTCACTGCAAAGAAGCCCAAGGCTGGCATCACAACCCCACCTATTCCCCCATGTCACCCGCCCCAAGGAGGAGTCCATTCACTGGTGGGATGGGGACGACAGCATTATCTGTCTCTCAGGTCCGCTGAGGACCATAAGCACCACTGCCAATTATCTAAAATGGCATCATACTCCCCACTGTCCAGGTCACTTTGAATTTCAAGGAGAAAGCAGGTGAAGGTGCCCTGTAATCCACAAAGAACCACATAAACACCAGTGTCAACCTTCACTACACCACAGCAGTGGAGAAAACACAGTTTTAAATATGTACTCAAAGAGATGAGGAATCTCCTGATTCCAAAGAACATTTTCACCACTTTCCAGGGCCCTTCACCTCCCATCCCTGCCCAATACAGGCAGCCCACACTGAGGCCAGCTCCCTGGGAGTGGCCCTGCCCCACCACCTACAGGCTCCACGGAGAAGTGAGGTGAGGCCCAGGGCGGGCAGGAGGGCACCTCCCTGAGAATCCAGACCAGGGCTCAGATCAAGAGACAAGGAAAGACAGCAGCAGCACGTGCAGCTGCAGAACGACTCCTCTAAGGAGGCTGAGGCCAGGCGCGTGTGGCTCATGCCTGTAATCCCAGCACTCTGGGAGGCTGAGGCAGAAGGATCGCTTGAGCTCAGGAATTCAAGACCAGCCTGGGCAAGATGGCAAAATCCCATCTTTACAAAAAATATAAAAATTAGCCAGGCATGGTAGCAAGTGCCTGTAGTCCCAGCTACTCAGTAGTCCCAGCTACTCAGGAGGCTGAGGTGGGAGGATCACTTGAGCCCAGGAGCAGGGGCTGCAGTGAGCTATGATAGAGCCACTGCACTTGAGCCTGGACAACAGAGCCAGACCCTGTCCCCAAAAATAAAGAGGATGTTGAAAATCCATATGATTACAAGTGTTTTAAAAAAAAAAATTCTATGCTTACATACATCAAAATGTTATCAGTGATCATTTTGAGGAGATAAAACGAGAAATCTGTTCTTCCTCCATTTTTTAAATTTTATTTTATTTTAGAGCCAGAGTCTCGCTCTGTCACCCAGGCTAGAGTGCAGTGGCTGCAACACAGCTCACGGCAGTCTTGAACTCCTGGGCTCAAGCGAGCTTCCTGCCTCAGCCTCCAAAGCACTCAGTTACAGGCGTGTGCCACGGCAGCCGGCTCCTTCCTTGCCTTTAAATGCTCTCAGGTGCTACATTTCATCATGGAAAACACTAGGGGAGGGGGAATCAAGTAGAAATATTCATCAAACACGGCCTTTCCTACTCCCCGGCCCTGCCTACCCAGCCAGCAGCCTTAGAGGGTCTTCTTAGGATGGTCTCAGGATGTGAACAAACACTAAAAAGGTGTCTTTACATCGTAAACAGCCGGAGTAGTTTCTCTGAAACAAAGGGAGCTAAGTGCCCACCCCCATCACCTGTCACAAGGGCCCTGGCTCCAAACACAGCACAGCCCCACACGGCAGCGCCGCCTCTGGCTGGAGGAAGTCCTTCCAGAGGGTTCCCTGCACCCAACCGCACAGGCACAGCCCCGCACACTCCCACACTGGCAGCACCGCCTCCTGCTGGACAAAGTCCCTTCCAGAGGGTTCCCAGCTTTGCTCATTTACTCTTTCCTGCTCCAAACTTAGCTCCTAAAGGCAGGGCCCCCAAAGGGATGCTGATGGGTCCAGGTCTTCAAGGCAGCACTACACACCTTGAGGTACCCCTCAGTGAGCAGGCGGCGTGGGGCTCCCCAGGCCCACTGCGGAGTCCAGCTGGTGTTTTACACAACAGGATATTCCCCATGGAGGAAACAGCACGAGGAACCAGCTTTCAGTGCTTCAAGAATATTCTCGCCTCAAGAGGGGTGTGGGACACTGGGATGAAGATTCTGGGGTCAGACCTAAAATGGGCTTCAAGGAGCCACAGGGACAGAGCTAGGGAGGAGCAGGAAGGGGAGGAAGGGCCTTATCCTGAGCTCCAAGACAACAACTTCCCTCTCGCCACCACCAGTCCTGCCCAGATGTCCTGCCCAGGACCAGCCATCAGAGCCAGAACCAGAACCAAGGACTCGAACAGGGCAGGGGGCAAGAGGTCCCAGCAAGACACAGTCCGCAGCCCACAGGCAACGCAGACACCCTGTGATGGCCACAGAGGCCACAGGGCCAGCAGGAGGAAGCCAGGACTGTGCAAGCTGGTGACTGGGAGTCACCTCCCCGTGACTGCTAAGTGAGGAGGCCGGGCCTCCGCGCTGAGTGGCTCCTGGCAGGCTTACCTTTTTATCTTCCTTAGTCTTTCGAACATTTCGATGGGGACCAAAAATGCTTTGCATTCCAAAGGCCTTCCTGGACCACTCCCTCTTCGGGGCATTCAGCGGGGGCTGCGCGAAGCTGCCCTCCACCCTGTAGCGGTCTGCGGGGATCTTGCTCATAGGAGGGGGCAGTGTGCCGCAGTTGATGCTGGACCAGCCATCGGTGGAATCTGTGTAAGAGTCCTGGTCGCTGGTGTGTCCGCACTGCCACTCCCGGAGCACGTGGACCGGGAGCCAGCGCTGGTTGAAACCACAGCCAGCACCCACGGTGCCCCTCTTGGAAGGGGGGACTGAGCTCCTCAAGGAAGCTGGGGGCACCTCCACAGGAGAGGCTGGCCCTAGGTGCTTGTTTAGGTCCCAGAACCTGTCAGTCTGATGAGCGGCCTCAAATGGGGGGCTCCCTTCGGGGTCCGGACAGAAGGGCCCAGTCCAGGGAGCACCCCAGGGCTGGGCACCCCTCCCACCCACACCGTCCCACGCGCTGCCTCCGGGGCCGTGTCTGCTCGAGCTCCCACCCAGGTCCACCACAAGGACCCGGTTGCTCTTCTCCTCCTGGTGGAAGTTCCCAATGCCGCTGTCACTGTTGCTGCTGGTGCTGTTGTTCTGGTGGGCATCGGCGTCCCCGTCCAGAAAGGCGCGGGCCCGCATGCCCTCAATCAGCTCACCCATGTCTCGGTACAGGACAGAGATGAACTGCAGGACGGGGAGGGAGGACGCCGGGAATTCCAGACAGCCATTGGTGTCTGGGTCGGCCGTGCACTCAAACCCAAACCGCCGAGCAATGCCTTGGTGGATCTTGTGATTAAACAAGTCTGGGTCCACCATGAACACGTGGCAGGAAGTCCGCAGGGCGCCCTCCTCCTCCTGGGCCAGGCTCCCGTCGTCATTCGTCTGCATGGTAACCAACCCGAAAAATCGCCGGTCGTCCGGGCACACGGCGCTGAAGGCCAGCTTCTCGGCCGGGTACTCGGCCACGACTCCAGCCTTGTCAGTGCTCAGCTGCACACAGTCGTGCATGATCTTCATGGTCACCAGCGAGTGGATTTTCTGCTCTGCCCGCAGGCGCCGCATGCAGCCGCGGATGGCTTGCAAGCTGTCGGACTCCAGGTTGGAGCTCGTGGAAGGAAGCTCAATGGAGCCTAAGTAGCCCACGATCATCGCCACGTTTAAAATACTTGCATCCAATGCAAAATCGTCATGACTTTCTAGTCCAATGCTGAAAACCGAATCATCATGAATAACTTTTGATATTTCCTCCTTAGAAAGCATGTTGGGATTTGGATTATTTATACTTTCATGTCCAACATCAAATCGAGTTGCGGCCGACTCTGAAAGGGATCTTTGTTTCAATTTCAAGGGCTCTGAATTGCTCGCACAAAGGCTCGGGTTTTCAAAAATCATATTGAAAATTCCACCAGACTGCATTTCCTCCACGACTCGCTCTGCTCTGTTTATACCTAGTGCTTTAGAATCCAGCTTGGGCTTCAGCCAGCCTTTTCCTTCATAGAGTCCCCCTTCTTCATCACTGGAACAGGATTCGAAGCGGCCGACGCCTTCAGCAATCACCATGTGAAGGACACCAGAGCACTTCCCAATTAATTTCACTACATCTTCATGAGATGCTTTTTTCACGTTGATTTCATTGACAGCAAGTATCTGGTCTCCAGCTCGGAGGCCCACGAAATCCGCAGGGCTCCCTCTCATGACGCAGCTGAGCACACAGGGTGCCTGTCCCGAAAGCGTGAATCCGTAGCCGGCCCTCCCCCGGGCAACCTCCACACTCCGCACCCTTGGGGGCGACGGCCCAGGCAATGGGCGTTTGGAGGCCTCCCCAGCTCTAAACATTCTGATGAGCTTCCAAGACCAAGAGCACGTCTCATTGTTCCCTTGGAGCCATATTTCAAGGAATGCTTGATGCTACCATGTTTGCTTCTTCAAACAGTGCCCTAAGAAAGAAAAACGAACAGCTCATTATTAAAGAGCCCATCTTTCTCCACCACTCACTGGTATTAGCTAAACACAAAAAGATAATTCATAATAAAAACCACCACAGAAAGAGCCTCTAAGTGTCTATAGATAATAAATCTTCAAGTCAGGCTAAGAAACTTCCTTTCGGAGTAGAAAATGTCTCCCACAACTGCTACCTTGTTACCACACAAGTTCCTGCCAGGCCCACCTGCCACGGGTGTGAGGATGCAGGACTGCTTCCCAGCACTGCTTCCACACCCTGTTTGGATGGAAAGAGCCCCTTGCTACTCAAAGTGTGGTCCGTGGACTGGCAGCCCGTCTGAAAGGCAGACTCTCGGGCTCCACACAGAAGAAACACACCCAAACCCACGTTTCACAGGATGGCAGAGTCCAAGCGTGAGAAGCAAGGCCTGCTACAGGCTTCAGGTTCAAAGGCACCTGCAGAACACTGAGTCTAACCCCTTAGTTGATCATAAATCCCCTGACATAGAGTTTTCCCTCAGGAGAGGGGTCACCTAATATTCCATGACCCTCCCACATTAATTTATTTTGAATATACTGTGTGGGGGAAAACGTATTAGCCTGAAACAACCTCGATCAATACTGCAGAGGCCACTCAACAGGCTAGATAAAAACCACCACCTAAAAAAGCAGAAATGTCATATTAACTCAATTCTTCCAGGGGGTATAAAAGTATTGGTTGTCATTGAGAACAAACTTGTCAGTGGTCCGCGGATCACCCCCAGGCCAGTGATTCCCTAGGATTCCCAGGACTTGGCACAAAGGTGCTCTCACAGCTGAGATTCATTACAGCGAAAGGATTCCACACAAAATCAGCAAGGGCAGAGGTCCATGGGGCGATGTCCCAAAGAAACCAGGCTTGAGCTTCCAGAATCCTCTCCCAGCGGGGTCACGCAGGACGCACTTAACTCCCTACACAGTGAGCCGTGACAACGCATGTGCAGTGTCGTCACCAGGGAAGCCCACTAGAGACTCGGTGCCAGGGTTTTTACTGGGGGCTGGGCACATGGGCACCCTCTGCCTGCTTCGTGCCCAGACTCTGGACTCCCAGAAGAAAGGAAGGTTCTCAGCACAAACCTTGTTCCCCACACAAGCAGCTAAGCACAGGGAGCCCCTCTTCATTGAGGGTGGTGGGCACCGTCCTGACACCAGCGGGGGGCCAGCCTTGCACACAGGCCTCTCAGGATGGTCTCGGGCCTGCTGTGTAGTCTCTTCTGCAAGACTCTTTAAAGATCACTTTAAAAAGCAATACAGTAAGTGATTGTGTTGTGAAGACACAAAATAGAATAGAGGGTATGTTTTTTTAAAGAAATAATTGTTTTAGGCCAGGTGCGGTGGCTCACGCCTATAATCCCAGCGCTTTGGGAGGCCGAGGCAGGTGGACCACGAGGTCAGGAGATCAAGACCATCCTGGCTAACACGGTGAAACCTTGTCTCTACCAAAAATACAAAAAAAATTAGCTGGGCATGGTGGCGGACGCCCGTAGTCCCAGCTACTCGGGAGGCTGAGGCAGGAGAATGGCATGAACTCGGGAGGTGGAGCTTGCAGTGAGCCGAGATCGTGCCACTGCACTCCAGCCTGGGTGACAAAGCGAGACTCTGTCTCAAAAAATAAAATAAAATAAAATAAATAATTGTTTTAAAGTTAATAACTTCTAATAGAAAAGATTTTTGTGTCTTGGGATAAAGTTTCCAGCAATAGGATCATAAACAGATTTGAAGTAATTTACACACATAAAAGCTACAGAACTAGATAGAGTGGAAAGGCTATTACTAGGTGACTCCAAAAGTGGCTTCAGTGATGACAAAACACGGACACAGAACATGCGTACTTAGTAAAATTATGTTTTGATGGAAAAGAGTAAAAAATGAATATAAATTACATTACTCAATATCTAAGTAGTACTGTATTAATAATTTAAATATTAGGACTGGGCATTTAACTATTTAAAATCATTAAAAAATGAATTTAAAAAATAAAATAATTAAAATTATTTTATAATTTTTTAATAATTAAAAATTATTAAAAATCATCATTAAAAAATAAATAAATAAATGTAAAAGTTGGCCAAGAAACACGTCTGGGGATCGATCTTCTTAAGAGGTGTGACAGGCTGGCTGATGGCCCCTGATACACCCACATCCTCACTCCCAAGCTTTTGGATGGCTCCTCCCATCCACGTGACCACGTGAAGGCTCTAGAGATGGGGAGAGTGTGGGGTGCGCCTGTGTGAGCCTGGGGTCAGAGCCAGAGGGGACGGCCACATGAGGAAGGATGCGGAGACTGCAGGGATTCAAGGATGGGTCTCGAGCCCAGGCAGACGGGCAGGCGGTCACCTCCAGAAGCCGGAAAGGTGAAGGAAGCAGACTTAAAGTCACCAGAGGAACCAGCTCTGCCACACCTGCCATCAGCCAGGTCACACTGACTGCAGACACGAGGCCCCCGAAAACGCAGGAGAATGAATGTGTGTTGTCTTAAGCCCCCCAGTTTGCAGTAATTTCTTTCAGCAACCCCAGGAAACAAATACAAGGGGGAATCACTTTGTCACGGGTGAGGGGAGAGGGAAAGCAGGACATGCGTGAAACGGTCTCACTAAAGCACGCTCAGAAAAGCATCTGTCACACAACAAAGGTGCTGCTGTTCCCGGCAAGTGCCAGCTATCACTGTGAACAGCCCCAGGACAGCAGGTCATGAAGCCTTGATGGCTTCCTCGGGGAACAGAACACCTCTCGGCTTTCTCTTCCAAACAGGAATAGATGCTGCCTCAATGAAAGACATGACTTCCCAGTTTATTCGCACCATCCGCCTCACACTGTGTGACATAATGATGGACAATGTCTTCTATGCAGTCCACCCAATTTTTCTACTAGACTCTTACTGTCATGGGCCTCTGCTTATTAAAAAGAAATGGTTTGTAACTCATGTAAGTAATATCTTATTATCTATAATCACGTTTCTTTGTTTTTATTTTTTAGAGACAGGGTCTCACTCCATTGCCCAGACTGGAGTGCAGTGGCACAGTCATTGCTCGGTGCAGCCTCAAACTCACTCCTGGGCTCAAGCCATACCAAGCACACCCCCATACTCGGCTAACTATTTTTTTTTTTTTGGAGAAAACTGTATTGAGATATTTTAAGTCACGTATCTAATATAAAACCAGTTTGCATTGTTTCAGCTTGTCTTCCTTGGAACCTGTGGTTGCCCTTCACCTCCTTCTGGCAATTTAAATTGCTCTGATTTCGGCAGAATATTCCCCGGACATCAGGACCATCTCCACATTCATCCCAGTCTTTGAGACAGCTCCCGGAGATCAGCTTCCTGGTCAAGCACAAGAATCTCAGCAGCACCGTGATCTTCCTCTCTCTCCTGGCCAGGTAAGACCCCGACTTTCAGGTGGTGGTTCCTCTTGCTGAGGCTGCTCATCACTGGGCTCAAGCACAGGCCCAGTTAGCTCAGGAGGCTGCACATACCGTCTTGGTCTAAGCCTACATGCTGATCTTCCTTGCCAACTCATATTTCAAACGGCTGCTTCTCAGTAGTGGGTAAAGAGTCCAGAACGCAGGAACGCAACCCTCACACCCTCACAGGTCCACAGTGTTCACCACGTGGGCAAAGGGGCCAAGGAGAAGACACCCAGTGAACCTTGGCTAATGTTTTAATTTTTCTGTAGACGAGGTCTCACTATGTTGCCCAGACTAGTCTCAAACTTCTGACCTCAAGCAATCCTCCCACCTTGGCCTCCCAAAATAATCACATAAGTTCAGCTTATAGTTTAATTTTTTTTAAAACTGTATCAATTAATAGTAAAGCTAGCAGAACAGACAGTGAAATTTAGAAGACCATGGGGTACTGGATTCCAGCTGAACTTCCATTACACCATCGGGGCTACCAGTAAGAACGCCTGCTCCCAAGCCCCTGCACCTCCCAGGGACTCTGACTTAGTAAGTCTGGGGCAAGGCCAGGAAGCTCCAACTTCCCCCTACACACCTTCCAGCTAACTCTGAATCACCTTGACTGGAGATCATTTAACCCAGCCTCTTCACTGTGTGGAAAAGGGAACAAGGTCCAGCCAGAAGTAATTCATCCAAGCCCTGAGGCACAGATGGGATGTGACACGAAGGTCCCCACTCGCCGCACAGCACTGCCACCTCCCATCAGGAGTCACCGACCACGTCACACAGGCTGAGTGTCCCTTAGAAGAGATTTTTGGGACCAGAAGGGCTGTGGATTTTTTCTGATTCGGAACATCTGTATATACGTAATGAGATATGTTTGGATAGGACCCAGGTCTGAACAGGAAATTCATTTATGTTTCATATACACCTTATACACACAGCCTGAGGGTAATTTTGTGCGGTACTTTTGATAATTTTGTGCATGAAACAAGGTTTGTGTACACTGACCCATGAGAAAGCAAAGGTGTCACTAGCTCAGCTATGCCTGAGGTGCCACATCGGTGTCAGAGGGTTTCCGATTCTGGAGCATCTGGATAAGGGATGCTCAACCCGCACTGTCACTCCTTCACTCATTCATCATTAAAAACTCATGGTGTAAAGAGGACAATAAAACAAAACAAAGAAAAAAAACTCAGGGTGATCTAGAAATAAATATTGCTGCCATGACACTTTTCTATTCCCTTCTAAAGTTAAAACCTCCTATAAAAGGTCCTGTTCTGATAAACTCCTCCACTCATGCCGGGCAGCACCCAAGACCTGCAGGTACAGAGATGGGTCCTAGGCCTGAGCTACGATGCAGCAGGCCCCGAGCGAGGCAGGGCTGGAAAGACCAAGCCAGCACCCGTCCGCACTGCCCGTGCACACAGTGTGAGGCGAGAGAGACGCCGTCCTCCGAAGGCAGAGAGAGTCTGGGGGCACCGAGAAGAAGAGAGCAAGGCACAAGAACAGCACAACATCAGCAATCACGGCCTCCAGGGTGACCCCACGGGCTGCAATGGCAGCCGCCACGGCCAGGACTTGCTGTGCAGCGCATGTCATCCTAAACACCATCATCGCTCTGAGGAAGGCTCTGTTACAATTCTCGCGTGCAGATGAGGGAGTGGGGGCACAGAGAAGCTAAGTAACTTGTCTACCAGCACACAGCCAATTAACGGCAAAGGTGGATTTGAACCCAGGCTATTCTTGGCTTACCCACACTTACGTGGATGCACAGAGGAAGGGCCTGAGACAGCAAGACACCACGCCACCTTCTCCACCTGGGACCTGCCCCCGCAGGCGCCTGCCCACCTCACACCCTCCCATAGTCATCATGTCCCAGCAGCCTCCCCCCACCACCACCTCACAGTGCCCACAGCTGCCGAACACCCACCTGGCACCCCCCTCCCACCTCATCAGGGACACACACACCAGACGATCTGATACCCGCCCCATGCAGACCCGCACTGGCCATCCCTGCATCCAGCCACCTCCCATCATTCACCTGAGAGGCCCTCCAAGTCCCTGGCCACTCTTCCCAGACCTTCCCTGGACCCAGAGCAGCATGGACCTGCCCGCCCTGGACACAGCAGGACACGGTGCCAAAGGGAGTGAGCTGGCAGATTCTGGAATCACCAAGGCCACTTCCAGGCCATTTTACTGAGCCACCAGTCAATACCTCTCCACACTTCCCTTCTTGGGGTGCAGCGTGGACTGGAGACAGCCCTTGCCTTGGCCTTCCAGGCCCCAGCTCCTCTCCCGCCCGGTTCCCCTCAGAGGACACCTGCCATTTCCCGGGTCCCAGCTCCTCCCCGACACGGTTCCCCTCAGAGGACACCTGCCATTTCCCGGGTCCCAGCTCCTCCCCCACACGGTTCCCCTCAGCGGACACCTGCCATTCCCGGGTCCCAGCTCCTCCTCAACACAGTTCCCCTCAGCAGACACCTGCCATTCCCAGGCCCCAGCTCCTCTCCTGCTCAGCTCTCCTCAGAGGACACCTGCCATTTCCCGGGTCCCAGCTCCTCCCCCACACGGTTCCCCTCAGAGGACACCTGCCATTTCCCGGGTCCCAGCTCCTCCCCCACACGGTTCCCCTCAGCGGACACCTGCCATTCCCGGGTCCCAGCTCCTCCCCTGCACGGTTCCCCTCAGCGGACACCTGCCATTCCAGGGTCCCAGCTCCTCCCCTGCACGGTTCCCCTCAGCGGACACCTGCCATTCCCGGATCCCAGCTCCTCTCCCACCCAGTTCTCAGCAGACACCTGCCATTCCCAAGTCCCAGCTCCTCCTCAACACGGTTCCCCTCAGCAGACACCTGCCATTCCCGAGTCCCAGCTCCTCTCCTGCTCAGCTCTCCTCAGAGGACACCTGCCATTCCCAGGTCCCAGCTCCTCCCCTGCACGGTTCCCCTCAGCGGACACCTGCCATTCCAGGGTCCCAGCTCCTCCCCCACACGGTTCCCCTCAGCGGACACCTGCCATTCCCAGGTCCCAGCTCCTCCTCAACACAGTTCCCCTCAGCAGACACCTGCCATTCCCAGGCCCCAGCTCCTCTCCTGCTCAGCTCTCCTCAGAGGACACCTGCCATTTCCCGGGTCCCAGCTCCTCCCCCACACGGTTCCCCTCAGCGGACACCTGCCATTCCTGGGTCCCAGCTCCTCCCCTGCACGGTTCCCCTCAGCGGACACCTGCCATTCCAGGGTCCCAGCTCCTCCCCTGCACGGTTCCCCTCAGCGGACACCTGCCATTCCCGGATCCCAGCTCCTCTCCCACCCGGTTCTCCTCAGCAGACACCTGCCATTCCCGAGTCCCAGCTCCTCCTCAACACGGTTCCCCTCAGCAGACACCTGCCATTCCCGAGTCCCAGCTCCTCCTCAACACGGTTCCCCTCAGCAGACACCTGCCATTCCCGAGTCCCAGCTCCTCCTCAACACGGTTCCCCTCAGCAGACACCTGCCATTCCCGAGTCCCAGCTCCTCCTCAACACGGTTCCCCTCAGCAGACACCTGCCATTCCCGAGTCCCAGCTCCTCTCCTGCTCAGCTCTCCTCAGAGGACACCTGCCATTCCCAGGTCCCAGCTCCTCCCCTGCCCGGTTCCCCTCAGCGGACACCTGCCATTCAGCAGTGCTGCGAGTGCCGACCGCGTCTGGGACTCCACGCAGGCTCAGGCTGCAACATAAGGAAAACAGTCCCTTCCAGGAAGACCTCTCAGCCTTCAACAAAGGGCCTGGGAGGGCACAGGTAACCCGGGATGCAACAGATGACAGCACAATCCTGACAGAGCGGCTCCCAGCCCTGAACGGCGCCAGCCGCTTCCCAGAGCTAAAGGCAGACAAGAATCTTCGAATGCAAAGGGCCCACCAAGCCCTGAGCAGGGAGATGAAAAAAGTCCCACAAAACTTTCAGAAGAAAAAGACAAGTCTCACACAAAGGCATGAGAATCTGCCACCAGACACCTAAGAACACAGAGCCTGCAGGTGCGTGGGCCTTAGGCAGCCAGGTGGTGGCCTGGGGAGACCATCACAGGGCTGCACAGGCCACCCAGAGCACGCAGCACCACAGACCAGCTGTTCTCCCCATACACCTCGCACCCCAGCCGCCCGCGGAAATAAGTACGAATCGCTAGCCCCGCTCCAAGACTTACAATCTGCAAACGGGGAGGGTGCCTCGCCATTTCAGTGCCACGGCCCGCCTGCAGCAAGAGGAGCGCCGAGCCAACACGCTTCACATCTAAACCTGCCCTGAGTCCTGTGACAGTGAACAGAATCCCTCGCGTCGAGGACACAGCCTCTTACTAACGCCGGCTGTTGAGATCGTCACATGTGTTTCTTTCTGTTCACCTCCTGAAGTGCACCGGCCCTGTCTGGCCAAAAATTGGGGTGCTGCAGGCGTTGGGAGGAACACAGCAGACGCAGACCTGCAATTCCCCAACCAGCTCAGGGCCAGGGCCCTAGCAGCACCAGATGGACGGGCACTGTGCACACGGCCCCTGGGCCCAGAGCTGCCCGCACACCTGACCGCATGGTCCTGGGGCAGCTCACCAAGGCACCACTCCAAGAATCGCACAAACACCAGCCATGCTTCCTAAGCCCCTGCACGCTTCCTCTGCCCAGGCGCCCCCAGTCATCCTGGTGAGTCTGGCTGGAACCCAAATACACCAGGTAAGGAAAATATGCCCTGCTCTTTCTAAGAGACTTTTTGGAACTTTGGGAAGAAAGAAGGAAGGACCCTTTTTAAAAGGACTGTTTGTCAGGCAGGACCTTCTGAGTGTAGAATTTCGCGTCTCCCGCCCAAACACCAGGGCACTTAAAGGAGTTCTGCTAACACAAGGAAACAGGCTGCCATCTGTCCACACACTTCACAGTGGGGAGCGCTCTCTCCATGCCAGGCACAGTTCTAGGCACGAGCAGGGGCCACGAGGCCTCGAGGCTGGCACACCCACGGCCCAGGGCAGGTGCGCGATCCACGCCTGCCGAGTGAGGGGAGGAGGGAAGGGTGCCAAGAACCTATTTGACTGAAACATTCTTGACTTTCTCAAGTGTCTGAATGCAATTATTTCTGTGCATGTTTTCTACATTTTCTAAAAAGAACTTTTTTGTACTAAAAAAGTAAAAGTAAGAGGGTTGATGAAGTTTTACATAAAGGCCATCATAATCATGAATAAAATAAATAACTCCTAGTTTTACGAAAATCTACCTGGCCTCCTCTCTTCAGACCCACAGCATCCCACCCCAGGCTGGCTTGGTGGAGACGGACCTCATGCCGTGTGCACACGCTGCCGCAGCGTGGCCTGTCCCCAGCGGTGCGCGGGCTCATGTCCAAGACAGTCTGCCTAAGAGCAAGGTGCGTCGGCAAAGGCCGTATCCCAGGACCGGAAAAGCAGCCGGCGGCAACACGTCGGCAAAGGCCGTATCCTAGGACCAGAAAAGCAGCCAGCGGCAACACATCCCATAAAGCTCCTAAGCTTGTGGGGGGAGGCAGTTAAGAGGTGTGAACGATGGGCTCACTCCAAACCCCACATCCATCAACAACAAACTTGGTCAGCACCAACTCAGAAAAGAGAGTGATGTGATGAGAAGGAAACCAAACATCGGAAACTGACGAAAACCCACCCTGGCACATTGCTTAGTTGCCTAAAATGAGGAGCTAGGAAGAAGCCTCCAAAAAAGCACCTGGAATCCACCGTCACTCCCTGACCCCAAACCCCATCACCCCATCACCCCTCTACCCAGCCCAACCCAGCTCCTCCAGTGAGGGCTGTTGCTACTTGCCGGGTTCACAAGGCAAGAGCTGTGTTGTTCCCACCCACCAGCGTCCCCCAGGACATTCCCTACCCAAACAGAAGCAGAGTGCCACAGAGGGTGGGCTCAGACACCCGGGACCACTCTCTGCTCCCTGCTCGGTCCCCTGCACCAGTTACTGCCTCCCCAGGCCCTGTGCAGTGATCCTGAGGCTTCGGTGCCGGAGCAGACCAACAGCTATTTGTGTTTAAGGAAGGAAATGTCATCAAGGCCAGTGCCTGACTGAGGAGCAGAGGGTGCCACATGTCTACAAGCAAGGCAGGACAGGAGCCCAAATATTCAACTCCAGTTATGCTAAAGAAATTTAGATGAAACAGGGGTGGAAAGGCTGTGCCGCTTATCGAGCGGGACTTCCCAAATCAGCCTTTGCCCCCACACTCACACTCCCCATGGTGGAGTGATACCTGCATCCGTCTCCTCGTCTCCACACCCTCCTCTAAACTCATGTCATCGTCATCGCACCTCCTGCCACTGACTCTCCTCTGAGCAGCCCACTGCCAGGCGGCCCCCAATGCTCCAGCCAGCCAGCTCCTCCTTCCGCTTCTGTCCAAGGCAAGCCTGCTGTGCATGTGACATCAAGACAATGGTGCTGTGTGCTGAGCACCAACAAGATGGCTGGAGCCTCTGTAAAGAGACGAAGGGTGGGCCTCACAGCCTCTCATGGAATAGCCAGGCCCTGAGAAGCTTATGGGCATTAGTCCTCACCCTTCAGGACCCCAAGGCAGAGCAGGGCTCATCTCAGAGGGATGCCAGGTATGGCTCGTGCCTGATGGAATGGACACCAGTGAGACTCCCAGGAGGCCCATAAAGTTAGAACTATCACTGCCAGCTTGAACTACAAGGGTCAGAGGCAGTACAAAATAAAAAGTGGGTGCTGGACCCGGAAATCCTATCAGCAGGAAGCAGGCTGAGAAAACAACTCAACTGCAAGCAGCTGCTGTGTTTCAAACAAAGGAAAGCATGAGTCAGAGAGAGGAATCAAAGCCTCCAAGGGCAGAGGGACAGTTATCAGTCCCAAATCATGACACTTGAACAAGGAACTGCCACCATCTGCCAGGCTGGGTCTCGGAAGTGAGGCCCACCTGAGGCTCCTTCCTGCCTCTGAACTGCCACCATCTGCCAGGCTGGGTCTCGGAAGTGAGGCACATCTGAGGCTCCTTCCTGCCTCCATTTTCCCTCATTTTGAACAGGAAGGTCTGGCCTGTGGTGCTTGCCATGATGGCACCGTGGCTGTGGTTGGATGAGCTGACGGCGTGTCTCTCTAGTTCAGGTCAATAGACCGGGGTACCGTGCACCCCAGGAGCTGCATCTCAGCCCACCTAGAGCCAGTTTAGAGGATGACGCGGGACTCTGAGCAGATGCTGTCATGGAAGGACCTTGCGGGGAGTGTATTTTGTACATGGGAGGGACATGAATCTCTGGGACCAGCAGGTGCACAGTGACAGGTGGTCTCTGAGATGGCCCCCATGACACCACCTCCTGGTCATCCTGCCCCTGCAGTCCCTCCACTGGGGTGTAGGCTGGACCTAGCGACTCGCTTCTAACAAACAGAATGTGCAAAAGAGATAGGATGTCACTTCCAAGATGAGGTTTTCAAAAGACCATGGCTTTCGTCTCGCTCATGCTCTCCCTCACTCCCTCTCAGGGAAGTCACTGCCTGGCTGTGAGCTGCCCAAGGAAGCCGCCCACGTGACAAGGAATGGATGTCTCTGGCCAACAGCCAGCAGGGATGTGAGGTCTTCTAACAGCGATATTAGCGACCCTGGAAATGGATCTTCTGAGGCTGCCAGCAGCCTCATGAGTGTGCATGGAAACGAATCCTCATCGCACAGCCCTGGCCAACGCCTTGATCACAGCCCTGCGTGAGCCTCACCAGGCAGGACTCCTGATCCCAGAAGCCTTGCAGCTACAGACGCAGTGTGCTGCACAGCGGCAGCGAACCAACGTGCCACGTGATGCAAAATAGCTCCAGGGTCGTTTGACTTGCTGCCATTCCTGCTATAAGCACAAAATGGTGCTGTACTTATATCTAGGTGGCAATGTAAAGCAGGTAGTTTCAAAAATGGTCCCTGAAATCTACTCTGTGAGGAGGTGATTAAGGAAATCACACCAGATACACCAGAGACAAACTCTACAGAATGGGGAAAAGCGGCTAAAAAGAAGCCGAACTGATCATAATCTCACAAGCGAAGTCTAATTATCCCGTTTTACAAATGAGGAAACCGAGGCTCCAGCACCACGACTGGAGGCAGTTAGGATTCAAAGCCAGGCTGGCTGACTGCAGTCCGGGCTCTACAGTGCAGCCCCAGCTGCCTCCCTCTCCACCAGCACACTCCCGGGAGAAAGCGGCCTCCCTCAAAGCTCACGTTTCCACTAACAAAAACTACCTGGTTCTCAAGAGTGTCTCAGTTCCTGGGTAGCTTTAGTCTCCTGAATCTGAATACTAATAACCTACGTTTAGGCAGCAGGTCAGCAGCCACCAACATTATGAGTAGTTTTTGAATAAATATGCATAGTTTTTGAATAATACATTAGGCTGAACTGAAAAGTACAATACATAAAATGTCCCAGGTCAGCATTTTGTCATCATGCATAGTTTTTCGTGGGTTTTTAATAAATGTCACTTCTTGAGGTTTTAACATTTCAAATCCAAAGAAACCAAGAGGCTGAGCATCAGGGACACACACATTAAATGCCTCAATTCCGGCCTCATGGAGCAAATGCGCTTTCTTCCTCTTCCATTGTCAGTCTCAGAAAGATCCCACACATTGCTAGGCAGCAGCACAGCGACTCAGTGCTTACAAGAGAATTCACTCAAAAACTAATGCAGCTTTTAGAATTCAGAAGTATGGCAAACATGAATGATTAGGGGAAAGAAATAAGAGGTAAAGAAGAAATTAAAGACTGGCAACTTTCAGAATGCTTCGTTTCTTTGAACACTTGAGAAAAAGGTATATACTATTACAGTCCAGCAACAGTAAAAGGAAGTAGCATTCAGAAAGTCATATAAAGTTGAAGAAATAGTTGTGCTAACATCACACTAATACTAATCACATAAAGTGTGAACACTGGCTTTAGCTTCTGTAGCTCCGTTTTACTTCTAGAGAACACATCAGGGGCAGGTCTGTGGGGCGGGGGGAAGCCAGGCACCCAGGGAGACAAGCTGGCTTAGTTCCTCCTTCCTCTTGTTCCCCCCACTACCAGGGCAAGCTCAAGTTGCTGAGGAAGAGGAGGGGGCTTCTCCCAAGGAGGGGAAACTCTGCAGGATCCTCCAAGGACCCAGAGTCCATGAAGCAAAAGAGCCTCCAGGGACAGAGTATCTGCACAGATGCTGAAATACAGCACTGCTGGTTCCAGTGTCCTCCAGCAAGGGCCACAGAGGTGAGACTGGGGGAGCCAGCAGGTGCCCTGTGGCTGTCACCTGTGTCCCCATCCAGTCGGAGGCCCTCCCACATCCTCCCTGCCTAGGTCGCCGTACCGAGGCTCACCTTGCATGGTGGCCACACCTCCTGCTGGACTCCCCGCTGTACCCCACTTGCCGGCCCACCCTGCCCTCACCCTCCTCCTGCCCACAGCTGCCAGCGCTTTGTCCTTCCCCACTTCCTAATCCCTGCCCAAGCACCTGTCCCACTGGGTCCAGCCTCTTGAGGCTCTCTCACTGGGTCCCTCCCCAAACCTCAACATCCCCCTCGGTCAGACCCACTTCCTCGTGGCCCCATGATTTTCCTGCTCACTCATTCATTCGTTTATTCATTCAAGAACTGTCTCGTGGCTTCTGCAGCAGCTCCAGGTGGGCAACTACGAACAGGCAACCAGTGACGGTCCTGAACTCCCAGGGCCAGCTGCCCCGGGGTCACAGACAGTTAAGACAGCCCAATGCCACAGTGCACAGCAGGGCCAGGCCATGCAGGAGGACACCATTTGCAAAAATCACTCTCTCTTGAAACGGGCCCTCTCTCCTCCCCCCACGACTCTGTGGCTCAGCTCATAGCTCACCTCCTACCTGAGGCCCCCAATGACTCCTCCAACACCCCCAGCCTCTAGGCTCTGAGAACCTAGCCACAGAGCAGGGGCCCCACACTCCGGCTGTGCCTGTTCACTCCTGGGGCGCCTCCCTTCTCATGCACAGAGACGTCACCCCACAGCCTTCCGGGGCTTTCTGATGTGGTGCTGTGGGCACACACACAGGCCCCCGTGCAAGGGGCAGGAGGAACCACTTCTGTAAGCAGGGGGAGCGGAGCCCACCAGTCACAAGAGGCTGGGAGGGGCTGAGCACAGCAGGCCCCACCTGCCCGTGTCTCTGTGGTTTTGAAGGCCACACAACGTGAACTCCAGAAACTCCAATCCTGCAGAAGCACCACACCACAAAGACACTCAGACAAGAGCGGGAGCCAAGCCCCCAACCCCACCCACCCCAGACCACAACGGCCAGGGCCCAAAGCCACGTCACAGGCGCCAACCTGACCCTGCGGTCAGTCCAGCAGGGCCTGCCCTGTGAGCTCACTCTGGGCACCGGCCTGGTGATGACCTGGCTTCAGGAAAAGTGAACAGGACACACGGAGGCCACAGCCCTCCAGGATACCCCCGTGCGCCACAGCTGATGAAACTTCCTGATTCCAGAAACAAACACTATTTCAGTATCTTTGGAACACTGAAGGTCAAACCTCCTCAATTCTTCCTTTCCATTTGTATTTGACTTTCCCTTTTTATCTCTACTTGATATTTACTTCTGTTTGTGGTTTTTAAATCTGTGCAGAGTGAGACTATAAATGGAGTTGCCAGATTTAGAAAAAAAAAAAAATACAGGATACCCAGTTAAATGTGAATCTCAGATACATGACAACTTCCTAGTATGAGTGCGCCCCAAATGCTGTGCGGCAACACTGTACCTGGCAAGTCTAGCCCTGGAGAGAGGCTGTGTTTAAACCTGGCTCATTCCAACGTCCATGTTCTTCTCCTCCTCCTTGCTGGCACCTCGGAGGTCCCCCATCACCCCACCTGGACATGTCACCTCTGCGCCCCCCACCCCTTCATTCCCTCATACCTGCTTCCTTGGACAAAACCCACAGTGGCAGGTAAAGGACAGGAAAGGACAAGCACAGCCCAGACCCCGGCCTCACTCTCCATCCCCAGCCCTCGGACCCCGGCCTCACTGTCCATCCCCGGCCCTCGGACCCCGGCCTCACTCTCCATCCCCGGCCCTCGGACCCCGGCCTCACTCTCCATCCCTGGCCCTGGCGGGCCTCTCCTTAGCCCAAAACACCCCAGAAAGACTGAAACCAATTTTTCTCATCAACAAATGGGTCTTATTTCCAATCAGCCTCCTACATGTGATTCTCCTATTCACCGACACCTGGTAACCCACCTACAGGATTCAAGGGAAAAAGACACAGAGGGTTCCACCACTGTTTTGTGTTCACTAGGCCTGAAGGGGTCCTTTTGCTTTTAGTATCTTATCCACTCTCAGAAAGACAAAATCATTGCCAATGTTCACAGTACTGTGAGCCTCTTCAGCACCAAGCGTGTTAAGGACAAGCTGTGCACCTGTCCTGCCCACAGGGCAGCCGGGACAGACCCCATGTAACAGAGGAGGGCAGCCGGGACAGACCCCGTGTTACAGAGGAGGGCAGCCGGGGACAGACCCCGTGTTACAGAGGAGGGCAGCCGGGACAGACCCCGTGTTACAGAGGAGGGCAGCCAGGACAGACCCCGTGTTACAGAGGAGGGCAGCCGGGGACAGACCCCGTGTTACAGAGGAGGGCAGCCGGGGAGGCTCCTGGGGCCTGAAGCGCTGTGCCCTTGTGACCTCCTCACGTGGCTCCTCACCACCCCCAGGTCTAGGCAGGTGCAGTGGGGCAAACGGCAGCCCCAAAGATACCAGGGCCCAATCCCCAGAAGCTGTGATTGTGACCCTATTTGGAAAAGGATTATGTTAAGGATTCTGAGATGAGGCAATGATCCTGAATTTCCCAGGTGGGTCCTAAATGCAATCACAGGTGTCCGTAAAAGAGGGAGGCAAAAGGGACACACAGACCCAGAGAAAGCCACGTGAGAGAATGCCACATGGGGACAGAGGCAGGGACTGGAGCAATGCAAACACAAGCCTAGCAATGCCGGGAGCCCTGGAAGCTGGGAGAGGCAGGAAGGGTCTCCCCCTAAAGCCTTCGGAGGGGTCACAGCTCTGCCACACCTTGACTTCAGGCTTCCAGTCTCCAGAACTGTGACGGGACCGGGGGCTGCTACTGGGCTAGCCCCTCGCTGGTGATAATTTGTGCCAGCAGGCACAGGAACTCCTAGGAGGGGCGGGCCCAGGCAGTCCTCCTCCTCCCAGGGCCAACGTCCCCAGCCTCGCAGGGAGGAATCTGGCTGCTAAAGGCTGGAATCCACAGAGCTGTCCCTCTTCCACACGATTGTCTACTAACTCCCAGGCTGGACTCCAGGCCCCTGGAGTGCAGGGCGCTCTGGCAGGCGGGGCAAGCCAGCCCCTCACCCTGCCTAAAGCACCTTCACTGCACTCCAGCTCAGCAGAGCCCGCGGCACTGCTGTCTCCAGCAGCCTGGCACACAGTGGGGGCCAGACCCAGATGCACTCAGTGAAGGCCTGGGCGCCTCCGAGGCGAGCACCTGTTCCCAGCAGAGTGCAAGCCTGCAGCGATGCCACCAGCACCATCGCTAATGGTGACCAGGACTCCCAGGTATCAGCCACTGCTCCTAACCGTTTTCCACACATCATGCTATTTAAACCTCACAACAACCTTATTTTATAGACAAACTGCAGCACAGAGTTAGAAAAGACTGTGGGGGTGAGGTGAAGACCGCGGAACAGCAGCCACAGGCCAGGCTGAGCCTTTCCTCCCACCCTCAGTGAGCCTGGAGGAGACCCAGCCTAGCACACCTGCGTGGGGTCCAGGGGTCCAGGGGTCATGGGCCTCTGGAAAGTCAAAGAAGAGCCCATAGGCCCTATCCTTATGGTGCTCGCATCAGAGGAAGGCAATAAAGGACGCACAGTCTCTCTGCCACCAGGCTCATCAGGTTAGTTGACCCATCCAGGAAATGCATCTATTCTAGGCTAACACTTAAGATCCAGAAGTCAGGTGTTGGTAGGGGAAGAACTTTCTTTTAACTGGAGTGCTAGCTCCCTGATCACTTGAACGCTCTATGAGAAAAACAAGCAAACTGCCAAAGACCAATGCCTGGCTACTAATCAAAGTGCCGGCAGCTCTGTCCGTAAATTGACAGTTCCCACATCCTCCCACGCTGCTAAATCAAGTTCCAACCAGACACAAGACACAAAAACCAACTCTGGGAGGTCCTGGAGAGCTATGAAAAGCAGGCAGAAAGTGGAGGGGAGTTGTCCCCTGAAAGGAGAGAGCTGCACCAACTAAAACAAGTGTTTCTAAAAATGGCTAGAGCACAGGTAGAAGTTGTGATCCTCCCAGCTTGAAGAGTCCAAGATAGGGCTTGGGGAGGGCTGGGTGGCTGAACAGTGAGGGGCATATCTCAGAAAGGAGGTCACTGGGGAAGAGGCAGTCGTGAGATCTGTTAGTAAATTCTGCCTAGGTCCTGGCCAGTGGTGAGCCATCCATGCACAGAGAGACCCCAGAGTCCAGCAGAAGGAGGCAGCCGGAAGGTCAACAGCACCAAGCAGAGACTGCAGCAGAGATTTTCATTTGAGTCCAGACAAATTAACTTCCAGAACAAAAATCAACACTCTTCAGAAAAAAGAAGTCACTACAGTTACCATCTACAATGTCCAGTACACCATCAAATAACACTAGATGTTCAAAGAAACAGGAAGATGTGGCCCATAGTTGGAAGAAGCCAATAGAAATTGATCCTGAGGTAATGCAGGTGTTGAAATTAGCAGAAAAGAACATTAAAGCCGCTAGTATGTGTTCAAAGATTTAATGACAGTATGATCACAATAAACAAATGACAGAGCAGAGAAATGGCAACCATAAAAAATAAGTGAAAATTCTAGAAATAAAAACTACTGTAACTGAAATTTTAAAATGCACGAAACTTAATAGCAGTTTGAAGATGGTGAAAAATTACATATCCAAGAAGTTCAACAAACCCTGAGCAGGACAAATACAAAGCAAACCCTCCTAAGAACATCACAATCAAACTGCTGGAAGCCAAAAATCCCAGGAGGAGCTTGAAAGCACCTCATCATATAACATAAAGGAGCAACGCAGCTACCAGAGTGACTGACTTCTTAGAAACAGCAAAGGGGCAACATGACGAGACTATGAAAAAATAAAATGAAAAGTAAAAATTGCCAGTTGTGGGGGTGCATGCTTGTGTTCCCAGCTACTCAGGAGGTTGAGGCAGGGGGATCGCTTGAGCCCAGGAGTTTGGGGCTGCAGCGAGCTATGACTGCACCACTGCACTCCAGCCTGGGCAAAAGAGTGAGACTCCGTCTCTTAAAAAAAAAATTGAACAAACATCAAAGAGATCAACAAGATGAGAAAAAAGAGAATTAGAGGATCAACCTAGGAGGTCCAACCTCCAAATAAAAGTTCCAGAAAGAGAAAACAGCAAAACTGAAAGAAAATTATCTTTGAAATTTAAAAACTTCTATCCTCAGACTGAAAGGGCCCACGGAGTGCCCAGCACAATAAACGGAAGCAGATGCCATTATCGGGCTTCTCAGAACACTGAGGGAAAAGAGCCGCTTCTATGAGCTTGAGGCAGGAGAGATCACACACAGAAGAACTGAAATCAGAATGGCGTCAGACCTCAACAGCACAGAAACCAAATGCAATGAAGCAACATTTTCAAAATTCCGAAAAAATCATTGTCTAAAATTTTATACCCAGCTAAGTTAAAAGGTAATTGGAGAGTAAAATAAAGATGTTTTCTAAATCAAGGACCAAAAAAAATACCTATGTGATGTTTCTTAGGTATCAAAAGAGTAGGACTTCAGCAAAACGAGGAGTGAGCCAAGCAGAGAGAGAAGAGCAGGACCCAGTGCACAGGGAGCCCCACAGATGGAGGACAGCAGCGGGAAATGCAGGTGACAGCGGCGCAGCAGGTCTCCTGGAGACCAGGGCAAACGAGAGCAGGGAGAAGGCTCCAATCCCAAAGGGGTGGGGATGGGGCTAGTGTCCTGGATGCAATGAAAAACAAACCATTTTGATAGGTGGGTGACTAGAAGATGCTAATCCACAGGGCTGTGCGAGAGGACCTGTGCTCAGGGCACTCCTTGGCGCAGTAATGAGCAATGCTTACAGTCACACAAGAGCAAGGACTGTCGATTTCACCAAAAATGCAGTGATTATGATGGCACATAGAGGGACAGGGAGGCTGGTGGGACAGAGGAGAGCTAAACCTCCCCACGGCCTTTGGGAGAAATAAAAAAAGAATGTCTTAAGCTTTAAAGGAGCAGCTTCAACAGCAGTAAATGCCTGAGAAAACAGACCACTTAGGATCCCGCCTCTGGGGGCTGCGGCCAGGCAGGGCAGGAGAATGCCTACAACTGGACGCTTCAATCCACAGACTCAGCCCTTTTTCAGGCATGCTGGAAGGACAACTAAGATCACTGCTAAGGGACACAAAGATGTAGGAAAAGATATGTGAGTAGAGTGTGTATGCGTATCGGGTATCACCATGATTACAGAGTTGGGGACAGCAAGTGCATGGAAAAGCAGAAAGAAAAGAAAAACAGAAAGAACAAACTAGATGTTTCTTTTCTCTTTCACTGAAGTCCAGACCTTAAAAGACACAGAAGAAGGGAACTTCTAACACAAGAGTTCCTTGCCCGGAGCCCGAGGCAAGAGGCTCCTTCATGGAAGAATCTAGGCAACTTCTGCAACGGTGGCCCCCAAAACCACAGGTAAAACTGCATGAGCACTGTGTGGAGTATCCAGTTTGGAACTGGTAACGACCCCACCTCCTAAAAAGGCACAGCATGAGTGACCTCCCACAACCTCTCATGACTGGGGCTTGCATCCTGAGCAAGGCTTGTCTTCCTTCCCAGGACACCTGTTTCCAGGATGGCTCCCGCCTCTCCCCAAGGGCAGGGAAGTGAAACCACAGGGACCTTCCCTGGACAAACCCTGCCCATCCCAGAGAAGAGGCATGAGACGGGTGCTCCTCGCACACAATGGGAAAAGTGAAGTCATTTCGAAGACAAGTGAGGAGCCTGCTGTAGGCTGAATAGCGATCCCCAAAGATATCCAGGCCCTAATCCCTGGGACTGTGAAAGCCATACGGCAATACGGATCTGCAGATGTGAGTAAACTAAGGCTCCCAGGACAAGGAGATTATCCTGGAAATTTGAACATGGCAGAAGAAGACAGAAGCTAGGCGCGGTGGCTCGTGCCTGCAATCCCAACCCTTTGAGAAGCTAAGGCAGGAGGATCACTTGAGGCTAAGAGTTCAAGATCAGCCTGGGCAACATAGTGAGACCCCATCTCTACCAAAAAAAAAAAACAGAAAAAATTAGCTGGGCATGGTGGCACATGCCTGGGGTCCCAGCTACTCAAGAGGCTGAGGCAGGAGGATGGCTTGAGCCAGGAGTTCAAGGCTGTAGTGAGCTATGATTGTGCCACCGCACTCCACCTGGGCAACAAAGTGAGACCCTGTCTCTAAAAGGAGAAAATAAAGAGGAGGAGAAAGACAGCGATGTGACAATGGAGGCAGGGCAGGAGCCGGGAGCCAAGGAATGAGGCCAGCCCCCAGAAGCTGACCAGGGGGGCAGTTTTCCTCCAGCCCCCAGAAGCTGACCAGGGGGGTGAACGGCTCTCCTCCAGCCTCCAGAAGCTGACTGGGGCGGGCCAACAGTTCTCCTCCAGTGCCTCGGGAGGGAGCTTGGCCAGCTGACGATGACACCAGTTTCAGCCCAACTAGGGCAAATAAACTTTTGCCATTTTCAGCCACTAAGTGAGTGGTGCTTTGTTACACAGCAATAGGAAACTCATACAACTGGGAAGGGAAATGTTTCTAGGAATTCCACCAAATTCAAATAAAATGTAAAATGGTCTGGGCTTTAGGATTTTGTGTGCTTGAAGCCCTGCATGTGTTAAGTCGTAACTAATGAGTTGTTTATTCCTTCAGCCTGCTTTTTGTTGTTGTTGTTGTTGGTTTGTCTTTGTTTTTGAGATGGAGCTTTTTTTTTTTTTTTTTTTTTGAGACAGAGTTTTGCTCTTGTCACCCAGGCTGGAGTGCAATGGCGCAATCTTGGCTCACCGCAACCTCCGCCTCCCAGGTTCAAGCGAATCTTGTGTCTCAGCCTCCCGAGTAGCTGGGATTACAGGCGTCTGCCACCACACCCGAATAATTTTGTATTTTTAGTAGAGACGGGGTTTCACCATGTTGGCCAGGCTGGTCTCGAACTCCTGACCTCAGGTGATCCACCTGCCTCAGCCTCCCAAAGTGCTGGTATTACAGGCGTTAAGTCACTGCACCCAGCCCAGCCTGATTATTTTGCTTGGTCAGTCTCAGACAAAAATAAAGGTCCAAAGTCAATGTGATCCACATACTGTCAACCAGGCCTGCAGAGCCCACTCAGCCCCCTTCTATCAGCCGGAAGCGCTGACTAGCGGCAGCCTCAGCCTGTCCTCCATCTCCTCTACCCCCGACCTTCCCACAGCAGCAGCCAGGCCGGCTGGGTCACCAGCTGTCACCTCTGGGCCCTCACCACCTCCAGGACCTCACTGAGTCCCAGCTCCCAGCGCCACAGGTCTCCTCGGCCTGGCCACCCCTTCTTCCCCGAGACCCTCATCCTAAACAGGGCAGAAAGGGAGCCAGCCCTTGACCCTGGATTCCCTCCTCTTTGCAGTGCCTGTCGAGTGCCTCCCTCCCACCTCCTGACCCTCCCCAGGACATGCCCTCAGGCCGCGCCACCCCTGCCCTCTCCTGAGCACTCCACAGGTCAGTACTGTACCTCCAGTCCACGTGAGGGGCCTTTCCTCCGCCCTTGTCTTTGTCAACCTCCCTGAGACCTCCGGTCACCACTGCCCTGTCGCTCCTCCCTCTGCTCTGCCAGTCACAGAGGCATCCGCATCATTGCAGTTACCAGGGCTAGAACTGTAAGCCTGTCTGATGGCAGGTTCCAGCCTCAGGAGGTCTCAGAGATAAGGCTGGACTTGCAGTTTTAAGAAAAAGACCCAGACAGGGGTGCACCAACTTGTGCAGGCTCAGCCACCCCACTGCCCTTGCCTGAGCCCCTGCCCTCAGCCAACATGGCCTCCCCCACCTGCAGAGCATCCAGCTGAGGCACCACGCAGGGCCCGGGCACCGGATACCCATCATCTCAAGTCCCCAAAAGCACTGGCCACGATGGACCTTTTTATATCGCTTTTTCAGGGGAAGAAACTTCGCACTGTGACAATTACTTTCTAAAGTGAAATATAAACTGGTTCTCCCTTACTCAGAATTGCTCTGCCCTCCCCACGTCGCCTTCTCTAGGGGAAGGCCAGCAGGACTCCACCCCAGCAGCCCTTGCTGCCCAAAGCCGCCTCTCTGCCCTCCTTGGTAGTCTCCTTGCTGTGAATGGTGGGGCTGCTGCCTTGCCTGGGAAGGCCCCCCAGCGCCCCTTCTGTGCAGGCCTTGCCGGCCATCCTGCACGTCCCTGTGGCCTCAGAAGGGCCCTGCACAGGACGGCATGGACCACGCTGAGGACTTCAGACAAAGACACTCTTAGCCCTTGCAGCAGCTCCAAAGACAGGTCCAATGAGGAAACTCAGGCACAGAGAAGGTGGTCACCTGCCCAGGGACACATTCCCAGCAAGTGACCAAGCAGGTGAGAGGCCAGGTGGTCCTCTCTGTCCACACTCCACGGCTCTGGGCCCCCTCTGTGTTCACCCTCCACTGTCTACACTCCATGGCTCTGGGCCCCTTCTCTGTCTGCACGGCTATGAGACTCTGTCTACACTCCACAGCTATGGGTCCCCTCTCTGTCTACACTAGATGGCTCTGGGCCCTCTCTCTGTCTACACTCCACGGCTCTGGGCCCCCTCTCGGTCTACACTCCACGGCTCTGGGCCCCCTCTCTGTCCACACTCCACAGCTCTGGGCCCCCTCTCTGTCTACACTCCACTGTTTATACTCCATGGCTCTGGGCGCCCTTTCTGTCTACACTCCACAGCTCTGGGTCCCCTCTCTGTCCCCATTCCACAGCTTTGGGCCCCTCTCTGTCTACACCGCACGGCTCTGGGACCCCTCTGTCTACACTGCACAATCGCGGCACCGCGGCTGAGGCGACCCCAGGTCGCTGCAGTGCGTCTGGAGTTCGGGTCTCGGAAGGCAGCTTCTGCCCTAACAAAGCGGCCGCTCGTGGAGTCCGACGAGGGAACCCTCCCAGCGCTCCCGGGCGCATCTCGCCCGCGGGACCCCCTGCCCGGCGCCGCCCCCGCGGGTCCCGCCAAGGGCCCGGGCGGGCCTCACAGCGCGGGGCCCCAGGAGGCCGCGCACCCGCCCGGCCGGAGGCCCCACAGGCCCGCGCCCCGCGCCGCCCGCCCCCGCCCCCGCCCCGCCCCGCCCCGCGCCGGGCCCGGGACCAGGAGCCTGAGTCAGGCCGGCGAACAAAAGGCAGGGCGGGCGGGCGGCGACCCCGAGGGGACGGGCGCCGCGCAGGGCTGGCCGGGATCGGCCGGGAGGCGGAGGGCGCGGGCGCGCGCCCCGGAGACGAAAGAAAGAGCGGAGGCGGCGCGCCCTGCCCCCGCCCCGGCCCCGGCCCCGCACACCTACCGGGCCGCGCCGCTCGCTCCCGCTCCGGGCGCTTCGGCCCGCGCCACCGCCCGCGCGCGCAACGGTCGCCTCGGCAGCCACCGCCCCCCGGGGTCGAGGCGAGGGCGGGGCCGAGGCCGGAGGAGGGGCGGGGACGGAGAGGGGCGGGGCGAACCTGGTGAGGCGGGGCCAAGGGGGTGGGGTTGGGGCGGGGCGATGCGGGGGCGGGGCACGGGGCGGGGCGAGGGCCTTCGCGTCGGGACAGCGTGGTAACGGGACTGCCAGGGAAGCAGGGATGAGAAGAAGCGAGGGACGGGGCCTCCACGGCCGGGGGCGGGACTTCCGTTGGGGGCGCGGCGGCGCTGGTGCGCACGGTGTGTACCCGCACTGGCCCGGCCCTGGTGCTGGGAGCGACTGCGTTCCCGCAAGCTGGTTTTCTCTGCCTCCGCTGGCCCGGGACACCCTGCGAAGGGCAGGTCGGTGTGGCCGGGAGGAGCCGCCCCTGCCTGGGCTGTCTCTGTCCTTCGCCGTCGGTGTCCGAGGAAGTCCCGCTCCCGTTGGGTCTCTGTGCCCGGGAAACCTGGCTGTGGGGAGTCAGGCCCCGGCGCCCTGGCTTTTCGGCTGGGCAGATGCCCGGAGCTGGCGGCAGCTTCGGGGGCGGCGTGAGTTCCCGCGGCGAAGCCACGGGGACAGCCAGGAAAGGCCGTTCCCTCCGGGCCCCGGGACGCCCGCGAAGGCGGCGCGGTGACTGCGGCGTCCAGCGGGTCTGCCCCTCCCGGAGCGCGGGCAGCAGCGAGGGCGGGACCGGAGGCACCGCTGGCACGAGAGGAGGAGCTGCCCGGCCCCGGCCTGCGCCTCTGGCCCTGTCCCAGCCGCCGCCTTCACCCTTTAGGCCGGAGTTCCTTCCTCGCCCTCTTCGTGTCTTCCTTCCCCGGCGCTGGGTCTCCCTGCCCCTTCCTTCCTGCCTTCCCCTCATTCTCTCCCGCCGCGTTTTTCCCTCGAGACGCATCCGTCGCTGCTGTTCACGCTCCAGCCCTGCCGCCCGCCCAGGGACTCGGCCCCTCTCGGGTTTGCTTCTTTCCTGTCACCTGCCTTGATGGGCTCAAAACGCTTCCCCTCCGTCCCCGCCACCGCCCCATGGTTTCTTGGCAGCTCTCCATCATCTAGTCTTGTGTGATTAGTTTGGATCCCAGGAGGAAACCAATGGCATTCTCAGTGGGACAATTAATTAAGAGTCCAGCAGGGTTCCCGCTGGCAGAGGCGCGGTCCGGGAGCCGGGAAGCCACAGGGCGGTGCTGAATTGGGACAGGTAACAGCAGGGAGGGAACTGTTTTCACCTGCAGGGCTGAAGGAGCGCGGCCAGAGCGGTTACAGGAAGCCAGACAAAGAGAGAGAGATACTTAACAGGAGCTGCGACCTATGGCCAAGGGACACAGCCAGCCCTTGATGACCCAGCAGAGAGAGCCAGGGAAGAGGCCAGGCGCGGTGACTCGTGCCAGTAATCCCAGCACTTTGAGAGGCTGAGGCGGACAGATCGCCGGAGCTCAGGAGTTCGAGACCACCCTGGGCAAGATGGCAAAACCCCATCTCTACTAAAATACAAAAAATTAGCCAAGCGTGGTGGCACGCGCCTATAGTCGAAGCTAGTTGGGAGGCAGAGTCAGGAGAATCACTTGAGCCCCGGAGGCGGAGGTTGCTGTGAGCCGAGATTGTGCCACTGCACTCCAGCCTAGGTGACAGAGTGAAACTCCATCTCAAAAAAAAAAAAAAAAGAGCCAGGAAAGAAACTGCCCCCACCCTGGCCCCCCCAAAACTGTGGACCTTCTTGGCTCCTGCCTATGCGCAGATGGTGGAATCTTCCAGAGCAGCGCCAAGCCAGAAGGAAGCAGGCCGCAGAGCTCAGCCTCCTGAGGCTCCAGGGCAGGGACAAGTGGCCCTGAGTGAGAGATGGGGAAACACCACCTGCAGGTCTCTTCTTTCCCTTTGGCTTTTTCCTCTACACTTGCCCGGCCTCCAGGTGCCTCATGGACAGGGGTAGGGGAAGAGGACGAGCAGCTCATACGAGGGGTCACCGAGCCTGTGAGAGAACTCATGCCCAGCAGGGGGGTGGCCCAAGAAGCTGTTTCTGTGGGAGGAAGCACCCTAGTCCATCCCCGTGAAAGCCAGGGCCCCCAGAAGTGGGGAGAAATTGCCTGAGACGGAGAGAAGGTGTCAAGTGTCATGCTGGAAGGTTTTGAAAAGGTAGGTCTTGCCAATTAAGCAAAACTCATTCAGTCCATCTGGAGGGGCTAGACACAGAACCATGCCCAAGTCTCTGGGTGGTCAGTCCCTGGCCCCTGTGGTTCTCCTCCTGTAGGCTTCACTCTTGGGCCCAGACTGGCAGGGCGGCCTCTGTTGGCACAGGGAGGGCCATGGAGAAGCGTGCACCTGCTCTTCCGTGCCTGCCAGGCAGCGGCTCAGCGGCCCTACCCACAGCTCATAGGCTACAGTTGCTTAAGGAGGCACTCCTGAGTTGAACAAGTGGGATGGATGATAATTCTTCCACGGGACTCGGGGTGTGGGGGCGTCCCCCCACATTCCAACACAGGCTACGACACGGATGACCCTTGAGGACACTATGCTAAGTGAAATAAGCTCGTCACAAAGGACAGATACTGTCTGATTCCACTTATAGGAGGTTCTTAGAGTAGGTACATTTATAGAGACGGATAGTAGAAGGGTGGGTGGCAGGGGCGGGGGAGAAGAGGACAGAAGTTATTGACAGTTTCAGTTTGGGAAGATGGAAGCATTCTGGAGATGGGTGGAGATGTTTGCTCAACAGTGTGAAGGTGCTTGATACCCCTGAGCTGTACCCTTAACAATGGTTAAGATACAGCCATTATGGAAAAGAGTATGGAGGTTCCACAACAAATCAAAACTAGAACTACCGTGTGATCCAGCAATCTCATTGCTGAGTATGTATCCAAAGGAAATGAAATCAGTGTGTCAAAGAGACGTCTGCACTCCCAGGCTCAGCACGGCACCACTCACAATAGCCGGGATGTGGAACCCACCTAAGCGCTCGTCGATGGATTAGGTGGATAAAGAAAACATCGTGAATTACTGAATACTCTGGAGCCTTAAAAAGAAGGAAATGTGCCATCTGCAACAACACAGATAAACCTGGGGGACATTATAACAGTGAAATAAGCCAGGCACAGAAAGACAAATATTGCCCGGTCTAACTTACATGTGGAATCTGAAAATGTCCAAGTCACAGAAACAGAGAGTAGGATGCAGGTTACCAGAGGCTGTGGGTGGGTAGGAATTGGGGAGACATTGGTCAAAGGGCACAAAGTTTCAGCTATGCAGGATGAATTAAGTTCAGAAGATCTATTGTACAGCATGATGACTAGTCAATAATAATGTACCCTTGAAAATCTCTAAGAGTAGATTTTAAATGTACTCATCACAAAAAATGGGATGTGAATGATGGGACACATTAATTAGCTTAATCACTCTGTAGTGTAAACATATATCAAAGCATCAGATTGTACAATTTTTCATTTGTTAATTAAAAATATATAAATATACTATGGGATTTGCACTAATTAAAAAAGTAAAAAATAAAAATTGTAGGCCAGGCACGGTGGCTCATGCCTGTAATCCCAGCTCTTTGGAAGGCTGAGGTAGGTGGCTCACTTAAGCTCAGGAGTTGGAGACCAGCCTGGGCAACACAGTGAAACCCCGTCTCTACCAAAAACACAAAAAATTAGCTGGGCGTGGTGGTGCGTGCCTGTGGTCCCAGCTACTCAGGAGACTGAGGCAGGAGGATCACTTGAGCCTGAGAAGTGAGGTTGCAATGAGCCAAGATCGCGCCACTGCACTGCAGCCTGGGCAACAGAATGAGATCCTGTCTCCAAAAAAAAAAATTGTGATGGTTAAGTTGGTAAGTTGTACGTCATGTGTGTTTTACCCCAATAAGAAAACATGTAAAACAATGTTCTCTGAGGGGCCCACACCTTACTTGGGGACCTGGTTGTGGGTGTCCTCAGCAGGTGGAGGCTGATAGGGGGAGGTGGGACCTCGGACTGGGTCCCTCCCACAGCAGGGCAACAGGATCCTGATGGCAGAGGCAGGTAGATGCACTTCCTGGGCAGGGAATGGCAGGCAGAGTGGGCAGCCAGGCTGGAGTCAGCCCACTCTAGGGGCTACACCAATGGGGCTCGTAGGGGTGGGGGGATGGCGGCTCACTCAGGGTTGACGGCGTCCATAATTAGAGACAAGGAGAGCTGGGAGCTGGGACCTGGGGCCCCTGAGGCCCCCAGCAAGCCACATGCCTCATGCAGTCTCCATGTGGGAATCGGTGCAAAGGCCCAGAGTCCCTTCACGGGGACCGGATCCCTTTGCAGAAGGCCCTGGAATGCCCTGTCAGCCTCTAAGCAGGTGTTTCCCTAGCCTTCCCTTGGGCCTGTGGCAACATGCCAGGGTCCATACGTCCCGGAAAGGAGGAACCTCCAGACTTTGGGGGCTTGCTTGTGTCAGGGTCTGAGCCGACCCAGGCAACAGAGGAACCCAAACCCCATCTGTCCTCCCGAGAGAGTTGGGGTTCGTCAGAGCTTGACCAGGTCCACCTCAAGGGACACCCATGGGCCTGCATGTCCCCAGTGAGTATTTTCCTGGCCCCAAAGCATGGGGGAAGCTGTGCCTCAGGAGCTGCACCAGGAAGCCAGGCCCAGAGGGGAGTGCTGGTGGCCAGGCGTCCGGCAGGCCTCTGCGCGGCTCACACCCTTCCTGCCCAGTGGGGATGCTGCCCACACCCACGGGGCCCCCTTGTCAGCTGCCCCCCTCCTGTCAGGGCCCAGCTCTGTGTCACAACCTTTGTGAAGCCAGTGTCCCCACTCCAGCCCCAGCCCTCCCACACGCCCACCAGACCCCACACACCCGCCGGGCCCATCACTCTTGGGGGTCTGCGCACACTCCCCATGCGGCAGTAGTTTATCTGCCATCGAATCCTTGTGTGCGCTCAGAGCAACGAGCACGCAGGCTCAGGGAGCTCAGGGCCAGCAGGTACGGGCCCACGGTGTCTCTCGACGGCTCGGCCATGGGAGGGGGAGGACCCAGAGGGACTCTGGCGCTGACGCTGGGAAGCAGGGCAGGGATGGAGCGAAGGGGCTGGCGTGCCCCCAAACAGAGCTAAGGGGACAGGTTTGTGTGGGGCCCGGTGAGTTTGGGGGAGATGTGGGAGCTGAGGGCCCCCACCCAGGCCCCGTGGGACAAATGAGCCTGCCAGCCCCTTGCCTGCACTCTGCCACATCTGAAATGCTCTGTCCCGGGACTACCTTCCAGGTGGGGCAGCCTCCTGTGCCCGTGTTGTGGAATTCACCATCAGTGAGCAGATGAAATAAATTAAATGAAGCATAATGTTTTTAACCAGAATACACAAAGTTAATTAAATAGAGCATATTGTTACTAAGTAGAGCTCATGGCAATTAGGGACGTTGTCACCAAATAAAATATGCATTAATTAAGTAGACCATATTATTCCTACACAGAACTTCCTCGGGCCGCCAGGGCCAGGGGCTGGGGAGGTCCCAAAGGCCAGCGGGCAGGGGCAGGTTCAGGAATCAGGAAGGGCTTGGCCACGTGTGTGGCGTGAACCCCTCCTGTGGGACCCGGCTTTGAAATGTCTCTTCTTGTCAAAGAACCGAAGCTTGGCAGCAACAGAGCTGCTCCAGCTGGAGGAATACCAATTTGGAGAAGATGTCCTTTTTTTGTTTTTTTTTTCAGACCATGTGATGTGCCTTGAGAAAATGTATGTTTAGGAGGGTGTTTTCCTTTACAGAAAATAAACGTGAAATAAATCAGAAAGCATCGCCTCAAAACAAGAAAATGACATCGGAAATGTTTTAAATGTTGCTCTTCGAGTCCACCTTGAACAATCACGCAAACGCCGCCCTCCCGGGGCTCTGCACAGCGTCGGGGCCTGGGCGCTGCTCGCTCTTCCGCTGTTCAGTGAGCAGGTAGCGCTCAGAGCTCACCTTTTCCCGGAGGATTATAAAAGAACTAGGTGCCCCTTTTTCTCTGTCTTCCTCAGTAACTCCCTAATATATGCCCAAAGCTGATGCTGGCCCCAACCCATTCACCCATCAAGTCCCAGATCACCATCATAGCCAGGTCCCCGAGGCCTCCCCAGCCCGAGGGAGCTCCCGGCCTGGGCGGAATTCCACTCAATCCTGCCGGAGCAGCGTCGGCTCCCGCAGGCACTGCTGACCGGGCTCCCATTCGGTGCCTAGCAGCGCACTAAGGGCCTGACGGGGGCTCTCTGACCCTCTCACAACCCTGCACATGCCCGTTTACAGATGCAGAAACTGAGGCCTGGGGAGACAAAGTGCTGGGAACACGTTCCCGCTGAGCCTTTCCCCGGTGTGCAGCGCTGGCCCCGCCTGGCTGCCACAGGCTGCCTTTCCTGCCCCTGACCCTCATTCCTCCTCACTCCCTCGCCCTGCATCCACCTGCGGGAGGGAGGAGAGCAAACCCCACACCGCAGCCCCCAGCACAGGCTTCCACCCCAGGAGGCCGGGGGAGCAGGGCCCACAGGGGCTGGCTTTAAACCAAGAATGGAGCTTGGATTAATATCTCAGGGTTAGGGTAATGGATTTGGACTGACTCTGAATTGAGACTGTATTTGCCAGTTGAGTGACAGAAGCTGCTTTTTATGTAGGAGCACACAGAAAATCCCCAGGCAGCCAGGAGCTTTCAGGGCCGGAGGAGGTTTGCCCACCGCATACGCAGTAATGGGGAACAGAAACCGGGCAGGCTGCATTTGGTGATCTCAGGAGAAAGGCTTCCTCAGTGTGTCGAAAGAAACCACACGCGGCCTGGGGCAGAAGACCTGCCCTTAGGGTGGCCGAGTGGCCTCTCCTGGCTCTAAGCATCAAAGGTCCTGCACCCCTGGAACCTCCTCGGTCCTAGGCAAAACAGACAGTTGGTGACCCTCCCTGTGGTGGCCTCACGAATAACCAGAAGGACATGCCAGGCTGGACGGAGGCACTGCCTTGCTCACCTCAGGCATCTGGGCTCCTCTCCACGTTCCCTGGGCTCCGTTCTTTTGGTGACGGCCCCAGCGGTCCCTGGAGCGCAGCCCGGCACACCGGCAGGAAGTGGTGAAGCCGTGGCTCCCTCCATCTGGGCTGGTGTTTGCAGGACATTTTCCTCACGGCGAAGCTGAGGGGTGACAAAGGAGTCTACGGAGCCCTGCCCCAGGCGCGGGCGCTCCCCAGGGCATGAGAACCCAGAGTCCCGCCCATGCACAACTCCTGTGCCAGGACACAGCCTGGTGGCTCTGACCAGCCAGTCGACAGAAGTCTGCTCTGGAAGGGGACTGGGGTGGGGGCAGAGGGGATGAGGAGGAGCCGGGAGGCACCACCTCGAGCTCACCCCCAACGGTGACAGTGGGGCTGGGGCTTGTTCCGGGGCGGGGCAGCCCGCCGGACCCAGCCCGAGAGGTTAAGCGCGCGGCTCGGGTCCTGGAGGCCACCACGTGGCCTGCGTCCTTGGGCCCTGGGAGCTTCCAGGGCTGAGGAGGCCACGGACACAGGACTTACAGGACAAAGGGAGGTGTAGCAGAGCGCTGGGCACCAGTCCCCCTTCCTTCCAGGCCCCCGTGCTCCCAGAGGCCCAGCCACGCCACCCTGGCACACCCTTTGTCCCTCACATTGCTCTGGTCACTTCAGTCATGACCCCCAAAACAGGCCTCTGCTGGAGCCGTAGCACTTGCTATGAATAGAGAGCGGGAGCTGAAGGAATGGTTTCCGCACGCTGCCTGAGCGGCCGCCTCGGTCTCCCCTTACTGCAGCCAGCCCGCAGGTCCGGATTCCCTGCCTCTGCTGTCCCACCATCCAGACAAGACCCACCAGCTGGGCCACCTGTCAAGTCCTCAGTGGGGGCCACTTTTCTGCAAATGCCCCAAGAATGCTATGGGGCTCTCCGTATCAGTGCTGTCCAGAGAAACAGAATCCAGTAGGGTGTGCAGATAGACAGAGATGCAGAAAGAGAGGAAGGGGAGAGACTGATTTTAAGAAATTGATGCATGGGCTGGTGGGGGCCGGCAGGTCTGCATTCTACAGGGAGGCGCTGGCTGGCTGGAGACCTGGGGAGGAGCTGCCGCCGCCCCTCAAGTCCAGAGCACCGTGCTGGCAGCCTTCCCTCCTCCTTGGGAGCCTTTTTCCTCTCAAGCCCTTCAACTGCTCAGATGAGGCCCACCCACACCGTGGAAGGTCATTGGCCTCACGTGCAGTTCCCTGACTTAAATGTTAACCTTATCTAAAAAATACCTTCACGGTGACATCTAGACTGGCATTCGACCAAACACTGAGCACCGTGGCCTGGCTGCTACCTCTGCCTCCCACTGGATAGTCCTTTTTTTTTTTTTTTTTTTTTTTTGAGATAGGGTCTTGCCCTGTTGCCCAGGCTAGAGTGTAGCAGTGGGATCACAGCTCACTGCAGCCTCAACTTCCCAGACTCAAGCCATCCTCCTACCTCAGCCTCCTGAGTGTTGAGATTACAGGCATGCACCACCGTGCCGGCCCTCACTGAATGCTTTTTTTTTTTTTTTTTAGATGGAGTTTCGCTCTGTTGCCCAGCCTGCAGTGTAGTGGCGTAATCTCGGCTCACCGCAACCTCTGCCTCCCAGGTTCAAGTGATTCTCCTGCCTCAGCCTCCCAAATAGCTGGGACTACAGGCACCTGCCACCATGCTCGGCTAATTTTTGTGATTTTCAGTAGAGAGGGGTTTCACCATGTTGGCCAGGCTGATCTTGAACTCCTAGCCTCAGCCTCCCAAAGCGCTGGGATTACAGGCATGAGCCATGCGCCCCGCCGGATGTTTCTTAATGTCGCCCAGCGGGGCGGTGGGGTAGTTTAGGGAGCAGCTGAGCAGCCAGCACACACAGATTCACCCCCACACCCGCCCTTCAGCCCTCCCCTCCAGGGCATCCTGCTGGCGCTTCCCATTGGCCAGGGTGAGCTGGGCTTCAGCCAGCCCAGCAGATTGCTCATGCCGCCCCTGGGGCTCAAGCCAACAACCCAATTCCCAAACCCAGGTGGATGCCATCAGCCAGTGCAGTCCCGTACGGCTTCCTGCTTAGCCTGGCACTCCTGGAACCCCATTCCACCTGTGTCCCCAAACGCCTGCTCCTACAGATTGTTGACCTTGGCCCAGAGCAACCTTTCGCCTCTCTGTCCAGATTACGCTGGGATGCAGCAAATCCCAACGGGCAGGGGGTGGGAGGTGAAGTCTTTGAAAACAAGGGAAGGCTCGTCCTCTCAGGCTGGAGTCTGGGCTGCCTCCTGCAGTGGCTTCAAAGTTTAATTTCATCTTTCTGTCGAGAAGTCCCCACCCCACGCCTTAGGAGCCCACTCCTTCCCCACCTGTGCCCTGAACCTACCAAGAGGGTTCACCTGTGCCGCCCCTTCCACAAGGCCCTGCACCTGACTCTTGCCCTGTCTGTCCTATGGCTCCAGGAGATGAGGAAACCCTTCTGCGCTATCACAGAGGTCTTCTGATTTTCCACCTGTGCCTTCTGCTGGGATTCAAGCCCTCCAATTTGTCTTCATCTCAATGGATGTTCTATCTTGACCCAATATTCACATCTCCATTGTCGTCATAGCGTCTAAGTTCCACAGGCATCTCCCAACACCATGGCCTCACCCATGCCTGCCCTGGTAGTCATCTGAGTGATCGTGATGCCTGTGTGTGCAGTGAATTCTTAAGGCCCCAGCTTCCCCCTTAAGGAAGTTATTGTGTAGCCATCAAATATGTGAGCATTCCAGCCTTCGAATCCCATTTTGAGAATCTGTTTCCTGGGGCCTTTCCTGGTATTAATTCCTCTATCAATCAAGAAACAGATAGCACACTCAAAAGGAGTGATTAAGGTTTGTTGAATGAGGGGCTTGTTTACAAACCTGTGGAAAGGTTAAGGGAAATGCTGGGGGCAGTGAGGTAGCCCAGGTCGGGCAACAGTAGAGCACTATGGGCCGCCGAGGCTCAGGGAACGAAGGGCTATCAGACTCCAGAGAGAGCACAGCCCTCCTGCTCCCATCTCTGCTGGTGTATCCCACTGGCCAAAGCCAACCAGAAGCCAGAAGGAAAGGGAGCCTGGTGGCTGCAGTTCGCAGAGGTCGGCCTTCGGGCACAAAGCAGAATGCAGAGCAGCTCTGAAGAAGGGAGGGGGGCCCAGCACAGGTGAAAGAGACCCAGACGGTCAATGCAGAATTTCATAGGCAACATACATGGATTTACGAAGTGAACCTACTCACACACCTGTGAGTAAGGGAATGGGCTCAGTGTGACACTAAAATGCACTGGAGACTACACAGCTGGGACAGCAAATGGCAGGCTGCTGTAGACATCACCACGGATGAATCACAGAAGAATGCTGAGTGAAAAAAGCAGAACACGCCAAAATGATTCTATTTATAGAAGGTTCAAAAACAGATGAAACGAAGTATATTTTTCCAGATACATACGCATGTTGCCAAATTGTTTTTTAAAAAAGCAGGCTGGGCGTGGTGGCTCACACCTGTAATCCCAGCACTTTGGGAGGCCGAGGCACATGGATAATGAGGTCAGGAGATCAAGACCATCCTGGGTAACATGGTGAAACGCTGTCTCTACTAAAATTTCAAAAAATTAGCCAGGCGTGGTGGCGGGCACCTGTAGTCCCAGCTACTTGGGAGGCTGAGGCAGGAGAATGGCGTGAACCCAGGAGGCGGAGCTTGCAGTGAGCTGAGATCACACTGCTGCACTCCAGCCTGGGTGACAGAGCAAGACTCCGTCTCAAAAAAATAATAATAAAACAAAAAACAAAAAAAGCAAAGTTGTCATTTTATTGTCCTCTGACCACTATTATTTCTGATGAAAAGTCAGCCAAAATATGCATCATTGTTCTTTTCATGTAAGGTCATTGTTTCTGGCTATTTTCAAGATTTTTCTCTTTCTGTTTGGATTTCGGCATTTTGGCTATGATGTTTCTGGGTGCGATTTTCTAATAATCCTGTGTGGGGTTTGTTGGATTTCTTGGATGTTTAGTTTATGTTTTTCACCACATTTTGGAAATCTGTCACCTTTATTTCTTCAACCATTTTTTCTACCTCATTTCTCTCAACTCCTTCTGCAGTCCCAGTTCCACATGCAGTCTGCCACATGATGGTGCCCACACGTGCCCAGGCTCTGTTCATGCTGCTGCAATCATTTTTATCCAGATGCTTCAGACTGGGCCATTTCTATTGCTGTATCTTCAAATTCACTGATTTTCTTTTCAGCCATATCCAATCCACTTCTAAGCCTATGCAGTGAAATTTTCATTTCAGTTACTGTATTTTTCATTTCTTAAATTTTCATTTGATTCTTTTTATAGCATATGTTTTTCTTCTTAAATTCTCCCGTCTGTTCATTCCTTATAAGAATGTTTTTCTTTAAGTCCTTGAACATACTTAGAACAGCTGATGTAAGATTCTGGCATGCTGCGCCAGGTGCAGTGGCTCATGCCTGTAATCCCAGCACTTTGGGAGGCTGAGGTGGGTGAATTACCTGAGCTCAGGAGTTCAAGATCAGCCTGACCAACATGGTGAAACCCTGTCCCTACAAAAATACAAAAATTACCTGAGCATGAAGGCAGGTGCCTGTAATCCCAGCTACTTGGGAGGCTGAGGCAGGAGAATTGCTTGAACCCGAGAGGCAGAGGTTGCAGGGAGCCGAGACTGCACCATTGCACTCCAGCCTGGGCAACAGAGTGAGATTCTGTCTCAAAAGAAAAAAAAAAAGATTCTGGCATGCTGATTGCAATATGTAGGTCATTTGGGTCAGTTTCCATTGTCTGCATTCTCTCTAGAGAACAGGTTACATACCTGTTTCTTCACACTTTTTACTGTATGCTGGATATCATTAATGATCTGCTGTAGAACTTCTGGATTCTATTATCTTTATCTGAGAAGTGTTGATTTTCTTCTAAGAGAAACGTATTTTCACTGGACTCAAATCCCAAACTCTGTCTCCCCCACGATGGGCAGCAGCTAAAAGCTCTGTTCAGTTCACTCTGTTGTTCCTGTTAGACCTGGACTCTTATCTTCTGACTCCTCAAGCCTGTAAGGCTGCAGTCTTCTGCCACCCCAAGCCATGTAAAGATTAAGACGTGCCCTTGGGGAAAAAAAATTCGTAGGCTCTTCCATCTCCGCCCCTGTAGATCGAATGTTACAGGGTAGACTTCCATGCAGTTTCTTCCTGAGGGGCAGGGAGTACACTGGGTCCCCAGGCCAGGTAGTGTCTGCCCTGGGGAAGTGAGGCCTCCTGGTGATGTTGCCATTTGTCCTTCAATTTGGAATCCACCCCCTACCCACCTAGCTGCCAACGTTTCACCACACCTACTCCATTCCTCCAAGTTCCTGATCCTGATCCTTGCGTGCCATTACCTGGGAGACCGAGGTCAGTGTCTCACCCCTATCCCAAGGGGTCCCAGGCCCTCATTCTCCTTCTCTCCCAGGCTCCCAGCCACAAGCCTCCTCCAGGACCCTCCTGAAGCCCTGCTGGTCAGTGCTACCTTGGGCATG